>NC_000001.11:182881556-183184587 GCF_000001405.40 Homo sapiens
CACAAAAGACTTAATATGGCTACACTAAGAATGACTTGGGAAGCCAAAGTTCAGCTCAAAGAGATTTTGATTAATTCTGGGTTTCCAGAAGGTAAGACTTCTTCCATTCTTAAGATATCTTTAAAGTGACATTTATATAGTACATGCAAATTGACAGCAAAGTGTATTTTAGTTTCAAATTTTAGACCCTATGATTTTTATATATTCCCGACTATTTCTTAGTTCTCGTGAACACTGGTCTAGTTCCCAGAATGAGTACTTTGCTGATAACCTTATAGTGGTTTGCAAAGTAATTTATTAGCATTTAGACTTGAAGTAAATTCTACCACATTAAATTTTAAATGACTTTAATTTATACTTTCGGTGTACAGATGATTAAAGGACTTTATGACATCTAACATAGAAAAAAACCAACCCATGTTTCTTGATGAGCTGTAGTACTTTTCTTTTCCAACTAGGTTAAAATATAGAATTACTTCCTAAAACATTGAGAACTGGAATGCATAACCAGAAATAAGACTGTTGAGAGACAGAAGGTAGTTGGGCAAGATGGTAAATTTTTAAAGGCTGTAATTGGAATAACTAAACAAAGTAGTGAGTGGTTCTCTTCTGTCATAAGCCAGCCGAAATTTTAGTTTTTCCTCAAAATTATAAGAAAGGGAAAACTTCATGTGCTAGAATCTTGAGATGAATTTTACAGGTAATGAAACAGGCACCAAGGTATAAATTGTCTTTAATTCATCCAATTAGGAGGCTATAAGACTAGAACTCGTTTGTCTAGAACAAAATATGTCTGTGCTTTCAGCGGTTGACTGTCATGCTTTCCAGTCAGTAGCTAAGTACTCAAAGTGTAGACTGGGTAAAAACGTCAGCCTTCATTCCAGTAGGTGTCCTCTTAGATTATCTCCATCTTCTCTACAACTAACAGCTATTTAAGAGTAGCAGATAAATACTTTGTGGTCCTATCAGTCAAGCTCTTATTCTCAGAGTAGATGGTTGATTGGGGGACTTTAAAAAGTAATCACCCCGGCCGGGCGCAGTGGCTCACACCTGTAATCCCAGCGCTTTGGGAGGCCGAGTCAGGTGGATCACGAGGTCAGGAGATCGAGACCATCCTGGCTAACACGGTGAAACCCGTCTCTACTAAAACTACAAAAAATTAGCCGGGCGTGGTGGCGGGTGCCTGTAGTCCCAGCTACTTGGGAGGCTGAGGCAGGAGAATGGCATGAACCCGGGAGGCAGAGCTTGCAGTGAGCAGAGATGGCGCCACTGCACTCCAGCCTGGGCGACAGAGCGAGACTCGTCTCAAAAAAAAAAAAAAAAAGTAATCACCCCAAGCTTATTTATGGTTGAGTCTATAAGAGAATAGAGACGTTTTCGTTTTCTTATTGTGGAAACTCAGTAACATTACTCCTTGAACTTAATCTGGGTGTAAGGATTCTGAGAAGAGAAAGTTTTACAGACAGGTTATGTGAAAAGAGTGAGGAAGAGTCAGTTCTCTGAATTATCTTAAATAGTTTGCATGTAATGTGAAGATCAGCCAGTTATCTGATTTTTGTTTTCACTGTGCTCCTCTTAACAGATTGTTTGTTGACACAAGTGTTTACTAACACTGGACCAGATAATAATTTGGATGTTGTTATCTCCCTCCTGGCCTTTGGTGTGTACCCCAATGTATGCTATCATAAGGAAAAGAGGAAGATTCTCACCACTGAAGGGCGTAATGCACTTATCCACAAATCATCTGTTAATTGTCCTTTTAGTAGCCAAGACATGAAGTACCCATCTCCCTTCTTTGTATTTGGTGAAAAGGTAAGAAAAGACTAGAAAAGTTTACATTGAAAGTTGAAATTGTCTTTACAATCATTAGGAACATGAATTTTGATTTTCAAAGCACAGTATATAGCGGTATTTGGAAGTTGGAATGTCAACCATTTTGTATTGTCTCTTTCTCCATTTGCAGATTCGAACTCGAGCCATCTCTGCTAAAGGCATGACTTTAGTCACCCCCCTGCAGTTGCTTCTCTTTGCCTCCAAGAAAGTCCAATCTGATGGGCAGATTGTGCTTGTAGATGACTGGTATGGATTTTCAGATGTGAACTCCAAACTGAATTCTTAGAATTACAATATGATGGAATTCAGCTGCTAATCTAACTTAATTATATACTAATTATATCTAACTTAATTATATACTATATACTTAATCTTAAATTGATACCAGTAGAAGCAAATGCATTAGGAATTTGAGCCATGTCTACCACTAGGCACACCACCACTATGGAATCAGAATCTAAGTGAAGCTTGAGTACCCTTTCACATACTCTGTATATTGATTCAAAACTAGTGGTAAGCACTGGGCAAAAATGGAATAGAGCTTAATGGACAGCCAGTAGGCTCAGCCATCATATTCTTGAAAACCTAGAAAATGCCAGTATTCTGGGTCTCTTAAATTCATTATTTTAAAGTCTGGATGATCTGGCTGGGTGCGGCACATCACTTGGGCTCAGGAAGTTCAAGATCAGCCTGGACAACATGGTGAAACCTGTCTCTACGAAAAATCCAAAAAAATTAGCCCCGTGTGGTAGCGCACACCTGTAGTCCCAGCTATTCTGGAGGCTGAGGCAGGAGAATCACTTGAACCTGGGAGTTGGAGGTTGCAATGAGCTATCACGCCACTGCACTCCAGCGAGGGCAACAGAGCAAGACTCTGTCTCAAAAAAAAAGAAAGTCTGAATGATCCATATTGCTGGACTTTGTTTTTTGTTTATTATATATTGCATATATTTTTATTATATTTTATTTGGCTTGATAGACTTTTTGGCTTAAGACTCCTGCTCATAGCTAGCAGTGAATTTTAAGAAGCTAGTGCTGATTATAACTACTCTTCATATCTGTGTTTGCCTAAGTTTGGGGCCATTATAAGTAGTTTTTTTTTTTAATATTAATGCTTAAGAAGTTAAATTTATTCTATAATGTGCCATGTGTGAAGTTGAGAGATAATGGTCTTTTTCTACATATACTCCCTCTCTTATTTTTAATGTATTTCGCCACTTTAGGATTAAACTGCAAATATCTCATGAAGCTGCTGCCTGTATCACTGGTCTCCGGGCAGCCATGGAGGCTTTGGTTGTTGAAGTAACCAAACAACCTGCTATCATCAGCCAGTTGGACCCCGTAAATGAACGTATGCTGAACATGATCCGTCAGATCTCTAGACCCTCAGCTGCTGGTATCAACCTTATGATTGGCAGTACACGGTGAGTACCAATATACTTCTTACTGAACCAAGTAGAGGGGAGAGATCTTATGTAGGCCTAGAATTCCTGAAGTTAGTGATAGAAGCCCTATTACTTAAGTAAAATTCTAGATATAGATAGAGCTATATAGATAGAGAGTTTGATGTTCTGAGTTCTAACATACTCAGAACAAAGAATGTCATTTACTTTTTTGTTAGTAGTTGGTCTGCTGCATCAGTGCATGTTGGTAGTGTTAGAAGGAACTTACAAATGCACATACATAGTTCAGAGTGGGTCACATGACAGGGAAGTGACACAGCCCAGATAGCCCTTTTTCCATGGTACTGTTTTGGCATCTCTAAAGAAAAATATTGATGAGATGTTAAATTGTTTCTGTATCAAATGTATATGTGTTTTTGTTTATCTTAAACAACTAGAGCATGGATATCTTAAAGAAATGAGAAATTTATCTTAATTCTTAAAATTTTTATTTGCTTCAGGTTTTAAAATTTTTTCTTTGCCCACTAATTTTTATTTACATATACTTGATACTTACCAAAAAGGCAAGAAGAGTGATACAATGTATAGCCATATAGTCTTTATTTAGGTTCACTAATTTTCAGCATTTTGTATTTGCTTAATATTTGTGATGAAGTAGCAGGCATTACCACATTTTACATCAATACACTTCATGTCTTTTAAGAACATGGCCACAATACCACAATCACACCCCAAAACCTTAAGTGTTTTAGTAATACTATAATATACTAAGGTACTAAAATTCTTCCAGTTATCCAAAAATGACCTCTAATTCCTCATCAAAAATGATGTATTGGCATTTGATCTATCTGTAAGATGGGTAGATTGTTATCCTCATCCTCTTTAATATAAACAAGGAAACCAGGCACAGATAAGACCCAAGGTCATACAGCTAATAACTGATAGAACCAGGTTCAAACCCAGGCAACATGGCTCCTGAAACAGTGCTCTTACTATGCTATTCTGTGGCCCTCCTAGGTGGTTAAATGCATAGAATAATTCAATAACCGTCATAGGCAGATAACAAATGAAGTATTCATGGGTGTTTAGGAGAAGAGAGATTATTTTTGGTAGGAGGGCTGGTAAGCAAGGAGCCGCTGTGTATATAATCTGTTTCTATGAAGGATAACAGTCCGGAAACTAGAAAGAAAGGGATATATGCAAGAGAGTTTAGGATGTATGAATATGTGGTGGCTTAAATTACAGTAGTAGAATTGCAATGGGGAGATGTGACTGGATTAGACAGATTTGTGGTAGAATCAATAGGAATTGGTGATGGACTAAAATGGAATAGTGCAATGAAAGAAGGAAGACAGATTACAGTCATTTATTTTTATTTTTATTTTTTTTTAAATTTATTTATTTATTTATTTATTTATTTTGAGAGTCAGTTTTGCCCTGTTGTCCAGGCTGGAGTGCAGTGGTGCCATCTTGGCTCACTGCAACCTCTGCCTTCTGGGTTCAAGTGATCCTCCTGCCTCAACCCCCCGAGCAGCTGGGATTACAGGCACACACTGCCACGCCCAGCTAATTTTTGTATTTTTAGTAGAAACAGGGTTTTGCCATGTTGCCCAGGCTAGTCTCTAACTCCTGACGTCAGGTGATCCACCCACCTCAGCCTCCCAAAGTGCTGGGATTACAAACCTGAACCACTGCACCCAGCCACACAGCCATATTTCTGACTTAGCTGCTGAATTGGTGGTGTTATTCTCGAAGAAAAGCTGCACAGGAATAATAAGCAGATTGGGGATATGTTTAATTGAAGTTGTTGACAGTCCATCTTGATTTCTGCAATTTTTTATTCGCTTTATTTTCCTTATTTGCCACATGAAACAGATTTAGGCATTATTACCAAGGACATTTTTCAAAATCATATTTCAGAATTATTGCAGGAAAACATCTGGTGATAAAGACCAAATAGTTTATTGGCAGCTCCAGGAACCCTCTCCTAATGCTTGCCTTCTTGGAACACTTATGTTATTGAACTGAGTAAGAGGACTGTCTTAAAGTTCTAATGACATACTGCCAAAATTCAAAACCTTTGAGATTGAACCAGAACTTCAGAAAAACAGATGGATACAATTGATGACTGTTTTAGAATAGCAGATCAATTTTATTTCAATTTCTATTTGTGCATTTGGCTTCATTCCCTTTATTAAATTTTCAAATATAACTAAATGTGTACATTTGGTAAGTCGTTGGGAAATAATAAGAATGCTTTGCTAAAGTGATGGTTTTGTGCTTTTCCTAGGTATGGAGATGGTCCACGTCCTCCCAAGATGGCCCGATACGACAATGGAAGCGGATATAGAAGGGGAGGTTCTAGTTACAGTGGTGGAGGCTATGGCGGTGGCTATAGCAGTGGAGGCTATGGTAGCGGAGGCTATGGTGGCAGCGCCAACTCCTTTCGGGCAGGATATGGTGCAGGTGTTGGTGGAGGCTATAGAGGAGTTTCCCGAGGTGGCTTTAGAGGCAACTCTGGAGGAGACTACAGAGGGCCTAGTGGAGGCTACAGAGGATCTGGGGGATTCCAGCGAGGAGGTGGTAGGGGGGCCTATGGAACTGGCTACTTTGGACAGGGAAGAGGAGGTGGCGGCTATTAAAACTTGGTTATGTCAGTTCCTGTGTGTAGACAGTAAGGAAAAAAAGGCATGCTATGTGTTACGTGTTTTTTCCAGTATGTTTATTTGCCACCAAAAAGTAAATGCATTTTCACCCATTCTGTGGTTCATTGTAGTTTAAGGAAACCAAGCATATAGATGCATTAGTGATTTTGTTTATATTATGTAAAATATAACGATCTCTTAAAAATACCACAGTTTGTATTTTTTCTTTAAGGAGTAAAGATTTGCCTTTAAATAACTTGGTATTTTCCTGGCTTTCGTTTAATACAATAGAAAATAAAGTATTACACCGAATACTTGCCGTGTAGTTTGTTTGTTGACCTCGTATGTTAGAAAATTTTACAATGCCAGCTACATCTGTTGATTTTAAATGTCAGAGAAGTTGTACCCTGTTTCAAAAGTATACTAAGTGATACTACTTGTAATAGAATAAATCATCTTGGAATTGAATTGTTACCTTTTGAAGTAAATACTGGCAAGTGCACAAGCCACATAAACCTGAATAAAACTTTTGACCTAGGGTTGAACATTTGGCTTCCTCCCATATTCTGTCTTTGAATAAGACCAAGGCCAGCATTTTCTTTTCTAAGTTAGTTTCCACGATGACAATTAAAAGCAATAAAATCAATCCATAGAACTCTTGAATAAAAGGTAAATGAAGCTTCACTGATGTGACACATTTACCTACCTTACTGTGTTGCAAAAGGTTTTTGTTAAGCTACTTTGTTTTAATAGAGATATTCATACATTTATAGCACATTACAGTTTCCAGTGAATTTTTTCACATTTCTCATTTGAGCAAGATACAGTGGAGAGGGCAAAGGTACTGGATTACACAGAACTGGGTTTGTCTTAATTCTGTTCTCAACCATGTGGATGATCTTGGGCATATTTTTGTTTTGGTTTCCTTTTCAAAGTCCTTTATCCTGCATACATGTTTTAGATCACCTTCAGCAATTATTGTTAAGCTGATGGCACCTATCTGCAGACTCACAAGTCTGTCTCCAACCGAAATTTCCTTTCTGAGCCATGTAAACAACTGCACACTGAACATGCGTCTCTGCTTAAATATCCCACAGAAAAAAATCTCAGTGCCTTCCAAACTGACCTTCCCCTCCCCACCTACCCTGTGTCCTGACAGTACTATGTTCTCTGCTCTGCTCTTTGGAGTTTCAGCTGCTTAATTGCTTAAGCCACCATCTCTAGTCAGCTCAAAATATCTTTCAATATACTTTTATAGTTGAGTTGCCTCTGTTCTATTCAGTCTTAGTTTGGACATACAGTGCCACAGCAACTTAACTGATCCTGCCTACAGGCCTGCCTCAAGATGATCTCCACTACAGCTACAGTAAACATTCCCAAACAAATCCAGTTTCATACCCCCTCTCCTGACTTAAACTAATGGTTCTTAACTGCCGTCAGGGTAGAGGCTAAACTCCCTTCTTAGCCACTCACTCCGGCTCTACCTTCATTTCTGCTGTACAGCTGTAGCTAGCCAAACTGAACTAGCACCATCGATTGATCATGAGCTTTCTCTCCCTTTGCAAGTTGTGAAAACTCCCATAAAAGGTATAAAATCAGTAATGGTTCATTTGAATGGTACTCATCCCTCCAACAAATTCAATTAGAAATGTAAATTGATAAATGGCCAAAAGTTGTCAAAGTGCATTCTCTGAAGGTTGAAAGAAGCACTAAGGCACAGTTCTAACGTTACCATGTTCAGCTAAAGACCTGAGGAGCTCCATGTGTAGCTTCCCCCGGTCTTGTGCCCCACATATTCCAGCTGTCCTCCCTAAACTCGTTTGTCTCTTAACCGCAGTGCTCTGCTTGGTACTTTCTCCCTCTGCCATGACCCAGAAAGTGCTTCCACATAGCCATGGACTTGTCTCATTTGTTTTCCTTATTGGGGATCACAGTTCTGCATTGCCTGTTACCTAATGTCTGAAAGCAGCTGTTTCACTAGTTGCTTACATGGGAGGAAAAGTTCAGTGCCATTTGTATTTGTCATAGCTGTAAGTGGGAATCCAGTTACCAAAGAATCCATCATAAGGTCCAGAAATCATTCCTTTTCTTAGATGAGACTTAAAAGAGCAGAAGGCTACGTAGAGTATTTTGTGACATTAATACCTTGAGACATCAACCACTGTTTAATTTCTTTTTTGAGGCAGGGTCACCCAGGCTGGAGTGTAGTGGCACAATCTCAGCTCACTTGCAACCTCTACCTCCCAGGCTCAAACAATCTTCCCACCTCAGTCTCCTAAGCAGTGGATAGCTGGGACCACAGGCCCCTGCCACCACCACACCCAGCTAATTTTTGTATTTTTTGTAGAAATGGGTTTTCACCTGCCCAGGCTGATCTTGAACTCTTGACCTCAGGCAATTCACCTGCCTCGGCCTCCCAAAGTGCTGGGATTACAGGCATGAGCCACCACAGCCCGCCTTCATTTCCTTTCTTAGCCATCTCTACATTTTGCTTAGAACAAAGACAATAGTTAAAGAATGTCACAGCAAGTGTGCAATGACTGAAAGTTCTTCCAAAATGAGAGCTTGAATACACACCGTTCCCATTCAGGAAATGGGAGAGAATTCGAGGAAAAAATAATGTAGAAAGTTTTCTGCTTACCACCCCTTCTCTCACAGCACATATCTGCCGGGGTTTGGGGGTAATAAGAGTTGGCAGTGACAATTGAGTCAGCCCTTCTAGAAGTTCAGACAGGAAAGAGTGGCCTGATGTGCACGTGTTTGGTCTGTGGTTGACAGTTTGAAAGTTAACTGGAAGAAAAAGCTGATGTGCCAATTGCAGGAAGCCATGCTGCAGACCTCCCTGCGTTAACAGAATGTGTAGGTACAGTGTCCTCAAGTAAGCAGCTACAATTTGGTGGGATCTTTTGTGCTGTGAAGCTACACTCCAGACCCTCTGAATGTCACCGATGCCATAGGAACAGATCAGAATATGAATAGTTGTGCCAACTTAGGGGTCAGCCCAGACAACAAGAAAGAAGACATTAACTTTAGCCAAGCATGTATTTGAATACCAATTTCCCTCTTTCTGAATCTGGAAACAGAATTGGGACAGGAGGATAGTAAAGAAAACCAAAAATGGAATTTCTAATTTGGAACTGATGTGAATTTTGGTTTTGACTGGGAAAACGGCTCCTGAATTCTACTGTATTTACCAGAAAGACTTAGACTTGAATTACTGTCCAGAAGACAAAAAGGGAAGTTTTTTAAAGTTGTATTTGTGTAACTTTCATATTTGCAGACTGTTCTATTACATGTAGTATAAAATATTTCTGGACCATGTGGGGAAAATTTAATATTGAATCTCAAAGTTAACTGAGGTTACCTGAATTTCTGAGACTATTTTAGTGATAATTTAGCTTCTAAGAAAAGATGTTGAGGAGAGGTGGAGCAAGATGGCTGAATAAAAGCCTCCAGTGATCATCTCCCTGCAAGAACACCAAACTGAAAACTATCCACACAAAAACCTTTGTAAGAACTAAAAATCAGGTGAGCGATCACAGTACCTGGAAAGAGGTATATTGAGGAAAGAGGCACGGAAGAAGGTAGGAAAGACAGTCTTGACTGGCCTACATCACCACTTCTCTATGCCCTGGCAGCGGCCACATGGCGCAGATAGAATCTGTGTGCCTGGCAGTGGGGGAACAGATTGTGAGACTGCGTTGGAACTCAGTGCTACTCTATCACAGTGCAAAGAAGAATTTAGCCCACGCCCATGGAGGAAACATTTATACCTAGCCAGAGATAGCTAGGTATATTGATACCTAGACACCTAGATATTTATAGCCAGAGATGAATTGTCCTTCCCAGTAGTTGGAACCTGACTTCTGGCAAGCCCTGCCACTGCAGACCAAAGTGCTCTGGGGTCCTAAATGAAAGGCAGTCTAGGCCACAAGGACTGCAATTCCTGGACAAGTCCTGGTGCTGTGCTGGGCTCTGAGCCAGTTCACTTCAGGTACACACAACCTAGTGAGACGCCAGCTGGGGCAGCCAATGGAGTGTTTACGTCACCCCTCCCCCAAAACAGAAAGCACAGCTTGTGGCTTCTAGAAGGACTCCTTCCTTCAGCTGAAGAATGGTTCAACATATGCAAATCAACCAATGTGATAAATCATATCAACGGGATGAAGGACAAAAAACATGATAATTTCCATTAATGCTGAAAAAGCATTTGTTAAAATTCAACCATCCCGTGGGGTGGGGGGAGGGGGGAGGGATAGCATTAGGAGATATACCTAATGTAAATGACTAGTTAGTGGGTTCAGCACACCAACATGGCACATGTATACATATGTAACAAACCTGCACGTTGTGCAAATGTACCCTAGAACTTAAAGTATAATTAAAAAAAAAAACAACCATCCCTTCATGATTTAAATAAAACCCTCAAAAAACTGGGTATAGAAGGACATACCTCAATACAATAAAATCCACATATGACAGACCCACAGCTAGTATCATACTGAATGGGAAAGGACTTTCCTCTAAGATCTAGAACAAGACAAGGATGCCACTTTCACCGTTGTTATTCAACATAACTGGAAGTCCTAGCTAGAGCAATGAGACAAGAGAAAGAAATAAAGGGCAACCAAATTGGAAAGGAAAAAGTCAAATTATCCTTGTTTGCAGATGATATGATCTTATATTTGGAAAAACCTCAAGACTCCAGCAGAAAAACTACTGGAACTGATAAATTTGGTAAAGTTGCAGGATACAAACAGACATACAAAAATCAATAGCATTTCTATGCCAGCAACAAACAATCTGAAAAAGAAATCAAGAAAGTAAGTCAATTTATAATAGCTACAAATAAAATAAAATATCTAAGAATAAACTTCACTGAAGACATGAATGATCTCTACAATAAAAACTATAAAACACTGATGCAAGAAATTGAAGAGGACACCAAAAAATGGAAAAATATTCCTGTTCTTTGACTGCAAGAATCGATATTGTTAAAATGGCCATACTACCCAAAGCAATCTACAGATTCAATGCATTCTCTATCAAAATACCAATGACATTCTTCACAGAAATAGCAAAAATAATTCTAAAATTTAAATGGAACCACAAAAGACCCAGAATAGCCAAAGTCATCCTGAGCATAAAGAACAAAACTGGAGAAATCACATTACCTGACTTCAGATTATACTGTAGAACTATAGGAACCAAAACAACATGGTACTGTTTGCCTCCTCAGAGGAAAGAATTTGAGGGGCATAAGGCAGAAGGAGAGACTGAGGCAAGTTTTAGAGCAAGAGTGAAAGTTTTATTAAGAAGTCTTATAACAAGGGCCAGGCCCAGTGGCTCACGCCTGTAATCCCAACACTTTAGGAGGCTCAGGCAGGTGGATCACCTGAGGTCAGGAATTTGAGACCAGCCTGGCCAACATGATGAAACCCCATCTCTACTAAAAATACAACAATTAAGGCCAGGTGTGGTGGCTCATGCCTGTAATCCCAACACTAAGAGGCCGAGGTGGGCAGATCACCTGAGGTCGGGAGTTCGAGACCAGCCTGACCAGCATGGAGAAACTCCGTCTCTACTAAAAATACAAAATTAGCCGGGCGTGGTGGTGCACGCCCGTAATCGCAGCTACTCAGAAAAGCTAAGGCAGGAGAATCGCTTGAACCCGGGAGGCAGAGGTTGCAGTGAGCTGAGATCGCGTCATTGCACTCCAGCCTGGGCAACGAGCAAAACTCCGTCTCAAAAAAAAAAAAAAAAAAATACAAAAATTAGCCAGACGTGGTGGAGGTCACTTGTAGTCCCAGCTACTCAGGAGGCTGAGGCAGGAGAATCGCTTGAACCCAGGAGGCAGAGGTTGCAGACAGCCAAGATCATGCCATTGCACTCCAGCCTGGGTGACAGAGTGAGACTCCATCTCCCAAAAAATAAATAAATAAATAAAAGTTTTATAACAGGAATAAAAGGAAGGAAAGTACACTTGGAAGAGGGCCAAGTAGGTGACTCAAGACGCAAGTGCGTGGCTTGACCTTTTGACTTGGGGTTTTATACACTGGCATACTTCTGGGGTTTTATGTTACTTCTCCCCAGTTGCCAAACTCCTGAGCTCTTATCAGGAAGCTGCTGATCACCAGTTTCAGGTGTTTTCTATTTATTAGGAGAGACTGCCTTTCCTTGGCACTGGCTGTGACCAGTTATTAGTTTAGAGAGACAGTTGACCACCTGACCATCACCTGATGGTTGCCTGACACTCCTGGTGTATTGTGGGGGGTGGGGGAAGGGGCGGAGCTCTCTTCTGCCCCACTCATACCCAACTAGCTACCCACTGTAACATTACTTGCATGAAAACAGGTACATAGACTCATGGAACAGAATAGAGAAATTAAAACAGTTGAACTCATGGAGATAAAGTAATGGTTACCAAAGGCTGGCAAGGGTAGTGGTGGTGGTAGGAAAGTGGGGATGGTTAATGGGTACACAAATATTGTTAGATTGAATGAATAAGATTTAGAATTTGGTAGCACAACAGGGCAACTACAGGCAACAATAATTTACTGTACATTTAAAGAAAACTAAAAGTTTCCTAGCCAGAGCATCAGACAAGAGAAAGGGCATCAGAGTCGGTAGAGAGGAAGTCAAACTGTCACTGTCAGTGATGTGATTGCATACCTAGAAAACCCTAGGTATGCAGTAAGACTCATCCTAAAAGCTCCTAGATCTGAAAAATGAACTCAGTAAAGTTTCAAGATAGAAAATCAATGTACGCAAATCAGTAGCACTGCTATAAACCAACAACAACTCAGCTGAGACTCAAATCAAGAACTCAATCACTTTTGCAACAGCTGCAAAAATAAAATACTTAGGAATATACCTAACCAAGGAGGTGAAAGATCTCTTCAAGGAAGACTACCAAACACTGCTGAAAGAAATCATCGATGACAGAAACAAATGGAAACATATCCCATGCTCATGGATGGGTAGAATTAATATTGTGAAAATGACCATACTGCCAAAAGCAATCTATAGATTTAGTGCAATTCCCATCAAAATACTATCATCATTCTTCACAGAACTAGAAAAAACAATCCTAAAATTCATATGGACCCAAAAAAGGCCGGCACAGCCAAAGCAAGACTAAGTGGAAAGAACAAATCTAGAGGCATCATATTAGCTGACTCAAACTATACTACAAGGCTATAGTTACCAAAACAGCATGGTACTGGTATAAAAAAAAGGCATGTAGACCAATGGAACAGAATACCCAGAAATAAAGCCAAATATTTACAGCCAACTGATCTTTGACAAAGCAAACAAAAACATAAAGTGGGGAAAGGATACTGCATTCAACAAATGGTGCTGAGATAATTGGCAAGCCACAGGTAGAAGAATGAAACTGGATCCTCATCTCTCACCTTATATAAAAATCAACTCAAGATGGATCAAAGACTTAAATCTAAGACCTGAGACCATAAAAATTCTAAAAGATAACATCGGAAAAACTCTTCTAGATATTGGCTTAGGCAAAGAGTTCATGACCAAGAACCCAAAAACAAATGCAACAAAAACAAAAATAGATGGGACCTAATTAAACTAAAAAACTTCTGCACAGCAGAAGAAATAATCAGCTTAGTAAACAGACAGTCCACAGAGTGGGAGAAAATATTTGCAAACTATGCATCCAACAAAGGTCTAATATCCAGAACTCAAATCAGCAAGAAAAAAAATCAAAAAGTGGGCTAAGGACATGAATAGACAATTCTCAAAAGAAGTTATACAGGCCAGGTACAGTGGCTCATGCCTGTAATCCCAGCACTTTGGGAGGGTGAGGTGGGTGGATCGCCTGAGGTCAGGAGTTCAAGACCAGCCTGGCCAACATGGTGAAACCCCATCTCTACTAAAAATACAAAACCTAGCTAGGTGTGGTTGTTGCGCACCTATTATCCCAGCTACTCGGGGGACTGAGGCAGGAGAATGGCTTGAACATGGGAGGCGGAGGTTGCAGTGAGCCGAGATCGCACCACTGCACTCCAGCCTGGGCAATAGAGTGAGACTCCATCTCAAAAATTAAAAATAATAAAATAATAAAAATTTTAAAATTAAAAAGATATACAAATGGCCAAGAAACATATGAAAAATGCTCAACATCACTAATTATCAGGGAAATGCAAATTAAGACCACAGTGAGATACCACCTTACTCCTACATAAATGGCCATAATTTAAAAATCAAAAGAACAATGGATATTTGTATGGATGTGGTGAAAAGGGAACACTTTTACACTGCTGGTGGGAATGTAAACTAGTACAACTACTATGGAAAACAGTATAGAGATTCTTTAACTAAAAGTAGATCTACCATTTGATCTAGCAATCCCACTACTGGGTAGTTCCCCAGAGGAAAATAAATCATTATATGTAAAAGACACTTGCACACGTATGTTTATTGCAGCACAATTCACAACTACAGAAATACAGGACCAGCCTAAATGCCCATCAACCAAGTGGATAAAGAAAATGTAGTATATACATACTATGGAATACTACTCAGCCATAAAAAGGAATGAAATAATTGCATTTGCAGCAACCTGGGTGGAATTGGAGAACATTATTCTATGTAAAGTAACTCAGGGATGGAAAAACCAAATATTGTATGTTCTCACTTATAAGTGGGAGCTAAGCTATGAGGACGCAAAGGCATAAGAGTGATATAGTGGACTTTGGGGACTTGGGAAAAGGGTAAGAGGGAGTGAGGGATAAAAGACTACACATTGGATACAATGTACACTGCTCAGGTGTTGGGTGCACCAAAATCTCAGAAACCACAACTAAAGAACTTATTCATGTAACCAAACACCACCTGCTCCCCAAAAACGATTGAAATAAAATTTTTAAAAAAGATAACTAAAAGTGTATAATTGTATTGTTTGTAACAAAAAGAAAGAATAAATGCTTGAGGTGATGGGTGCCCCATTTATTGTGTGTGGTTATTACTCATTGCATGCCTGTATCAAATTATCTCATGTACCTCATAACTATATACACCACTATGTATACACAAAACTAAAGATTAAAAAAATAAATTTTAAGACATAGAAAAAAGATGTAAAAAGAATCTTTACTTCCTGGGAACTGACTAGAGTTGCCAAATGCCTCAATTGGCCCAGGACTATCTGTTTTCCTAAGACAGAAGAAGTGCTAAAACTGGGAAAATCCTGGGCAAACTGGGATGAATTGGTCATCCTAGGATTTATCTTAAATGGAAGCACTTTTAGGAATTTTCAAACTTTGAAATTCCATATTTCTTTCATACCTAGAAATAAATTTAAGATAAAGGTAACAAAGCAGTTGGCTATATAATCAAATGTTAAATGTTTCTCATCTTAACAGGCATAACTGTAAAACATTTTTCATGCTAACATGTAAAAAATAACCAATAAATACATTATTTTAGTTTTACATTTTTGTGTTAATATAATACATTATATGTACATTATAATATATATCTATTATATAATAAATAATCTCACATCTCAAGTTTTTTTTTTTTTTTTTGAGATAGAGTCTCACTCTGTCACCAGGCTGGAGTGCAATGGCGCCATCTCGGCTCACTGCAATCTCCATCTCTCCCAGGTTCAAGCAATTCTCCTGCCTCAGCCTCCCAAGTAGCTGGGATTATAGGCACACGCAACCATACCCAGCTAATTTTTGTATTTTTAATAGAGACAGGGTTTCACCATGTTGGCCAGGATGGTCTCGATCTCTTGACCTGGTGATCTGCCCACCTCAGCCTCCAAAAGTGCTGGGATTACAGGCGTGAGCCACCACGCCAGGCCAAGAATCTTATTTTTTTAAATATATGTATTTAAATATATATAATATATAAGAATATATACATATTTAAATATTTAAGAATAAGTATATATATTACACTATATATTATTTATATATTTAACTATATAGTTTATAGATTATATTATCTAGTATATAATCATACATAGTTCTTATATATGATTATTAACTTTTAACATATAAAATATATATTTTAAAAGTTAAGAATCATATATATATAATTATATATATAAAGTTAAGAATCTTGAGATGTGAGATTACCCTGGATCATCCAGGCAGGGTCAATCTAATCATATGAGTCCTTAAAAGTGGAAGAGGGAGGTAGAAGAAGGAGTCAGGGAGATGAGACAAAAGAATAGACAAGAGACTCAGAGGAGAGACACTTGATCCACTGTTGCTGGCTTTGAAAATGGATGGAGGCCATGAGCCAAGGAATGCAATCGGCCACCAGAAACTCAGCTGTCAACCGTCAAGGAAACAGGGAACTGAATCCTACAACTACAAGGAACTGAATTCTGTCAACATCCAAATGAACAAGGAAACAGATCCTTCCCTAGAGCATCCAAAAAGGAATGCAGGCCTGTCAACACTTTGATTTTGGCCCAGTGAGACCCATGTCAGATTTTTGACCTACAGAACTGTAAGATTATAAATCTGTGTTAAGCCACTAAGTTTGTGGTGACTTATTATGACTGCAATGGAAAACTAACACAATATATACAATATATAAATTCAGTCTTTCATTTATAAGGTATAGGGGGAAAAGTAGGGGTGGAAAGGTAGAAGAGGAAAAAAATTAATTTTATGAAATATCAAAATTCTTAGAAAATCTTAAAAATGCTTTATGCACGTTTTAGAATCATGAAACGAAAAAACAGCATCACCATATTCTGTAGTTGGCCTGGGAAAAGACAAATAGGTTAGAAACCAGTGGCAGCAACAGAAGGGAGGTAGATGGCCAGAGTAAGAAGTTTGTTTACACAAGGCTACTGCTTTTATTGTATACCTTCAAAGATATTACTTTGCCCATTACCTATTCTTTCTGAAGCCAAAAACTGAGAAAGGTAGGGGAAGAGGATGGAAAAGGAAAATCCCCACCCTTAATACTCACTACGTTCATTATAGAAAGATGTTTCTTGTTAAGGCCCCCAAGGACAATCCTGGAATTATTTTAACAAGTCTTTGTGTACACAGACTATGTATAATCAAAATCTATGGAACTGCCTATAGGTTTTCTTCTTTTAAAAAAGTGCTGTTGGGCCGGGCGCTGTGGCTCACACCTGTAATCCCAGCACTTTGGGAGGCCGAGACTGGCGGATCACGAGGTCAGGAGATCGAGACCATCCTGGCTAACACGGTGAAACTCAGTCTCTACTAAAAATACAAAAAAAAAAAAAAAAAAAAAAAAAAAAAAAAAAACAATTAGCCGGGCGTGGTGGCAGGCGCCTGTAGTCCCAACTACTCGGGAGGCAGAGGCAGGAGAATGGCGTGAACCCGGGAGGCGGAGCTTGCAGTGAGCTGAGGTCGCGCCACTGCACTCCAGGCTGAGCGATAGAGCCAAACTCCATCTCCCCAAAAAAAAAAAAAAAAAATCAACTCTCAGCCTCAAGAGATTGTTTATGGCAATTCAGCGTAACCTTTGTTAGGTTACACATAACATGAAGTAAAAGTCAAAAGTTTAAGTATTTAAGCCTGAATGCTTAAATTTCTTTTTATATTCTTAAGTCAACATAAGCTCTGCTTTGGGAAAAGACCATTCGTTGTTTCTTAGAAAATCAACTCTCTATTTTAGAGGCCACATGACCATCCAATGTAAAGATTATATTTCTCATTTGCAGCTAAGCGTAGCCACATAATAACATTCTAGGTAGAAGCATGAAAGTCAAAATAATGTGTGCAACTTTGAAGAAAGGTTCTTTCCCTTCTGCTTGGCTGAAAACCAGGCATGAAAGCTTGATTACCAATTGCTGTCTTGGATCGTATAGTGATTTTTCATGGAAATCTTACAATCGTGAAACAATATAGAAGAAACCTGAATTTCTGACAACGCAAAACACCTACCTACCTACATACCTACCTACCAGCCCTACGCTGAGTTCCCACAAGGAACATCTATTAGCCCTATTCTCTGCAACTATTGACTATGAGGGAGAAATACATTTCTGTATTGTTTACCTCTCTTATTTTGGATTTCCTTGTTTCTTGCTGTTGAATCTATCCTATTTTTTTCTTTTTTTCACTTTTTTCTTCTAAAATGTATAAGAATGAGCTTAAAGAACCTATCTTAATATATGACATATTATCTTATTCTGGTTACTGTGAATTAGCGATAAATTAAATTTTGTCTCTTGTCTATATGGAACACCTAATGCTTTTTATTGGAGGAGTATTAGAAAACAATATTTAAAACCATATTTGTTTCTGGATTAAATAGTGATGACTGTACTATATACTAAAAATATACTAATATCATTGAATTGTACACTTTGTAATGTGTGAATTTTATGGCATGTGAATTATATCTTAATAAAGCTGTTATTTTAAAAATATGTAAAATGAATCATTCAGTGAAAGCATGATATTTAAATATTTTTTAATTAAGCTTTGAATTGAAACTACCATTTCAGTGGGGTATGAGAATCATGTATTAAACAAATTTGTGAAATATAAAACTTTAACATCAATTCAGACGCTTTAACTTGTGACTATTCTGATATCCCCCTTGACGTTTGCTTCTATCTTATTATTATTCATTTCCAGATTCAGATTTTGCATTACTTTGAAGAGCATTTTATCATCTTTTTTATCTCCTGAAGAAGCCCTTTTGTTGAGAGCTTCTTCTGCTACGATAAAAAACTGTTCCATTGGTTGAAGAATGCTTACTCCATAGCCTTTGTTGCTATAAATATGATTATTAGTCATCTTCAATTTGGGTGCTGGAAGAACCTATTAAATTATTTGAGGAAATTAGTTTTTCAATGATTTTATTTAAAAAATGAAGTAATGAACATATAAAAATTAGCTTAGACTTTATTCTTGGATTAACAGATTTTTTAAAACAACCAAGACTCTCAATTTTGAACAAGTGTTAAGTACTGTTTTCATGACACCAACTAACGTAATATTAACTACAAAAAATATTTAATAAGAATTTTTTTTTTTGAGATGGAGTCTTGCTTTGTTGCCCAGGCTGGAGTGCAATGACACAGTCTTGGCTCACTGCAACCTCCGCCTCCCGGTTCAAGTGATTCTCCTGCCTCAGCCACTCAAGTAGCTGGGACTACAAGGCGCGTGCCACCACACCTGGCTAATTTTTGTATTTTTAGTAGAGACGGGGTTTCAATATTTTGGCCAGGCTGGTCTCGAGCTCCTGACCTCGTGATCCACCCGCCTTGGCTTCCCAAAGCGCTGGAATTACACGCGTGAGCCACCATGCCCAGCCAATAACAAAATATTAAATGAGCCAGGTGCGGTGGCTCATGCCCTGTAATCCCAGCTCTTAAGAAGGCAGAGGCAGAAGGATAGCTTGAGCCCAGGAGTTCGAGACCTGCCTGGGCAATATAGCAAGACCCTATTCTCCACAAAAAGAAAAAGAAAAAAAAAGTGTAAGAAAATATTTAATGAAGTTTTCAATTTACTTTTATCAGTTATTGATAAAAACAACTAATTCTGTATGGCAATACAACCCATGAAGCTGATCTCTTATAACATAATAAACATGAAAATAAGTAATTTCAAATAATATGTGATTTGGAGAAAATAAGGTAATGTGATAGCATGACTGGGTGGGGAGAGGTTACCACTTGAGTGTTCTTTACATTAAAGGCTTCTTTGAAGAGGGACAACCACATTCAGATAGTAATAAGATCTATAGAAAGAGTGTTTCAGGTCAGGCGTGGTGGCTCACACCTGTAATCCCAGCACTTTGGGAGGCAGAGGCGGGCGGATCACCTGAGGTCAGTAGTTCGAGACCAGCCTGACCAACATGGAGAAACCCCGTCTCTACTAAAAATACAAAATTAGCTGGGCGTGGTGGCGCATGCCTGTAATCCCAGCTACCTAGAAGGCTGAGGCAGGAAAATCGCTTGAACCTGGGATGCAGACATTGCGGTGAGCTGAGATCGCGCCATTACACTCCAGCCTGGGCAACAAGAGCAAAACTCCATCTCAAAAAAGAAAAAAAAGAGTGCTTCAGGTGAAGGTAACAGCCAGAACAAGGTTAATAATTTCTGGGAACACAAACAAAGCCAGTGTGGCTCGAATATAATGTATAAGAGGAAGATTGGAAGGAGATTACGTTGGAGAAAGCAGGGGCCAGATCTTGTCAGATTTTATAAACCATGTTTATCAAATTTTAACGTATGTATATATCATCTGGGGAGCTTGTTAAAGACCACATTTTGTTTAATAGGTCTGGCGTGAGGCTCAAAATTCTCCACTTCTAACAAACTACCAGGTGATGCCAATGCTGCTGGTCCATGGCTCACACTTTGAGTATCAGGAATATGATTCTTAAAGTGTGAGTTAAACCAGCAGTATCAGCATCACCTAGGAAATTACTAAAACAAATTCTCAGGCTTTACCCTAGGCCTACTGAATCAGAAAGCAGAGTGGGCCTCTGCAAGAATGATTCTGATGCATGCTAACATTCAAGGACCACTGAAAAACTGAAAAATATTTAAGAACAGAAAAAATGTTTAAAGATAAATCAAAGATTTTAAAACTGCTATTTACCATTTGTACCTTCTTTTCTTTTTTCTTTCTTTTTTTTTCTTTTTTTTTTTTTTTTTGAGACAGAGTCTCAATCTGTCACCCAGGCTGGAGTGCAGTGGTGCACTGCAACGTCCACCTCTCGAGTTCAAGTGATTCTCCTGCCTCAGCCTACTGAATAGCTGGGACTACAGGCATATGCCACCACGGTTGGCTAATTTTTTTTGTATTTTTAGTAGAGATGGGGTTTCACCATGTTAGCCAGGATGGTCTCAATCTCTTGACCTCGTGATCTGCTCACCTCGGCCTCCCAAAGTGCTAGGATTACAGGTGTGAGCCACTGTGCCTGGCCTTGTACCTTATTTTCAACCAATTATCTGACTTAGTGTCCAGAATCATACAGAGAGTGGGAGGCTACTAGTAATATATAATACAATTCCTTCCCTTAGATAATTTGTAATCTATTTGAGGAGACAAAATGTACATTCATAAAACAAAGAGTTAGAATGTTCTAGAAAAAACTTCACTAACATAAAAGTTCATTAACTACACAAGCCTAGAGAGGGACTTAGAAAGACAAGATTTATAGAAGCAGAAAGGATGGAAGACATTTCACCTAGAAATTATTGCTATTAATGTTTTAATTGGTTAGCTTAAATCATTTAACACAACTTTGAAAGTAAGACTTCAAATGCTTCTTAATATATTATTATTCTTAATTTGCTTTACTTTGTAATTTGAAATACCAAAATGTATTACAGATCTGATCAAAGAAAACTCTAAAATGTCTTTAAGAGAAAAATCTATCCCATTTCTCATATTCAAGGTTATTTGCAAAGAGTTTAAGTACAAATTATTAAATTATAAGGCTAAACTTATTTCCCAGCAGCTATCATTTAACCATATTTTATTACTTGTACTATTCTTTTCCAAATCAATGATAATATGTAGACTGCCTTTTAAGACTAAAACTAATATTTTAGTACTTATAATTACTTACAATTCTTATAACAATGCTACATCAAGAAATAAGAGAATACCTTCATATTAACTCCACCTAAGGTGCTTTTTGAACTGTTACTGGTTCTGAGGTTATTACAGTGATGAATTTCATTTCTTTCCAAAATAGCTATGCTTCCAGGATACAGTTCAACACCAGCACCCTGTAAATTAAAAGCAAATAAAACTATCTACAAAATATATACACAAACCTCTCTCCAAAATCTTTAGACTTGAAAATCGTAATTCTGTATTACCACTATAAACATTGAGTTACGTGCAAATACGTGATCATGCATGCAACTGTTAATTGTAAAGATAATATTTAAAAATATTGAAAATTTAAATATCTGTTAGAGAGTCATTAGACTTAGAAGGTTGAGGTCATATAATCCATTATCTTACTCTTCCACCCAAATGATTCTCTAGAAAGGAGTCCACTCTTTAAGCAATTGTTTCAATAGTTATAAAAATTTATATCTACTGTAAATCCCACTTAATGCCACTAAAGTATATTTCTTCATTTTAGTGGAAATTTTAAAAATTCTTTAAAAAGATGCTCTTATTTTTCTACTTCCTTTAATTCTTTTTCTCATTCAGTTCTCCAGTCCTTCAATGATCTTTGTGATTGTTATCTAAAGACTCAAGCTCTTAATTTTTAATTATTTATTTATTTATTGTTAAAGACAAGGTCTTTCTGTGTTGCCCAGGCTGGTCTCAAACTTCAGCTCAAGTGATCCTCCCGTCTCAGCTCCTAAAGTGCTGGGATTACAGGAGTGAACCACTGTGCTTGGCCTCAAGTTTTTTATGTCCTGATTATTCAGAAGCTGTTAGAACTAATCACAACACCTAACAGCAACATCTGATAACTTACATGTCTTATTTCTTTAAACTATCAAATGACTGACTCATGATTTATGTTATAGCCACTCTTTTCCAGATTTTAAAAAGTCACCCTTATAAAACAAAGCTAAATATTCTTTACTTTGGACCTAGCATTTCATTTTTCCTAAATGTACTATGACACTCCAGTACTCATTTTGTTGATGTCTACCAGTTACTAAGTTTAATTAGAATTCCACTAAAAGATGAAGAAATTGCTACCCTTTATTTGTATATTAAGATCACTCAAAGCTGTCATCTATAGTCATATAAGGCCATACTTTTTAAAGAATGAAATACCTGGGCGCCAGTTATTTCACTGTCTGTAATTGTCAAAGCAGCCCCTGTAAGAACACACACTCCTGTTCCTTCACATTTTAATATGCAGTTTTCTAGAGTCATGTGACCAGACTCCACCACCACGATACCATCAACCGTCCCTTGTTGTATCAAAGATAGATGCATTAGTTTCACATTGTCAGCTTTGGACACCACAAAACTGTCACGAGAAGGTTCAGAAGTAATCATAATTTCCTCTCTCTTTCCAACTCCTGATTCATAGGGATAAAAATACATTAAATCAGTAATCTCCCATTTTAAGGCCCTTTATTGTCATTCAACAATACTGCTGTTACTAAAGTTTTTCCCTGTGTGCGTGTGTGTGTGTGTGTGTGTGTGTGTGTGTGTGTGTGTGTGTGCGCATGCGCATTTTTAGAGATGGTTCTCGCTATGTTGCCCAGGCTAGTCTCGAACTCCTGGGCTCAAGTGATCCTCCTGCCTCACCTCCTGAGTAAGTTGGGACTACAGGTGCATAGCACAGTGCCCAGCTTCACATATTTTTAACAAATAATATATAGTACATACATAACTATAGTGTAATCTTTTTCTTTTTTTTTGAGACAGTCTTGCTCTTTCACCCAGGCTGGAGTGCAGTGGCTTGATTATGGCTCACTGCAACCTGGGCTCAAGTGATTGTCCCACCTCAGCCTCCCAAGTAACTGGGACTACAGGTGTGTGCCACCACATCCAGCTAACTTTTGAATTTTTTGTAGAGATGGGGTTTCACTATGTTGCCCAGACTGCTCTCAAACTCCAGGACTCTAGCAATCCACCTGCCTCAGCCTTCCAAAGTGCTGGGATTACAGGCGTGAGGCACCATATCCAGCTTTTGTTGTTGTTGTTGTTGTTGGTTAGACAATGAGAATACTCTTACTTCAACGTCAAAAAGAGAGAAAGTTTCTAAATATGTTCAGGACCTAAAATAAATTTAGTAAATTCTGCTTTTCTACTTCTGTTTTGGTGAGTTAGCATGTGATATTAGCCTTTTTGAGAAAATGATGAGCATATTTTAACATAGCTTTACATCTGGGTTTTCCTTAGTAAAGTGATGTGAAAAGCAGTAAAGATAGATAAGAAAAAAGTGCTTTGGGTAAAAAATATAAATGGAGCTATAGAAAATATGACGAACATGTCTTAATTATAAAATGAACATAAAGGATTTTTGTAAAACATAAATTCTATTGTAATTTCCAATAATTCCATTAAGCATGTTTAGAATACACAATTTGTCCAGTATACATTGCTGTAAAAAAAACTACAAAGGATGCCCTGCTAACCCTTTATAATGATGTCATCTGTCAACAAAGCAAGATTTGCAGCTTGATATTCTCCTGGAAAAATTATTACTGTATCTCCACTATAACAATTATCCAAAGCCAAATCCAAATCACCATGCTGTTGGAGAAGTGTGTCTGAAGATAAATCCTTTATCTAAAAAGAAATAAAACACTTGCGCTTTCAATAATAGGTTAAACTGAAACATGTCATTTTAATCAGTTACTTACTGGACAAGTACTTTTCCCAAAAGACTTATCATTTATTAAAGACTAGCATTTATTAAATGCTCAAAGTATCAGTTCATCGATTAATATTGAAATAAAATGTTTCTTTACAATCGTTCATCATTTTATAACTATTAAATACTGGGTATTAGCTATGTGCCATATTTTGAACTTTACATATTACCTCCTTAAGCCTTGCAACAGTTCCTTGACGTATTATTATTATTATTTTGAGACGGAGTTTCGCTCTGTCGCCCAGGCTGGAGGGCAATGCTGCGATCTCGGCTCACTGCAACCCCTGCCTCCCGGATTCAAGCGATTCTCTTGCCTCAGCCTCCTGAGTAGCTGGGATTACAGGTGCACACCACCACGTCTGGCTAATTTTTTGTATTTTTAGTAGAGACGGGGTTTCTCCATGTTGGCCAGGCTGCTCTTAAACTCCTGACCTCAGGCAATCCGCCCACCTCGACCTCCCAAACTGCTGGGATTACAGGCATAAGCCACCGTGCCCGGCAACGTAAGTATTATTACCCCCGCTATAAGGTTAAGGAAATTGAACCTTGGCAAGATTAAATGAATTGTCAAAATTAGTAGTGAAGCCAAGCTTTAGATGCAGTTCAATATGACACCAGATCTCATGCTCTTCCCTATGTATCATTTTGTTTTCTTTAACTCAAAATGACCCTCCAGTTTTAGTAAATGAACAAAATTCTTTTTTTTTTTTTTCCGAGATCGAATTTCACTCTTGTCACCCAGGTTGGTGTGCAATGGCACGATCTCAGCTCACTGCAACCTCTGCCTCCCAGGTTCAACCAATTCTCCCACCTCAGCCTCCCGAGTAGTTGGGATTACAGGCGTCTGCCACCACACCCAACTAACTTTTGTATTTTTAGTAGAGACAGGGTTTCGCCATGTTAGCCAGGTTGGTCTCGAACTCCTGACCTCAGGTGGTCCACCTGCCTCGGCCTCCCAAAGTGCATGAGCCACCGTGCCCGGCCCCCAGATAAACAAAATTATACTTATCAAAGATTCTAAAATATGCATTGGGAGTAGAAAAGAGGAGATAAATTTGTTATTAGTGTCGTAAAGACTGGAGGGCTTTATTTATTTATTTTGAGACAGGGTCTCATTCTCTCGCCCAGGCTGGAGTGCAGTGGCACGATCATGGCTCACTGCAGCCTAAACCTCCCAGGCTCAAGTGATCCTCCCACCTCAGCCTCCTGAGTAGCTGGGACTAGAGGCACACATTGCCATGCCTGGGTAATTTTTGTATTTTTTGTAGAGGTGGGGTTTCTCTATATTGCCCAGGCTGGTCTCAAACTCCTCAGCTCAAGTGATCACCCACCTCAGCCTCCCAGAGTGCTGGGATTACAGGTAGAAGCCATCATGCCCAGCAGTGTGAAGGACTTTTAATATAAAATATAAATCCTGGCCGGGCACAGTGACTCACACCTGTAATCCCAGCATTTTGGGAGGCCAAGGTGGGTGGATCACTTGAGGTCAGGAGTTCGAGACCAGCCTGACCAACATGGTGAAACCCCGTCTCTACTAAAAATATAAAAATTAGCCAGGCATGGTGGTACATGCCTGTAATCCCAGCTACTAGGGAGGTGGAGGCAGGAGAATCGCTTGAACCCGGGAGGCAGAGTTTGCAGTAAGCGGAGATGGTGCCATTGCACTCCAGCCTGGGCAACAAGAGCGAAACTGTCTCAAAAAAAAAAAAAAAGTAAATAAATAAATAATAAATCCAAATATAAAATTTGGAAATATATTCTGAAAAAATGCCTATCGTTCTTTGATCCCAATGAGAATGGCATTATCATGCATATATCTTTCTTATTCTTATTATTATTATTATTATTGTTATTATTATTACTATTTTGAGATGGAGTCTTGCTCTGTCGCCCAGGCTGGAGTGCAGTGGCACAGTCTTGGCTCACTGCAACCTCCCGGGTTCAAGTGATTCTCCTGCCTCAGCCTCCCGAGTAGCTGGGACTATAGGTGTGTGCCACTGCACCCGGCTAATTTTTGTATTTTTAGTGGAGACGGGGTTTCACCATGTTGGCCAGGCTGGTCTCGAACTCCTGACCTCAAGTGATCCACCCGCCTTGGTCTCCCAAAGTGCTGGGATTACAGGCGTGAGCCACTGCACCCAGCCTTTTTTTATTATAAAAGTGATACTTGTTATAAAAACATGGAAAAGAAAGCATAACAAAAATTGAAAAATTAACTTGTAAATTCTTAACTAAAGAAAACCTTCATTTATATAGATATTTCCTTCTAGTATATTTCCCATGCATATATTCATTTATTCATATGCCAATCAATCATACCATATATTGTATATACTTTTGAATTCTGATTTTGTCATTATATCACCTTCCCCATGTCTTTAAATAATTTTTCAAAGCCTATTTTTTTAATGATTAAAGTTTCAACTTATTTTAGATATGGGGGTGCATGTGCAGGGTTTACTATGTTCGTTTATTGCATCCAGGTATTGAGCATAGTACCCGATAGGTAGTTTTTCAACAGACATCCCCTCCCTTCTTCCTCCTGCACCAGTAGTTAGCAGTGTCTATTGTTCTCATGTTTGTGTCCATGTGTGCTTAGTGTTTAGCTCCTGCTTGTAAGTGAGAACATGCAGTATTTGGTTTTCTGTTCCTGCATTAATTCACTTAGGATAATGGCCTTCAGGTGCATCCACGCCACTGCAAAGGACATGATTTCATTCTTTTTATGGCTGCATAGTATTCCATGGTGTACATGTACCACATTTACATTATTCAATCCACCATCAATGGGCACCTCGGTTGATTCCCTGTCTTTGCTATTATGAATAGCACATCAAAGCCTAACTTTTAACAATTACATACTAATGTATCAAACAGATATATTACAACTCATGTTATGAATTTCTCACTCTTATTTGGATGGTTTATGAGTTTTCAACATTATGAAAATACTATAACAGATCCTTATGTATATCTCTAGTTATTTCTTTAGGAAACATTACTAGACAGGAAATTGCTGAATCAAAAGGTATAAACATTTTAAGACTCTTGGATATACTTTGCCAAATTCCTCTCCAGAAAAGCTTAATCAATTAAAACTTGGGTTAAGAATGCTCGTTTTGTCATAAACAAAACAACATGGGATTTTTAAAAAATTTGTACAATATTTGCCATTTTAACGGACAAAAGTCCTCCTCACCTCATTTTCATTTCCATTTATTTGATAAGTGAGAGTGAACACTTTTTCCAGATATATGTAAAATTCCTATAAACCTTACTAAATCAGCAACCTACAAACTCATTTGTGCAGGTATTACATACATTGGAAGCAGATAGCACAAGACTACCTCTGTAAATAAATAATTTGTAAGAACTCTGAAACCCTCCTCATTTATATTTTTTTTATTCACTGAAATAAGAAACACAGGAGAGAGAAAAAAGTGTGATAGAGGAAGACGATGAGTTTAATTTTGGTGCCAATAAATTTGAAGTGCCAGTGGAGTCACTAGATAGAGGTATCCAGCAGACTATGGATATAAGGGTCTAGAATATAGGACCTGACTAGACATAAGGTCATAGAATTATTTACTTATATGATAATTTGAGCACAGGAATGGATGAAATTAGCTACAAGAATGCGTAAAGAGGGAAAGATAGCAACCTAGAACAGAACACTGAGGAATATTTAACAAACTGGCGGAAACACAAGATCTCACAAAGAATATTGAAAAGTAGGCAAAGAGGTGGTAGAAAAAAATCAGGAGACTAGGATGTCATGGAAGGAGGAAGTACAGTTGACCCTTGAACAACATGGGTTTGAACTGCATAGACCAACTTATACACAGATTTTTTTCAACCAAACACACATCAAAATACAGTATTTGCAGGATGAAAATCTGAGTATATGGAGAGCAGACTTTGAATTTTGTATATATGGGTTCTGCAGGGCTGACAGCAGGACTTGAGTACACACGGATTTGGATACATGCCAAGTGTCTGTGGACTAATCTCTGTCTATACTGAGGGACAAATGTAGTTGGTAGTGTCAAATGCTGCTCAAAGATTAACAAGATGGTAATCTCTGAGTTGTACCTACTGCAATTGGCCAGAGGGAGATTCTACGTGACCACAACAGCATTTTCAGTGATATTCTGCAGACAGAAGCCGGATCACAGTGAGTAGAGGAATAAATACGAAGAAGTGGAAATAAATGCAGATAAATATTTCAAGTAGTTTTTCTCTGCAAGGTAAGAAACAGAGATGTGGTGTTTAAGGTAGATATTGTTTTGCTATTTAAAATAGAACAGAATTGAACATATCTCACTGCATTCAGGAAGGAGAGAGTAGAGAGGAGAGGTTAAAGACACAAGGAAGAGATGACAGCACAGAAATGGTGAAGTAATGGCTCTTCCACTGAAGCAAACATTAAGTTGGCAAAAACTATGGAATCAACTTTTGGGAGCTCTAGAACCTAAATCAAACACAGCAACAAAGGAAATGCTTAATGAAGTGGCTGCTAAAATTCAGTAAACAAGTGTGGCATTTTTTTGCTTACCCACCTACCATCCCCCAATCCCCTGCTCTGCAGCAGCAATGGAAATGGCAGCCCACATTCCTGGTGTAGCTTGCTGGTGCCAGCAGGCCACCAGGTGGTAGGGTGCAATATAGGCTTTGTTCTCAAAATACTATGGTTGTAAATTCTGACCTATCTGGTAGTTCTCTGACAGACTGGCAAAGAAAGATGATATTTTTTTTCACCCCTCAGGTTGGAGTGGCTTTCCCTTTGCCCCATAGATGCCTAGCGCAAAGAACACAGAAAGAGACAAGCAAGATTCCTCAGACGAGGGGCTGAAGAGAAAGATTTTTGGAGGAATAAGGGCTTGAAAGGAATCAGGGCTTCCCATATACCAGGAAATCAGTAGTGAAATGCACATGCACTGCAGGGCTAGACGTATGCTCAGAAGATACCCAAGAAGAACCTAGGCTTGCACCTTTGGCTGCTCTTTGGGCCTTGTGCAAACAGGAAGCAAAAGCTAATACAAAGTTTTAGGCAGCCTGGCTTAGCTCTGAAGGAGTGCCTCAGCTCAGAGACAATCTGCAAACACTGGGAGAGTTTTTGTTTTTGTTTTTTTCTAGTTATTTATCTATTTTTTTGTTGTTGTGGTTTTTTTTTGAGATGGATCCAGGCTCTGTCACCCAGGCTGGAGTGCAGTGGGACAATCTTGGCTCACTGCAGCCTCTTCCTCCCGGGTTCAAGCGATTCTCCTGCCTCAGCCTCCCAACTAGCTGGGATTACAGGTGTGCACCACTATGCCCAGCTAATTTCTGTATTTTTAGTAGAGGTGGGGTTTCACCATGTTGGCCAGGCTGGTCTCAAACTCTTGGCCTCAAGTGATCTGCCTGCCTCAGCCTCCCGAAGTGCTGGGATTACAGGTGTAAGCCACTGCACCTGGCCTTGTTTTTTCTTTTTAGCTGAGCCATTTAAGGAAATCTCTGTTAGATCACTCACTATCTACTGAGATAACACAACAAAGACTTCAAGTGCCACAAAGAAAAGGAATACAGCCTTTGCAAATTAGTTTAGAAAAGTCATTAAACAAACATACAGCTGCAGTCATAAACAACCGAAACAAACCCTGGGGAGGAGTAGAATCCAATTTCCAGAGTTACCATATTATAATATCTAAAATGTCCAGCTTTCAACAAAAAAATTGCAAGACATACAAAAAAAATAAGATACCATGACCCATTCACAGGAAAAATAAATTGACAGAAACTATCCCTGAGGAAGCCCAGATAAGACTTTGGACTTACTAGACAAAGACTTTAACTCTACTGTTTTAAGTGTGCACAAAGAGCTAAAGGAAACAATAAAGAACTAGAAGCAACCAGGAGAACAATGTCTGAACAAATAAAGAATATCAATAAAAATATAAACAAAATAGAAATTCTGTAGTTGAAAAGTGTGATAGCTGAAGTGAAAAATTCACTAGAGGGGTTCAACAGCAGATTTGAGCAAGCAGAAAAAATAATCAGCAATCTTGATGAAAGCACAATAGAAATTATCCAGCCTGAGATCAGAAAGAAAAGAACTATAGAAAAAAATGAACAGCATCAAAGGGACCAGTGGGATATTATGAAGCATATAAATATACTTATTAGGAAGTGTCAGAAGAAGAGGAAAGAGAGAAAAGGGTGTGCTGTTACTTTGTATGTATATATGGGTTTTCATTCACACCTCCTGACTCATAACTTCCACAGTCCTTATTACAGCTTTTTGTTATAATGTTGGGTGCTTTAGGCCTCATGAAACAGAATCTCTCTAACCTTCTCTTGCTCTCCTTTCACCTGCCCCAGGGCAGGACTCTAATATTCCTGTGCTTTTCTGATTGTGGGTCATAAGACCCTCATTCCAAACCAGATTCCGCCAGGCACGGTGGCTCACGCCTGTACTCCCAGCTCTTAGGGAGGCAGAGGTGGGAGCATAGCTTGAGCCCAGGAGTTTGAGACCTGCCTGGGCAATATAGCAAGACCCTGTTATCCACAAAAAAGAAAAAAAGAGACAAAACATAAATAAATAAACTGGGTTCCACCCCATAATTTGAGGCCAATCATGTTTTAACACAGTTGTCCAAAGAAACCCAAGAGGACTAGGTTCAGAGAGCCTTCAGAAAGCTGACCTCATAACATTTCCTGGAGGATGATATACCTGGAGGAGGGCATGGGAGCTCTGTGTACTTTCCCTGATACCTTCCCCTACACACCTTTTCATCTGTATCCTTTGTAATATCAATTTTTTTTTTTTTGAGACACAGTCTCACTCTGTCACCCAGGCTGCAGTGCAGTGGCGCAATCTCGGTTCATTGCAACCTCTGCCTCCTGGGTTCAAGTGATTCTCCTGCCTCAGCCTCCCAAGTAGCTGAGATTACAGGTGTGCACCACCACACCCAGCAAATTTTTGTATTTTTAGTAGAGACGGGTTTTTGCCATGTTGGCCAGGCTGGTCTCAAACTCCTGACCTCAAGTGATCCACCTGCCTCGGCCTCCCAAAGTGCTGGGATTACAGGCATGAGCCACTGTGCTTGACTGTAATATCCTTTATAATAAACTGGTAAACATAGGCCAGGCACTGTGGCTCACGCCTGTAATCCTAGCACTTTGGGAGGCTGAGGTGGGTGGATCACAAGGTCAGGAGTTCAAGACCAGACTGACCAATATGGTGAAACCCCTTCTCTACTAAAAATACAAAAATTAGCTGGGTGTGGTGGTGTGCGCCTGTAATCCCAGCTACTCAGGAGGCTGAGGCAGGAGAATCGCTTGAACCCAGGAGGTGGAGGTTACAGTGAGCCGAGATCACACCACTGCACTCCAGCCTGGGTGACATAGCAAGACTCCATCTCAAAAAATTAATTAATTAATTAAATTAACTGGTAAACATAAATGTTTCTCTGAGTCCTGTGAGCTGCTCTAGTAAACTAATTAAACCCAAAAAAGGAGTTGTGAGAACCCCAACTTGAAGTCAGTCAGTCAGAAGTTCTGGAGGCCTAGACTTGTGACTGGTGTCTGAGGGAGAGGAGCAGTTTTGGAGGCTGAGTCTCCAACCTGTAGAATGTGACACTATCTACTGTATGCTGAAATAGAATTGTAGGACACCCAGTTGGGGTCTGCTGGAGAACTGATTGATTACTTGCTGGCAGGGAGAAAGCCCCACATATTTTGGGGTCACAGAAGTTTTCTGTATTGATAATTCTTGTTTTGTTGTGAAAACAGAGGGAAAATATGGTTTGAGTGTTTTCCTAACAAAGGCAGAAAAAATACTTGAAAACGTAATGGCCGAAAACATCCCAAATTTCATTAAAGACATGAATCTACATATCCAAGAAGTGTAATGGACTTTAAGTAAGATAAACACAAAGAAACACACATTAACAAATATTATAATCAAACAATTAAAATCCAAAGATAGGCGGGGCACAGTGGCTCACACCTGTAATACCAGCACTTTGTGAGGCCAAGGCAGCTGATCACCTGAGGTCAGGAGTTCCAGACCAGCTTGGCCAACATGGCGAAACCCCATCTCTACTAAAAATACAAAAATTAACCAGATGTGGTGCCACATGCCTGTGATACCAGCTACTGGGGAGGCTGAGGTAGGAGAATTGCTTGAACCTGGGAGGCAGAGGTTGCAGTGAGCCAAGATCATGCCATTGCACTCCAGCCTGGGCAACAAGAGCAAAACTCCATCTCAAAAAATAATAATGATAAAAAACAATCCAAAGATAAATAGAGAATCTTACAAGCAGCATGAGAGAAGCAATGCATTAAGTATAAGAGATCTTTAATAAGATTAAGGCTGCTTTCTCATCAGAAACCATGGAAGCCAGAAAGCAGTGGGATTTAAAAGTGCTGAAAGATAAACAACCAAAAATTCTATATCTAGAAAAAATACCTTTTCAAAATGAAGAAGAAATTGACATTTCTAGATAAAAAAAGTTAGGCCTATCCTAAAAGAAATGCTAAAGGAGTCCTTCAGACTGAAATGAAATAGACAACAGAAGTAACTCAAAGCCATATAAAGAAATAAAAAAATTCCAGTAAAGGTAAAATCAAGGGTAAATATAAAGGCAGTATTACTGTATTTTTGGTTTGTGACTCCTTTTTTTGTTTCCTATATAATTTAAGATACCGATGCCTAAAACAATCCTTGTAAATCCATGCTAATGGGGAAACAATGTATAAAGATGTAATTTGTAACAATAACAACATAAAGGGACGATGGAGCTGTATGCTATTAAAGCAAAGTTGGTATCAATTCAAACTCAATCGTTATAAATGTAGGATGTGAATTACAATTCCCTTGATAATCACCAAGAATATAACTAAAAAATACATACAAAAGGAAATGTGGAGTAAATCAAAATGGTACACTAAAAAAAAAATCATAAAACACAAAAGAAGATGGTACTGAAAGCACTGCGTAACAAAAAAAAGATATTACTTGTAGGAAAAACAGTAGCCAATGACAGAAGTAAGTCCTTCCTTATCAGTAAACATTTTAAATGTAAATGGATTAAGATCACCAATTAAAAAAGACAGGTAGAAAGGATAAAGAAAAATAATCCAACTATATGATGTTACAAGAATCTCATTTCAGGCCGGGTGTGGTGGCTCATGCCTGTAATCCCAACCCTTTGGGAGGGCGAGGTGGGCGGATCATGAGGTCAGGAATTTGAGACCAGCCTGGCCAACATGGTGAAACCCCATCTTTACTAAAAATACAAAAATTAGCCAGGCATGGTGGTGCATAATCCCAGCTACTCAGGAGGCTGAGGCAGGAGAATCACTTGAACCTGGGAGGCGGAAGTTGCAGTGAGCTGAGATCGCACCATTGCACTCCATTCTGGGCAACAGAGGCAGACTCTGTCTCAAAAAAAAAAAAAAAAAAAAAAAAAAAAAAAAAAGAATCTCACTTTAGATTCAAAGACACAAGTAGGTTAACAGTGAAAGAATAAAAAGATATTCTGTACAAACAGTAATTGAAAAAGAGCTGGGGTGGCTACACTAACATTAGATAAAATAGACTTTAATAACACAATTGTTGCTAGAGACAAAGAAAGGTATTATATATTAACAAAAGAGTTAATTCATCAAGAAGATGTACCAATAAGCATATGCAAACCAAACAACAAGGTCTCAAAATGTATGAAGTAAAACATTCACAGAATTGAAGTAAGAAATAGTTTTATAATAATAGTTGAAGATTTCTATACCACTTTCAAAAATAACTAGAACATCTAGACAGAAGAACAATAAGGAAATAGAGGACTTGAACAACAGTATAATCTAACTAGACCTAACATACATATATACACTGCCCCCCAAGTCCAACACAAAAGGATATGCATTCTTCTGGAATGCATATGGAACATTCTCCAAGATATACCATCTATTAGGCCACAAAACAAGTCTCAATAAATACATCTTCTCTGACTACAATGGAATTAAAGTAGAAGTCAATTATGGAAAGAAAACTGAAAAATTTAGACATATGTGAAAATTAAACAACGTATTCTTTTTTTTTTTTTTTTTTGAGACGGAGTCTCACTCTGTCGCCCAGGCTGGAGTGCAGTGGCGCGATCTCGGCTCACTGCAAGCTCCACCTCCCGGGTTCACGCCATTCTCCTGCCTCAGCCTCTCGAGTAGCTGGGACCACAGGCGCCCGCCATCACGCCCGGCTAATTTTTTGTATTTTTAGTGGAGACGGGGTTTCACCGTGTTAGCCAGGATGGTCTCTATCTCCTGACCTTGTGATCCGCCCCTCTCGGCCTCCCAAAGTGCTGGGATTACAGGCGTGAGCCACTGCGCCCGGCCTGACAACATATTCTTAAATAACAAATGGCTCAAAGATGAAACAAAAGGAAAATCTGAAGATACTTTGAGATAAATGAAAATGAAAACACAACATACCAAAATTTATAGGATGCAGGAAAAACAGAGCTCAGAGAGAAATTTATAGCAGTAAATGCCTACATTAAAAAAGAAAGATCTCAAATCAGCAATCTAATTTTACAACTTAAGAAACTAGAAAAAGCAAATTAAACCCAAAGCCAACAGTAAAAGGAAACGATACAGATTAGAGTTCAATGAAATAGAGAATAGGAAAAATAAAAACAAAATCAAAAATTAATTTTTTGAAAAGATCAACAAAATTGACAAAAGTTTAGCTAGACTAAGAGAAAGAGGAGGCACAAACAACTAAAATCAGATATGAAGGTAGATACATTACTACTGACCTTAAAGAAATAAAAATTATTTATAATGATATTCTATGATTATACTATCATTATATGTACACCTATGAACAATTGTACACCAACAAATGCACTGATTTCATACCAACAAAAATTAAGTATACAAATTCCTAGAAACACACAGTTTACCAAAACTGGCTCTAGAAGAAATATAAAATCTGAACAGACCTGTAACAGTAAAGAGATTAAAAAATCAGTAAGCAAAAATCTCCCAACAAAGAAAAGTCCAAGATCAGATAGCTTCATTGATAAATCTACCAAACATTTCAAAAATTAACACCATGAACACTAAATAATAACTTATGAATGCAAAGAGGAAAACAACAGACACTGGTGTCTACTTGAAGGTAGAGGGTGGGAGGAAAGACAGGAGCAGAAAAGATAACTATTGGGTACTGGTCTTAATACCTGGGTGATGAAATAATATGTATAACAAACCCCCATGACACGAGTTTACCTATGTAACAAATCTTCACGTGTACCCCCAAACCTAAAATAAAAGTTAAAAAAAAAGAATTAACACCAATCTTTCCCAAATTCCTCCAAAATCTGTGAGAACACTTCCTAATTCTCAGGCAAGCATTATCTGATAACAAAGCTAGACAAAAATACCAGAAGAAAAGAAAACTATACAGCAATATTCCTTTTGAATATAAATGCAAAAATCCTCAATAAATCCTAGCAAACTGAACTCAACAACATATTTAAAAGGTTATACATGATGATGAAGTGAGATTTATTCCAAGAATTCAAGAGTGATTTAATATACAAAAATCAATCATAACACACCACATTAATAGAATGAAGGGGAAAAATAAATTACACAATAATCTCAATTGATGCAGAAAAAGCTATGCCCAGCTAATTTCTGTATTTTTAGTAGAGGTGGGGTTTCATCATGTTGGCCAGGCTGATCTTGAACTCCTGACTTCAAGTGATCCACCCATCTCGGCCTCCCAGAGTGCTAGGATTACAGGCGTGAGTCACTGCACCCGGCCAGAAATTTATTTTCTTACAGTTCTGGAGGATGGAAGCCCAAGATCAATGTGTCAACAGATTTGGTTTCTTCTGAGCCTCTCTCAGCTTGCAGGTGGTTGTGGTTTTGCTCCCTCTTCACATGGTCATCCTTCTGTGCACATGCACTCCTGATGTCTTTTTCTGTGTCCAAATTTCCTTTCTTTTAAGGATATCAGTCAGACTGGAGGAGGGCCAACCCTAATGGCTTCATTTTAATTTAATCATCTCTTTAAACACTTGCTCTCCAAATATGCTTACATTTTAGGGTACTGGGGTAAGGACTTCAATATATGAATTTTGGAGGGACGCAATTCTGCCAATAACACCCCAAAGTATCAGAAAAGACAATGATGCCCACTTTTGCCACTGCTGTTCAACATTGAACCAGACGTCCTAGCCAGAGCAACTATGCAAAAAGAAATAAAATGTATCCAAATTGTAAAGGAGGAAGTAAAACTTACTGTTTGCAGATGACATGACCCTATATATACTCTCCTCTCTCTCTCTATATATATATGTATATATACACATATATATGTATATATACACACACATATATACGTGTGTGTGTATATATATACACATATATATACACATATATATACACACATATATACATATATATACACATATATATACATATATATACACATATATATACACATATATATATACATATATATACACACATATATATCTCCAAGGAATGCACCAAAAACATATGATAGCTAATAAACAAATTCAGCAAAGTTGAAGGATGCAAAATCAGAACACAAAATCAGTTTTGTTTTTATATATCACTAATGAACAATCTGAAAAGAAAATTAAGAAAATTCCATTTACAATAGCACACAAAATAATAAAATGCCTAGAAATAATGTAAACCAAGGAGGTGAAGGACTTGTATACTGAAACTACAAACCATTGCTCAAAGAAATTAAAGAAGGTCAAATAGATGAAAAGCCATCCCATGTTCATGGATTGGAAGATTTTAATATTGCTAAAATAGCAATACTACTTACATTGATCTACAGATTCAATGTAATCCCTATCAGAATTTCAATAGCCTTTTTTTTGAAGAAATGAACATGCTCATCTTCAAATTAATAATGAATTGCAAGGGACCCTGAACAGCCAAACAATACTGAAAAAGAACAAAGTGGAGGACTCACTCTTCTGATTCCAAAACTTACTACAAAGCCACAGTAATAAAATAGTGTGGTACTGGCATAAAGATAGGCATATAGACCAGTGGGATAGAACTGAAAATCCAGAAATAAACCCAATTATGGGCAAGTGATTTTCAACAAGGGTTACAAGATCATTCAATGGGGAAAGAATAGTCTCTTCAACATATGGTGTTGGGACAAATAAGTATCTACATGCAAAAGGATAAAGCTGAACCCAAACCCAACACCATATACAAAAATTAACTCAAAATTGATTAACAACCTATATATAAGAGCTAAAACCATAAAACTCTTAGGAAAAACCATAAGGGTAAATCTTCATGATCTTGAACTTGGCAGCGGATTCTAAGGTATGACACAAAAGCATGAGTAACAAAAGAAAAAATAAATTTCTGCCTTAGTCTATCTGTGCTGCTGTATAACAGAATGCTACAGACTGTGTAATTTATAAAATAAATTTATTAGCTCACAGTTCTGGAGGCTAGGAAGTCTAAGGTCAAGGCACTGGCAGGTTTGGTGCCTGGTGAGGCCATTCTCTTCCAAGATGGCACCTTGCCTGCCACTTGGATCCTCACATGGCAAAAGGCAAGAACTCTGGAGAGGAACTCTGTCTTCACATGGCAGAAGAACAACAGAGGCAGAACCAGCTCCCATAATTCCTTTTTATAGGGGCATTGATCCATTTGTGAGGGCCCTATCCTCTTGAAATACCTCCCATTAGGCTTCATCTCCCAACTCTGTTGTGTTGAGGATTAAGTTTCCAAAACTTGAGTTTTGGAGTGGGGCAAAAACATCCAAACCAAAGCAGCTGAATTTCCTCAAAGTTAAAAACTGTAAGGCATCAAGGGACATTATCAAGAATGTAAAAAAGCCTAGGCACCATGCATAGACCACTAGGTGAGGGATAAGGTAATTTTGGGCAGGTCAATGGGTCAAAGCTAATTTCAATTATAAGCATAAAACTGGAATGGTCGTTCACTGAGGAAGATCAAACTGGGTGTTTGTTTTAACATTTATTGAATTTTCTAACTATGGATCCATGTTTCTTATTGTTACCAAACTTGATAAAGATCTGAAAGTTGGAGGCCATGACTTGCTTGTTGTAACATATTAAATCAAGAAAGAGGGATCCACACAGCCTCCCCCTACCACATCATCCCCCACTGCTTTGGAAGTGCACACATACAGGCAGACGTCACCACCCCTCCCCTACCAGCACACATGCATGCACACTTTGTTGTCCTGCCACCACTAGCACTAATGCATACATACAAACACCACAGTCCCACCCTCGCTGGCACCCTGCCCCTGCTGATACATGCACACCCTGCTGCACCGCTGCCACTGTTGGCACATATGCAGGAGCACAGACCTGCTGCCACTGCCCCAACAAAGGGCTTTGGTTAGCACTCACCATCGAAGTGTTGTTACCAGCAGACTGTGAACACCTCAGCCCCTCCAGTGCAGGAGGTGATTAACCTTGAGAGGCCAGAGAACAAACCTGTGCTGTGGGCCTGGTACCAGCCCCCCAGGGTTGCGCATGCAGCCCAGTAGTACTGAGGTAAGAATTGGACCCCTGACATCTTCCAGAAATGAAGCCAGTTGACTGAACCTACCTTATACCACAGTAAAACCCTCACACGCATCAAAGAATATAAAAGCAAAAAAACCCCATCCAAAGGACATCAACTTCAAAGGAACATCGGCCCAAGCAGATGCGAAAAAAGCAGTGCAAGAACTCTGGGAACTTAAAAAGCCAGAGTGTCTTCTTACCGCCAAACAACCACACTAATTCCCCATCAATGGTTCTTAACCAGGCTGAAATGACAGACAGAATACAGAATCTGGATATGAACTAAGATCATCAAGATTTAGGAGAAAGTTGAAACCCAATCCAAAGAATCTAATGAATCCAATAAACAATACAAGAGCTGGAAGATGAAACAGTCACTTTATGAAAGAATCAAACTGAACTGATGGAGCTGAAAAACTCACTCCAAGAATTGGAAGTATTAATAGCAGAATAGACCAGGCTGAGGAAAGAATCTCAGAGCTTGAAGACTAGTCCAACAAAAATAAAGAAAAAAGAATAAAAAAGAATGAACAAAACCTCTGACAAATATGGGATTATGTAAAGAGACCAAACCTACGACTCATTGGCATCCCTAAAACAGAGGGAGAGAAAGCAAGCAAGCATATTTCAGGATACTGTACACTAAAAATTTCCCAACCTCTCCAGAGAGGTTGACATTCAAATCCAGAAAAAGCAGAGTACCCCTATGAGATACTATACAAAATGACCATCCCCAAGACATAGTCATCAGATTCTTCAAGGTCAACGTGAAAGAAAAAATATTAAAGGCAGCTAGAGAGGAGAGGCAGGTCACCTACAAAGGGAATCCTATCAAGCTAACAGTGGACCTTTCAGCAGAAATCCTGTAAGTCAGAAGAGATTGGGGGCCTACATTCAGCAATCTTAAAGAAAAGAAACTCCAACCAAGAATTTCATATCCACCCAAACTAAGCTTCATAAGTGAAGGTAAGAAAATGCTAAGAAAATTCATTACCACCAGACCTTACAAGAGGTCCTTAAGGGAGTGCTAAACGTGGAAATGAAAGACTGTTATTTACCACCACAAAAACACACTTAAGGACATAGACCATTCACACTATAAAGTAACTGCACTATCAAGTCTGCATAACAACGAGCTAATAGGTTTGTTAGGTTTGTTTTGACAGGATCAAATCTGCACATATTAATATTAACCTTGAAAGTAAATGGGTTATATGCCATACTTAAAAGGCACAAAGTGGCAAGTTAGATAAAGAAGGAAGACTCAACTCTATGCTGTCTTCAAGAAATCCATCTCAGGCAGGGCGTGGTGGCTCACACCTATAATCCCAGCACTTTGAGAGGCCAAGGAAGGTGGATCACCTGAGGTCAGGAATTCGAGACCAGCTTGGCCAACATGGCAAAACCCCATCTCTACTAAAAATACAATAATTAACCAGGCGCGGTGGCAACGTGCCTGTGATCCCAGCTACTTGGGAGGCTGAGGCAAGAGGCAGAGAATGCAGTGAGCTGAGATCACACCACTGCACTCCAGCCTAGGCGACAGAGCAAGACTCAGTTCCAAAAAAAAGAAATCCATTTCACATGCAATGACACCCATAGGCTCAAAGCAAAAAGATGGAGAAAAATCTACCAAGCAAATGGAAAACCAAAAAAAGCAGGGGTTACTATTTTAATTTCAGACAAAATAGACTCCTAAACCAAGAATGATTTTAAAAAGACAAAGAATGGCATTACATAATGATAAAGGGTTTGATTCAACAAGAAGAATTAACTATCTTAAATATATATAATCCCAATGCTGGAGCACCCAGATTCATAAAATAAGTTCTTAGAAACCTATCAGGAGACTTAGATAACCACACAACAGTGGTGCAAGACTTCAACACCCCACTGACAGTATTAGACAGATAATTGAGGCAGAAAATTAAGAAAGATGTTTGAGACCTGAACTCTACACGACCAAATGGACCTAACAGACATCTACAGATCGCCTGAGGTCAGATCACTTGAGGTCAGGAGTTTGAGACCAGCCTGGCCAACATGGTGAAACCCCATCTCTACTAAAAATACAAAAAATTAGCCAGGCATGGTGGTGCATGCCTGTAATCCTAGCTACTTGGGAGGCCAAGGCAGGAGAATCGCTTGAATCTGGAAGGTGGAGGTTGCAGTGAGCCAAGATCATGCCACTGCACTCCAGCCTGGGTGACAGAGCGAGACTCCATCTAAAAAAAAAAAAAAAGAAAGAAATCAATACTAAGAAGACCTTTCAAAATCATACAATTACTTGGAAATTAAGCAATCTGCTCCTGAATGACTTTTGGGTAAACACTGAAATTAACACAGAAATCAAAAAATCAAAAAATTATTTGAAACTAATGAGAACAAGGATATAACATACCAGAAACTCTGAGACACAGCTAAATTAGTGTTAAGAGGAAAGTTTATTCTGCTAATCGCTCACATCAAAAGGTTAGAAAGATCTCAAATTGACAACCTAACATCACACCTGGAGGAACTAGAAAAATAAGAGTAAACCAATCCCAAAGCTAGAAGAAGAAAAATAACCAAAATTAGAGTGGAACTGAATGAATTTGAGATGTGAAAAACCATACAAAAGATCAACAAAACCTTTGTTTTTTGAAAGAATAAATAAGATAGACTGCTAGCTAGACTAAGAGAGAATATCCAAATAAACATAACCAGAAACAACAAAAAGGACATTACTACTGACACCACAGAAATACAAAAAAACCCTCAGAGGCTATTACAAACACCTCTATGCACAAAAACTAGAAAATCTAAAGGAACTGGATGAATTCCTGCAAACACACAATCTCCCAAGATTGAACCAGGAAGAAACTGAAACCATAAACAGACTAATAATGAGTTCCAAAACTGAATCAGTAATAAAGAGCCTACCTACCAATCAGAAAAAGCCCTGAATGAGACAAATTTACAGCTGAATTCTACCAGACGTATAAGAGTTGCTACCAATCCTGCTGAAACTATTCCAAAACATTCCTCCCTAACTCATTCTTTGAGGCCAGCATGATTCTGATACCAAAACCTGGCAGAAGCATCAAAAAAAGTAAACTTCAAGCCAATATTCCTAATGAACACAGATGCAAACATCCTCAACAAAATATTAACAAACTGAATCTAGTAGCACATCAATGACCTAAGTGGCCATTAGTCAAAAAGCTAATCCACCATGATAACATTAGCTTTATTCCTGGGATGCAAGGTTGGTTCAACATACAAAAATCAATAAATGTGATTCAGCACACAAACAGAACTAAAAACAAAAACCACATGATCATCTCAACAGATGCTGAAAAGGCTTTCTATAAATTCAACATCTATTCATCTTAAAAACTCTCAACAAGCTAGGCACTTAAGGAATATACCTCAAGATAACAAGAGCCATCTATGACAAGCCCACAGCCAACATCATACTGAATGGGCAAAAGCTGGAAGCGTTCCCCTTGAAAAACAACAAGACAACGATACCCACTCTTACCACTTCGATTCAACACAGTACTGGAAGTCCTAGCCAGAGCAATCAGGCAAAAGACAGAAATAAAAGGCATCCAAATAGGAAGAGGGGAAGTCAAATTATCTCTTTAGAGACTATATGATTTTATACCTAGAAAACCTCATAGCCTCTACCCAAAAGCTTCTAGATCTGATAAACAACTTTAGCAAAGTTTCAGGACACAAAAATCAATGTACAAAAATCCATAGCATTTCTATACACCAACAATGTCCAAGCTGAAGAACTAAATCAAGAACACAATCCCATTCACAATGGCCACACACACAAAATAAAATACCTAGGAATACAGCTAACGAGGGAAGTGAAAAAGCTCTACAACAAGAATTGCAAAACTACAAAATGCTGTTGAAAGAAATAAGAGACAACACAAACAAATGGAAAAACATTCCATGCTCAAGAATAAGAAGAATCAATTTTTTTTTTTTTTTTTTTGAGACGGAGTCTCGCTCTGCCACCCAGGCTGGAGTGCAGTGGCTGATCTCAGTTCACTGCAAGCTCTGCCTCCTGGGTTCATGCCATTCTCCTGCCTCAGCCTCCCGAGTAGCTGGGACTACAGGCGCCCACTACAATGCCCGGCTAATTTTTTGTATTTTTAGTAGAGACGGGTTTCACCGTGTTAGCCAGGATAGTCTTGATCTCCTGACCTCGTGATCCTCCCGCCTTGGCCTTCCAAAGTGCTGGGATTACAGGTGTGAGCCACCGCGCCCCGCCAAAAGAATCAATGTTGTTAAAATGACCATGCTGACCAAAGCAATGTACAGATGCAGTGCTATTCCGATCCAACTACAAAAGAAAGGAAAGGAAAGGAAAGGAAAGGAAGAAAGAAAGAAAGAAAGAAAGAAAGAAAGAAAGAAAGAAAGAAAGAAAGAAAGAAAGAAAGAAAGAAAGAAAGAAAGAAAGAAAGAGAGAAAGAAAGGAAGGAAGGAAGGAGGGAAGAGAGGGGTGGGGGAAGGAGGGAGGAAGGGAGGGAGGAAGGAAGGAAGGAAAGAAGGAAGGAAGGGAAAGACAAAGAGAGAGAGAGAAAGAAAGGAAAGGAAGGAAGGAAGGAAGGAAGAAAGAAAGAAAGAAAGAAAGAAAGAAAGAAAGAAAGAAAAAAAAAGGAAGAAGGAAAGGAAGGAAGAAAGGAAGGAAGGGGAGGAAGGGGAGGAAGGGAAGGAAGGGAAGAAAGGGAAGGAAGGGAAGGAAGGGAAGGAAAGGAAGGAAAGGAAGGAAAGAAGTGAAGAAAGAAAGAAGGAGGGGGAGGAAGAGGGATCACATATGAAATAGTGAATAAGGTTAACAGCAATGACAGTGATCACGGACAGGCAATGCTCCTAGCATCCCCTAAGTGGCAATAAAGCGCACAAAAGGAAGTGAAAAAGCCTAAGGAATGGGGGGTAAAAATTTGCAGAGCATATATCTAATAAGGGTCTAGTATTCAGAATATATAAATAACTCTTATAGTCAATAACAAGAAGACAAACAACCCAATTACAAAATGGGATATGAATTTAATAGATGTTACTCCAAGGAAGATACACAAATGGCCAACAAGTCCATGGAAAGATGTTCAGCATCTTCAACATCATTAGTCATTAGTTAAATGAAAATCAAAACTACAATGAAATACCACTTCACATTCGCTAGGATCACTGTAATTTTAAAAATAAAAGAAAGAGAAAAAATAAATAATAAAAAAAGATAAAAGTTTTGGTGAGGACTGGAGAAATTGGAACTCTAATACTTTGCAGATGACAATGTGAAATGTTTCAGCCCCTGTGAAAAACAGTTTGGCAATTCCTCATAAAGTTGCACATATGACCCAGTAATTCTAGTCTTTGGTATATACCCCAAAGAATCGAAAACAAGTAGTCAGACAAACTCTTGCACACAGATGTTCACAGCCCCACTTTCCCCAATAGTCAAAAGGCAGAAACAACTCAGATATCCACCAACTGATGAATGTATAAGCAGATCATTGTATATACATACAAAAGGATATTATTCAGCCAGAAAAATGAATGAAGTACTGATAAATGCTACAATGTGGATGAACCTTATAAACATCATGCTAGATGAAAGAAGCCAGACATAAAGGTCAGATATTTTATGATTCCATTTATATGAAATATCCAGAATCATAAATCTACAGAGACAGCAGATTGTTGGTTGTCAGGAGGTGGGGGAAAGGGGAAATGGAGGTATGGGGTTCTGGTTTTGGGTAATGAAAATGGTTAGGAACCAGACAGATGTACACAGCATTGTGACCCTACTAAATGTCAATGAATATCACTTTAAAACAGTTAATTTTGCTATGTAAATTTCACCTCAAGTTTTTTAAGAAAGGAAAAAAGATACCAAAAAAAAGAAGGAATAACTGAGAGCACACTGTCTCTGAGGAGGCAGATGGCAACAGAATCAGTAGTACAGATGGAAGAAAACTGATTAAATTCTTCTTTGTACTTCGTATATTTTCAGACATGGTTATCACCTTCTGTAGCACTTCAGGAAAAATCTGGCAAAAATGATGGCTATATTATTGGGATATAAACTGCAAAATAGTAATAATAATATCAGTTGACATTTATTTATGTGCTAGGCATTTTGCTAAAAGATTTATATAAATTATTTCACTTAAGCCTAACACTCTATGGGACAGACTTCATTATTCTCTTTTACAGATGAGGAAATAAGAGAAACCATGTAATTTGTTTAATCTCATAGAAATATTAAGAAGCAAAACTGTGAATCAAATCCAGGTTTTTATGATCTTAAAGTCTATGTTCTCCAACATCACACTATACCGTCTCCAGATTGAAAGAAGGAAAAGCCTGTGATCAACAAGAGGATAAAGGCCTATGATACACAATGGGAATACCACTGTTTCTCCTAGATCTGGGAGAATGACTAATGTTTAACTTTAGTTCAGAAACTGAAACAAGTGGTAAACATTTATTGAGCATTTACTATGTGCTGGGCATTATTCTAAGCATATTACAAATATAAACTCATTTAATCTTTACAGCAACTCTATAAATATGAAACATAGGATTATTATCCCAATTTTACATATGAGAAACTAAACTACAGATGGGTTAAATAATTGGTTGAAAATCACCTAACTAGTAAGTGGCAAAACCAAGAATCCAGGCAATTTGTCTTTAGAGCCCATGCTCTTAACTAGCACTATATATATATATATATATATATATATATATATATATATATATATATATATATATATATATATACTCTCTCTCTCTCCTTTTAAAGCATTCTGCAAGTAAGGAAATTGAGGCTTAGAGGTTATGCGCTTTGCCTAAGATTGTTTATTAAGTGGTCTCAGGGTATTTGAACATTGGGTATCTAACTACAAAGTCCATGCCTTTCCACTGCACTGCTTGTAAAGATCACCAACATAAGATGATGGGCATGAATAAACTGCGTCTAAGGGGTGGGTATAGAGCAAGAATTCTCAGTCAAGAATCTTCAAAGATGAGGAAATTGTTAAAGCTTACATGCACAGCAGCCGGGCGCGGTGGCTCACGCCTGTAATCCCAGCACTTTGGGAGGCTGAGGAGGGCGGATCACGAGGTCAGGAGATCGAGACCATCCTGGCTAACGGGGTGAAACCCCGTCTCTACTAAAAATACAAAAAATTAGCCGGGCGTAGTGGCGGGCGCCTGTAGTCCCAGCTACTCGGGAGGCTGAGGCAGGAGAATGGCGTGAACCCGGGAGGCGGAGCTTGCAGTGAGGCGAGATCACGCCACTGCACTCCAGCCTGGGCGACAGAGCGAGACTCCGTCTCAAAAAAAAAAAAAAAAAAAGCTTATATGCACAGCTATACTACTATCAAGCTATATTTCATGAACCTCAAAAGTAAATCTAAAATCCAAGGTCTAAGTAAACTGGAAGCTGATGATACTTTCTCCTCACAGTAGTCTCCCTCTAATTATTCTGGCCTCCAAAGTTCAGGTATAATTACACAAATGAAAACAGAATTGCAAAGCACTGAACAAAAAAAATCATAGAAATTTCTGTCATATAAGAAAGTGAATAAAGCCAGGACCTATTTAAAAGTGAAAAGGAGAAGTAAAAATAAAAATGACAAAATAAAGCTGAGGATAAAAGCAAGATTTATACCTTTTTAAAAAGATGTTTTAAAAGGTGTTTATAAAGATGTTAGTGGAATAATCAACATGATTGAATAATATGCTCCAATAAGTAATTAAAAGGAAAATTAAATTTTGTTGAAAAGAATAAAAATTGGTAGAATAGCAGACAAGACTATCTAATATGCCAGCTTTATCTTTCATCACTCTCTTAGATGTTAACCACCAGCCTTGGTGGCCTTCTTTCGGTTCCTCATATATACTAACCTCTCTTGTTACATACACTAATTTATTCATTCACCAAAAATTGCTGGGCACCTACCATGTACCAAGCATCATGCTAGGTGACTGGATGAGTGGTAAATACTCTTTGCTCTCAAGAAGCTCACATACTAGTGAAAGAGACAGACATTAAATAGCCACAAAAGTGTTAAATGTAGTCATGATAAAGGAAAGTGTCAATAGGGAAAAATACAAGGTACTATAATTGTATACAGCAGTCTAATGTATTATGAAAGGTTGAGAAGGCCTTTTCCTGTGGAAATATTTAAATCAAGACCTGAAGGATGAACAGTGGCTCAGCAGGCAGAGGAAACAACACAGCTTATCCCAGGATGTAGGGTGAGTGAAGGAAAAAAGTGAGTGTGTATGAAAGTGATGAGAAATATGAACAAGATAACTCCCAGAAAATTGTTATTAGCAACCAAGTAGATGATGGTACCATTTATTGAAACAGAGAACTCCAGAATGAAAGCAAGTCAATGGGATAAGATTATGAAATTAATTGCAGACAATTAATTGATGTACTGGTGAGACAATTAAGTGGTCATAAGCAATAGGCAGTTGGACACATAGGTTTGGGGCTTAGAGCAAAAGTTTGGGCTATGCAAATACATTCTGGAAAAGTACCTGTATATATAAGTGAAGTTATGGGAGAAGATTAGCTAAATCACTTTGGGATAATATAGTGCATAAAAAAGACAAGTACCAAGCATTTAGAGGACATGAGAAAAAAAGTAACTAGAAAGAATGAAAACCTTGAAAGTATACTAACATAAAACAAGGAAAGAGATTATTTCAATGAGAGAGATTTGAAACGCTACTGAGAGGTCAAGTGAAATGAAAATATTTGCTCTTTGGCTCAGAACATTTGTTTGTTCTTGAGCTGGATAAATTTATATTCATCCTTCAGGATTCAGCTGAGTTATTTCTTCTATTCAGCATTTCCAGACTCCTAATTCTGTCTTATGTACCCATTCTACATGTACCGGGTACATATCCTTATCATAGCATTTATCATTCTGTGTCATAATTGTAACTGCCTATATACTTGTGTCCATATTTCCACCATGCTTGAAATTTTCAAATGTGTGAAGAAGGAAGACTGTGGGTCTGGATCAACATTTTGTCTCCCCTAAATGCAGTCTTTCTCACGTTTATGTCTCATCTTCACCAAGCAACTAACATAGTACCTGGCTACAAGGTTAGTACTCAGTAAATAGTTGTCACCATTTATTTATTTAGTATCTATTATATGGCAATAACTGAGCTGGAGGTAGTTGAGAAAATAAGGCATTAATGATTAGACAAGGACTCCACCCTCAGGGAGCTTCTTTTCCGATTATACACAGCTAATACTTAAATAACAAATAAGAATAGTTTATTTCTTACCATTTCAGTAGTCATCATTTTTGCTACAATATGTGTTATAGTCTTTCCAAATTCTCTTTTTCCTTTCCTACGCCTCAGAATTCTTGGAAAGAAAGGTCCATGAACTCTATAGTTGAAAATATTTAGTTATAATTAAATTAACATGAAAAAGACTGACCTTGTCCTTACTTGTAAATAAAAACTTGGTACTAAGCATCTTTGAGAAATGTTTTCATCAATTATAAGTTCCTTGAGAGCAATGAGCAACTTGAGAGCAATGTAATGATTCAGATCTTTTAGATCACTGCATGTTTAAATCCTTAAACTCTAAAATATTTTCATTTTAATTGATAGTACCTGGAAATCTGCATGCAACCCTCTGCAACCATTGCCTCAGCTACCTCAACCTTCCAATACAGTAGAAAAATTTCCGGGGTGTACTTTCATAATCCATTGAGTTGTAGACTCACACAAAGATGGGTTATGCCTGTGACAGGGAGGCATCAGAATATTTTCGAATATACATAATTTTAGATACTATGCTCAATTAATATATCGTTTTGTTTCAAAGGATATTATCTCCATAAAATAGTTGGCTGTTGGTCTCCCAGCAGAACTGTTCCAGCTTCTCTCTTAGTTGTTTTTATATTGTTTGCTATTCAGCACTTCTAATTAGTTCTTTCTCTTCTTCCTGCTTTTCTTTATGTTTCCTGTTCGTATCTCTATCATTTAAGTGTCTCCAACAGAAAGTCAGATAAAAAGTTTCAGTATAACTGTTGGCTTTTATCATTACTGTCAGCCAAAAGGGACACTCTTTTTCCAATAGATAAGGATTTACCAGTAATCTCTTTAGTGTAATCTTTTGCATTCTCTGCTGCACTTTGATTAGTGCTTTATGCTAAGAGGATGTGGCTTTAGTGTGTGTGTATATATATATATATATATATATATATATATATATATATATATACACATATATACATATATATATATTTTTTATTAAAGACAGGGTCTTGCCCTGGAGTATATGTGTGTGTGTGTGTGTGTGTGTGTGTGTGTGTGTGTGTGTGTGTGTGTGTATATATATATATATATATATGTATTTTTTTTTTTTTTTTTTTTTTTTATTAAAGACAGGGTCTTACCCTGGAGTGCAGTGGTGCAATTATGGCTTACTGCAGCCTTGACCTCCTGGGCTCAAGCAATCCTCCCACCTCAGCCTCCCCAGTAGCTAGGACTACAGGCATGTGCCACCTTGCCTGGCTTTTTTTTTTTTTTTTTTAAGAGGCAGGGTCTCATTACATTGCCCAAGCTGGTCTTGAACTCCTGGCCTCAAGCAGTCCTCCCACCTTGGCCTCCCCAAGTGCTAGGATTACAGGCATGAGCCTGGCCAGTACCAATATTTTTGAGCTGTATCTCAATTATTATATATTTTTGTAAAACTTATGATTTCAGGAAACTTTCTAATAATTTTCTATGCAAGTTATTAAAAACTGAATTTAAACATATAGCAGTATCCTCCAAAAGTTTCGTTAAACATTTCAAAATCAAACCCACTCAGCATTTTTATATCTATTTAAGCAAGTGGTCTTGATCTTGAGAAACAGGGAACCATTCATACACTTTTTTTTTTTGCTATATACCAGTTAATTAGCTGCTCCAAAAGTAAGACATCCTAAACATTCAGGAAACCACAGTAGTTTATCATGCTATCCTAGTTTTAAAATCAAAGGTATATATAGGTGTTTTTTAATCAGGTTTATTAAGGTATAATTTACATACAAGGTATTCATTTTAAGTGAACTATTCCATGAGATTTCACAAATGTATATATGTTTTTAACTCAATCACAATAATAAAGATATAAAAAATTTCCATCATACTGGTAAGTTTCCTCATGCATCTTTGCAGTCCTGAACAAACATTGGTCTGCTTTCTGTCATTACGTATTTCCCTTCCTTCAAATTTTTCTTAATAGGCTTTATTTTTCAGAGCAGTTTCAGATTTTCAGCAAAGTTGATCAAAAAGAAGAGAGTTCCTGTGTATCCCTTGTTCCCCCCGCACACACAACCTGCCCCACTATCAATATCTGGCACCAGAGTGGTACACTCGTTACAACCGATGAACCTATATTGACACATCATTATCACCCAAAGTCCATAGTTTACATCAGAGTTGACTCTTGGTGTTGTCCATTATAGGAGTTTGGACAAATGTATAATGACATGTAGCCACCATTATAGTATAATACAGAAGAGTTTCACTGCCCTTAGAATTCTCTATGCTCTGCCTCTCCCTTAATACTTGGGAACCACTGATTTTTTTTTTTTTTTTTTTTTTTTTTTTTTACTGCCTCCACAATTTTGTCTTTCCAGAATGTCATATAGTTGGAGTCATACAGTATGTAGCCTTTTCAGATTGGCTTCTTTCACTTAGTAATATGCATTTAAGTTTCTTCCATGTCTTGTCATGGCTTGACAGGTCTTTTTCTTTTTAGTGCTGAATAACATTCCTTGTCTGGGTGTCCCAACATTCCTTGTCTGGGTGTCCCACAATTTATACATTCACCTGCTGAAGGACATTTTGGTTGCTTCCAAGTTTCAGCAATTATGAATAAAACTGCTATAAACAACCATGTGCAGGTTTTTGTGTGAACATAAGTTTCCAACTCATGTGGGTAATTATCAAGGAACATGATTGCTGGATCATATGATAAGAGCATCTTTAGTTTTGTAAGGAACTTCTAAACTGTCTTCCAAAGTGACTATACTGTTTTTCCCACCAGCAATAAGTGAGAATTCCTGTTGTTCCACACCTTTCTAGGAATTTTTTATGGAATTTTATTATTTATTTATTTATTTATTTATTTATTTGAGTCAGAGTCTCGCTCTGTTGCCAAGGCTGGAATGCAGTGGCACAATCTCAGCGGCACGATCTCAGCTCACTGCAACCTCTGCCTCCCGGGTTCAAGCAATTCTCCTGCCTCAGCCTCCCAAGTAGCTGGGACAACTGGCCTGCACCACCATGCCTTGCTAATTTTTGTATTTTTATTAGAGATGGGGTTTTGCCATACTGGCCAGGCTTGTCTCGAACTCTTGACCTCAGGTGATCTGCCCACTTCAGCCTCCCAAAGTGCTGGGATTACAGGCGTGAGCCATCCTGCTCAGCCTCTCAATGGAATTTTAAAGTAGAATAATATACTATGCATTCTTTTGTGTCTGCTTTTTTCACTCAGCCTATTTTTGAGATCCATCCATGTTATTGTTATTGTGTGTGTTAGCAATTTACTTTTTTTTTGGAAACAGAGTCTCACTCTGTCACCCAGGCTGGAGTGCAGTGGTGCGATCTCAGCTCACTGCAACCTCTGCCTCCCAGGTTCGAGCAATTCTCCTGCCTCAGCCTCCTGAGTAGTTGGGATTGCAGGCACACACCACCACACCTGGCTAATTTCTGTATTTTTAGTAGAGACGGGGTTTCACCATGTTGGTCAGGCTGGTCTCGAACTCCTGACCTTGTGATCTGCCTGCCTCAGCCTCCCAAAGTGCTGGGATTACAGGCATGAGCCACCTCACCTGGCCAGCAATTTACTTCTTTATATTGCTGAGCAGTATTTCATTATAGGATTTTCTATATACAAGACCATGTCATCTGTGAATAGAGATAACTTTACTTCTTCCTTTCCAATCTGTATGCTTTTTATTTCTTTTTCTTGCCTAATTGCTCTGGCTAGAACCTCCAGTACAATTTGAATAAAAGTGGCAAGAGTAAATATCCTTATCATGCTCCTGATTGTAGGGGGAAAAACATCTCTTCTTTCACCACAAAAAATGATGACTCTAGCTGTGAGTTTTTCATAGATAGCCTTAAACAGGTTGAGGAAAATGCCTTCTATTCCAAGTTTTTTTTAGAGTGTTTATCATGAAAGGGTGTTAATTTGTCATATGATTTTTCTGTGTCTATTGAGATGACTGTGTGTCTTGTTTTTTTATTCTATTAATATTATATATTATACTGATTGATTTTCGTATTTTAAAACAACATTGGATTCCTGGGATAAATCTCACCTTAGTCATAGTGACTGATCTTTTTATATGTTGCTGGACTCCATTTGTTAGTATTTTGTTGAGGATTTTGTATCTATATTCATTAGTGATATTCGTGTAGGTTTTCTTTTCTTGTGATGTCTTTGCTTTTGGATTCAGAGTAGTATATTGGTCTCACAGAATGAGTTGGGAAATTGTTACCTTTTATTTTCTGGAAGAGTTTTTGAAGAATTAGTGTTGATTCTTCTTTAAATGTGTGTCACAATTCACCAGTGAAGACATCTAGTCCTTGACTTTCCTTTGTGAGTAGTTTTTCATTTGCTAATTCAATCTACTTAACTTGTTATAGAGCCAGTCAGAATTTATGTTTCTGCTTGAATCATTTTTGGTAGATTGTGTCTTACTAGGCATCTGTTCATTTATTCTTGGTTATCTAATTTGTTGGCTTATTTATACTATTCCTTTGTAATCCTTTTTATTTCAGTGTAGGTTTTTATGTGGACCTAAGTTTTCAAATTAATTGGGTAAATACCAAGTAGGATTGCAACTGCTGAGTCCTATGGTTAAACTATGTTTCACTTTGTAAGAAACTGCCGAACAGTGCTCTAAAGAGGCAGTACCATTTTGCATTCTAACCAACAAAGAATGAGAGTTCCTTTGCTCAACATTCTCAGTAGCAATTAATATTATCAGCTTTTTGGATTTTAGCCATTTCTAATAGGTATGTAATGGCATCTCACTGCTGTTTTAATTTGCAACTTACTAATGACAAATGAGGTTGAGCATCTCTTTATATGCTTTTTTCTGTCTGTGTGTCTTCTTCGGTAAGGTGTCTATTCAGATCTTTGCCCATTTTTAATTGGGTTGTTTGTTATGTTTGAGTTTTATGAGCTCTTTGTATATTTTAGATACAAGTCTATCAGATATGCATTATGCAAATATTTTCTCCTAATCTGTGGCTAGTTTCTTCATTCTCTTAATAGTGTATTTTTCAGAGCAGTTTTCAATTTTAACAAAGTCCAACTTATGACTTTTTTCTCTCACATAACATACAGTATTGTTGTGGTACCTAAAAACCCACTGCCAAACACAAGATTATCTATAATTTCCTATGAGTCTTATAGTTTTGAGTTTTATGTTTAGGTTTATGGACCACTTTGAGTTAATTTTTGTGAAAGGTCTGTATCTAGGTTCACGTTTTTGGATATAGATATTCAATTATTCCAGCACCATTTGTTGAAGAGAATATCCTTTTTCTATTACATTTCTTTTGCCCTTTGTCAAGTCAGTCTACTCTATGTGTGGATCTTATGGACTCTCTAATCTGGACTATATAAGGACTCTATTTATGGACTCTATTTCCTTTCACTGTTCTATCTGTCTCTTCCATTAATCTATTCTTTGACTTATACCATACTGTCTTGATTACTACAGCTTCATAGTAAGTCTTAAAATCGAGTAGTATGAGTCCTTCTACTTTTTGGCTATTCTAGGTTTCCTGCCTTTCCACATGAGTTTTAGAAACAGTTTGCCAATATCTACAAAATATTTTGCTATGAATTTCACTGGGATTGCACTGGATCTACAGATCAAGTTGGGAAGAACTGACATTTTTAAAATATTGGGTCTTCCAATCCAAGAACATAAGATATCTCTCCATTTATTGTCATCAGTGTATTGTAGCTTTCTGCATTATAGGTCCTATATTTTGTTAGGTATATACCTAAGTATTTCACATTTTTGGTTCTATTGTCAATAATTTTTAAAATTTAAAATAAATTGCTCACTGCTGGTATATAAAAAAGCAGTTGATTTTTGAATATTAACCTTGCTTCCTGTAAACTTGCTATACTCATTTATCGGTTTCAGGAGTTTTGTTCCTTTTTGATTCTTTGGGATTTTCTACATAGACAATTATGTCATCTGCAAATAAAGATAGATTTATTTCTTCTTTTCCAGTTTGTAGGCCTTTTGTTTCTTTTTCTTGTCTTATTGCATTATTTAGAACTTCTAGTATGAAGGTGAATAGGAATGGTAAGGAATTGTTACATCTTCCTGGAGAACCAAACCCTTTATCATCATGAAATGTCCCTTTTTGTCCTGATAATTGTCCTAGTTCTTAAAGGCTGCTTCATCTGAAATTAATATAGCCACACCAGATTTTTATTAATTAGCATGAGCATGAAATATCTTTCTCCATCCCTTTACTTTGAACATATCTGAACCTTTATAAAGTGGGTTTCTTACAGATCACATATAGTTGGATATTGTTTTCTTAAATCCATTTTCATAATCTCTGCTTTTTTATTTAGACCATTTACATTTACAGTTATTTTGACATAATTAACATTTACCATATTGTAGCTGGTTTCTATTAATACAGAGGTTGCACTTGTCCTTTGTTTCCTTTTTCCCTTTCTTTTCTGCCTCTTCTAGTGTTTTGGTTGCTTTTTTGTTTTTTGTTTTTTTTTTTTTTTTTTTTTTTGAGACAGAGTCTTATTCTGTCACCCAGGCTGGAGTGCAGTGGCATGATCTCAGCTTACTGCAACCTCCACCTCACAGGTTCAAGTGATTCTCGTGTCTCAGCCTCCTGAGTAGCTGGGATTACAGGCATGCACCGCCACAACTGGCTAATTTTTTTATTTTTAGTAGAGATGGGGTTTCACCATGTTGGCCAGGCTGGTCTGGACTCCTGACCTCAGGTGATCCACCCACCTTGGCCTCCCAAAATGCTGGGATTACAGGTATGAGCCACCACACCCAGACCTGCCTCTTCTAGTTTTAATTTAGCATTTTATTTTGTTCCATTGTATCTACTCTCTTAAATCAATTATACTTCTTTTTTTAAAAAATTAATATTTGCCCTAGAGATTGCAACATATATTTTTAACTAATTTAAGTCCACTTTCAAATAACACTATACTACTTCACATGTCATGCAGATACCATATAACAGAGTATTCCAATTCTATCCTCCCATCTTTTATGATATTGTTTCATTTATTTCAGTAATCCATGAGCTTTAATTACCTAATGAATCATTACCACTATTATGTTAAATAGCTATCTTTTAGATCAATCAACAATAAGAAAAATAGAGGCTGGACACAGTGGGTCACACCTGTAATCTCAGCACTTTGGAGGTCGAGGTGGGAGGATCACTTGAGCCCAGGAGTTTGAGATCAGCAAGGGCAATATAGTGAGACCCTGCCTCCACAAAAATAAAAATAAAAAAATTAGCCAGGCATGGTGGCACACACCTGTGGTCCCAGCTGCTCAGAAGACTGAAGTGAGAGGATCACTTGAGCCTGGGAAGTCGAGGCTGCAGTGAGCCATGATCACGTCACTGCACTCCAGCCTGGGTGACAGGGCAAGACCCTGTCTCAGAAAAATAAATAAATAAAATAATAATAATAATGATAATAAAATAATTTATTTTACCTTTATTCCTTCTCCCACATTGTTCCTTACTATATGTAGACATGAGTTTTTCTCATTTTTCTTTTCCCTGAAGAACTTCCTTTAACCTTTCTTGCAGAACAGGCCTACTAATGATAAACTCTCAGTTTTGTTTGTTTTGTTTTGTCTGAGCAAGTATTTCTTGCTCACATTTGAAGAATAATTTCACTAGATACAGAATTCTAGTTTGGTGGTTCTTTCAACATTTTGAATATTTCTCTCCACTCTCATCTTATTTTCATAGTTCCTTCTGAGAAATTCTTGTTCACTATAGTAGGTAATGTGGGTTTTTTCCTTTGGCTTCCTTCAGGATATTTTTTCTTTATTTGTCGTTTCATGCAGTTTAAATGTGATATGCCTAGGTGTTGATTCTTTGATATTTATCCTGTTTGGTGTTCTCTGAGCTTTATGGATCTGTGGTTTTGTGTCTGTATTTAATTTTGGAAAATTCTCATCATTATTAATTCAAGTATTTCTTCTGATCCATTTGCTCTTCCTTCTTCTTCTGGTATTACAATTACACATATGTTAACACCTTTTGAAACTGTCCCACAGTTCTTGAATGTTCTCTTCAGTTTCTTTCATTCCTTTTTCTTTGCATTTCTGTTTGGGAAGTTTCTATTGACAAATCTTTAAACTCATTATTAATTCTTTCTTCCCACAATAGATCATGTATCCCAGCTATTGATGAATTTTAAATTCTCTGACTGATGAATTCCAAAATCATACCTGAGTCTCTGTGATATTTGCTTTGTTTCTCTGAAGTGTTTTTATTTTTCTTGCCTTTTAGCATGCCTTATAATTTATTGTTCAAAGCCCAACATGACAAATCAGGTAACAGAACAGGTTAAAAGGCCTTTAGTGTGAGGTTTTATATTAATCTGGCTAGGTTGTGTTTAATGGGTACTATAGCTGTAGGTGTCAGAAGCTTCAAATTCCTCTAGTTTCCTTGTTTTTGTCCCCCGTCTTGTCTTTGTGCTTCTTATTTTTTCTTTCTGAGATGGAGTTTCGCTCTTGTTGCCCAGGCTGGAGTGCAATGGCGTGATCTCGGCTCACCGCAACCTCCGCCTCCCAGGTTCAAGCAATTCTCCTGCCTCAGCCTCCCGAGTAGCTGGGATTACAGGCATGCACCACCACGCCCGGCTAATTTTGTGTTTTTAGTAGAGATGGGGTTTCTCCATGTTGAGGCTGGTCTCAAACTCCTGACCTCAGGTGATCTGCCCACCTCGGCCTCCCAAAGTGCTGGGATGACAGGCGTGAGCCACCGCACCCAGCTTGTGCTTCTTCTTTTATTTTTTTCTTTTAAGAGACAGGGTCAAAAAAACAAACAAACAACAACAACAACAACAAAGAGACAGGGTCTCGCTCTGTTGCCCAGGCTGGAGTGCAGTAGCATGATCGATGCTTACTGCAGCCTCAAACTCTTCGGCTCAAGTGATCCTCCTGCCTCAGCCTCCCAAGTAGCTGAGACTACAGGCACACCCCACTACATTCCTAGCTAAATTTTAAAAATCTGTTTGTTTATTGTAGAGATGGGGCCTCAATATGCTGCCCAAGGCTGGTCTCAAACTCTTGGCCTCAAGTGATCCTCCTACCTTGTCCTCCCAAAGTATTGGGATTACAGGTGTGGGCCACCATGTCCAGCCTGTCTTTGTGCTTCTTTTAAAAACTGTTATGTAGACAGACTCTGTCTATGTCTTGCTACTCTTTTAGCTATAATCCAGTTATCTTATTTGCTTCACATATTATATATAGAGGAGGTCCACCTCTTCCTTTCTTATGCTTTGGCCAAAATCAAAAGAGTTAAAATGAAAGATAAGGAAAGAAATGGATTAATGAGTTCTTTTGGTCAAAAAAAACAATGATTTCAGTGAATTCAGCTAATACAATTTTCTAATACTGATAGTTGTACCTTGTGCTTACCTCATAAATTAGACATCTAATTTTATACTTCACTTTAATCAGAACATATACCACAAATTAAGTGCTATGATAAAATAATAACCATGTAAACTTTTGCTTCTATTTGAAATAGAGCAAATTATTACCGGAGGCGTAAATCTTCCCACATTTTCAGTAATCCACAGAGCATGACTATCTCATAGTATTTTTTCCAGCATTCAACAGCCTCTGCTGCAGATGGATCTTCTTTAATATTGCTCTGATACTCAATGAGCTCGACACGTTTGTTTTTATATTTCTCCAAAGTTTTTTTAAAACGTTGTGCGATAGGACCAGGTATTGTTCCATCCTGTATATCACACCACCTGAAAATTATCAACATAATTACAATGTTTATTTTTTCTAATGTGCGGTATAAGTTTATAAACTATACTTACAAATTAATTCTTTCTTCAATAAGTGCAGTATAATTCTCACAACTTTCTTCATCATCCCAGTCTCTCCAAAGAAAGTCATAAAAAAACCTACGATAAACCAAATTAAGATGACAGTAATCAAAAACAGCCACTACTGATTTAGAGCTAAATGGATATTCTGATGTCAGAATTCTCTACCTCAATCTTAATTCTTAAGCAAAATATTTTAAAATGACCTTTGAGTGAACTAAAAGGTAAAACTTCAAAAATTAGATGATCTGCATTCTATTTTAGGTTACAGTGAATGAGATAATGAGTGGGACTGTAAAATTGTTTCTAAATTTTATAGATTTTGGCTATTATTTGCTCAAAAAATAAATAATATGTAAGATACTACCAAATTTGTATGGGAGGAAAACATTAGAAAAACAAAAACATGCCAAAAAATATTCTGTATTTTGTTTGTGGATAGCTTCCCTCAAATTGTATCAACTTATAAGAAGCAATCATAATGTGAATGATGATATCTAGTATTTGTAATGCCTTTAAATTTGAGAAATGAATGTTAATAAATTTAAGATGCTTAAATATGAATAGAAGTTAATGTTACTTATTTCAAGAATTCCTTTAAATTTTATTTTTATAAAATGCAAGATCAAAAAATTGCAAACTTTTCATTACCCATATATAATGTTTCTGCAAGGAAATGTTTTTACTAAAAGTTACAAATACAATATGTTAATTTAAAATGGACAAATTTAATCCAGCAGTAGTGAGTGAAAATTAAATCAGTAAGTGCTTGTAAAGCGATTATATGAACAAAACCTTCACATTAACTTTTGGATATAATAAATTTAATTTTCAAAAGTAAAGGCCCTAATACCTGACAACTTCCAAGGCCAAAGCAATAACATGTATATCAGTATCTTGTCCCTCAACAGGATACACTTCCAAAAGAGGCACACTGTGTTCCAGTTCCTCCAAAATCTCATCAACCAAATCTCTTGGAATATTTGCAATGTTGGAAGAAAAGGGCTCAGCAACAGAAACAGTAACTTTGAAACGAGATGATGAGTCTTGGTATGGTTCACAAGTTACCTAAGATAAATATCATAAGAGATAAGAGATATAGTTATAAATATCAGTAAACCGCAGGATTTCTTTCTCATATATGAGCTCATTATAAAGTTTCTTCTTTTAAATTTATGACTTCTTCAACAATCAACATACAGAATAATTATAGATCAATATTAAATATACTACCAATAGTTTTACAAACCCTACTTCTTAAATACATTTTTTTTCAGTTTCATGAAAGGAATTCTGTATCTCCTACATTATTTGTTTCTAAGATTGAGTTGCCAGACTTTGAGATTTCATAAAACAGTGTGTGTGTGTGTGACACACACACATATGGCAGGGTCTTACTGTGGTTGCTCAGGCTAGTGTGCAGTGGCTATTCACAGGTGTAATCATTGCACACTAATCCTTGAATTCCTGGGCTCAAGCCATCCTCTTACCTCAGCCTCCTCAGGACCTGGGACTACAGGAACATGCCACTGTGCCCAGCTAATATTATCGAAAAATTTTTCAACAAATTTTGCCATAAAAGCATGTTAAATATAATAAATCATAATTATAAGCTTCCAGTGGGCATCTAGCACACAGTAAGCACTGAATAAAGTAGCAAAATAATAAAAATGACAATGATAATAACAAAAAAACAAAAACAAACAAAAGCATGTTAAAAAAAAAAAGCCCTGCTATCTGTATTACACCATTGGTAGAAGAATGGCTACTCAAACACCAAAAAAAAAAAAAAAAAAAGGAGAAAGGACATAAAGAGTAAAATTCTTTTTTTTTTCAAAATTGAGATTTTATTGGTTAAGGATCAGTTCAGACATTTCAATTTGTACACAATTCTTGACATATGTAACAAAAATCTAAAAAGCCATTTATTGTAATTCTTTTTTAAAGTTATTCCAGTGACTTTCCAGCTTAAAATTTGGAAGCAAATTTTCTTTAAGAGGCTATAAAGTACCAGTATCTTCACATGTTGGTCAGCTGTTACATACAGCCCACCAGTTCACAACTGAATAGCACCTACACTACATATTCAAATTTGTAACCTTTCACAGCACAATAACAAAGTTATTAGGAAAACAGGACTACCACAACCAAAGATGTTACAGAGTGCACACAATTCTGACAGGGAGAGCCATGATCAAAGAGTGGTTTTCTTTAGGAAACAATTCTTCTAAAAAACATGGGAATGGAAGTAATTTAAAATGTTCAAGACATTAAATGCAGTACTGACTCCATACTGCCATTTAATATGCTTTGTATTATAGGATATAAAAACTAACCCCCCACCTATGGAATGTTAAGCTGATACCTGAGACAGTCAAAGCCTCCCATAATTCAATATCCCACACTATTTTCTGGTTGTACCAAAAAATAAACAACCAGCAAATGATTTCACCTCTTAAAAAAAAGCATTTACACTTAAAAAATGGGATGAGGTGGGATTCCCTCCTTCTTAAAAATGTTTCTAGAGCTACTAAAAAACTTGCATTTACAAAATAGTTGATAAAAATATTCCTCTGGATTGTACAAGAAGGGAGACAGGGACCACTGATAAGACATGGTATATGGTATTAATCAGACTTGGCTTCTTTCTCTCCTGCTTCATCAGAGGCTGGACTCTCCTCAGTTTTCGTTTCCCCATTTTCTGCAGGTAAATCTTTAGTTTCTTGGTTAGCCACTTCGGCCTGTTTTCCCTTTGCTCCCCTTTTCCCTTTTGTTTGCACTTTTTTGTCTGAAGATTTATCCTTCGCTGCTGCCTTTTTCGGCTTCGCTTCCACTGTTGCAGGAGGCTTAGCTGACAACCGCCCCGATCTCCTGTTGGGCTCTTCCTTGGCGGCCCCTTCGGCGGAGCTGACCTTCCTCTTGGGTATCCTGGCGGCAGGCAGGGCGCGTGCCGGGTGCCTGCGGGCCGTGGCGCGCCGAGAGCCTCCGCGAAACTGGGCTGCCTGGCCGCTGCCACTCCTCCCGCCGCCCGAGCTACTGAGACCCACCAAGAGTAAAATTCTTAAGTTGATTTAGCTTCATGAACAACATGCTATATTGTTTATTCATCTTATTTCACCATAGTATAGTGATACTTCCCTGCACTTGTCTGAAAATCAGTGCTTCAGAACCAAAGTTGATAGTTTTTTAAAAATTTAATAAATTACACATTAATACAAATTTTAAAATGTTGGCACAAAATTAGTATTAACACAAACACTTCCAAAATCTGTTCTAAAAATTTTCAAGTACAGCCAATGAAATTCTTTATTTTTCGGTAGAGTTATGTCACAAAAAATATTTTAAATATCAGTAAGTGTTATATCATCAGCACATAAAACAATAATCACTTAAATACAGGAAATATCTTCAAATCACTAACCAAACTTTGAAATACAAAGTTTATAACTAATTTAATATAAATTATGTTCTTCAAAGCAGTTATGGGACAGAAGAAAACTTAGAAAATAGAATAACAACTTAAAACTGGGTGTTTGAAGATAATAAATGATCTGCAATCCATATTTGTGACAGGACAAAAATATATTTCCAAAGAGTCATTACGAAATATGATACTGAGCTTTATATTTTAATATTTTAGTTCTCTCTCTTTTTTTTAAGAAACAGGGTTTCACTCTGTTGCCCAGGCTAAAGTGCAGTGGCACGATCATAGCTCACTGCAGCCTCGAACTCCTGGGCTCAAACAATCCTCCCTGCTCAGCCTCCCAATTAGCTAGGACTACCTGTGCCACCATTCTTGATTTTTTTTTTTTTTTTTTTTTTTTTTGGTACAGACAGGGTCTCACTATGTTGCCTAGGCTGGTCTTGAACTCCTGGCCTCCAGTGATCCTGCTGCCTCAGCCTCTCAAAGCGCTGGGATTACAGGAATGAGCCACCATGCCTGGCCTAGTTTTTTTTGTTTGTTTGTGTTTGTTTTTGTTTTTTTTTTTGAGACAGGGTCTCACTCTGTTGCCCCAGCTGGAGTGCAGCGGTGCAATCTCAGCTCACTGCAACCTCTGCCTCCCAGGTTCAAGCGATTCTCCAGCCTCAGCCTCCCAAGTAGCTGGGATTACAGGCATGCACCACCACAGCCTGGCTAATTATTGTATTTTTAGTAGAGATAGGGTTTCACCATATTGGCCAGGCTGGTCTCAAACTCTCGACCTCAGATGATCCACCCGCCTCAGCCTCCCAAAGTACTGGGATTACAGGCGTGAGCCACTGCACCTGGCCTGGCCTAGTTTTGATTTTTTTCAGTATTATACATGCATATAGTTTAGAATCAAATAGCTGTACCAGGTTTGTTATGAAAAATAGAGTTCAGGCTGGGTGCGGTGGCTCACGCCTGTAATCCCAGCACTTGGGGAAGCCGAGGCGGGTGGATCACCTGATGTCAGGAGTTCAAGACAAGCCTGGCCAACGTGGTGAAACCCCATCTCTACTAAAAAATACAAAAATTAGCCTGGAGTGGTGGTGCGTGCCTGTAATGCCAGCTACTCAGGAGGCTGAGGCAGGAGAATAGCTTGAACCTGGGAGGTGGAGGTTGCAGTGAGCCGAGATCGCGCCACTGCACTCCAGCCTGGGCAACAGAGCAAGACTACTTCTCAAAATAAATAAATAAATAAATAAATAAATAAATAAAAGAGGCCGGGAGGCCGAGGCAGGCAGATCACCTGAGGTCAGGAGTTTGAGACCAGCCTGGCCAACGTGCTGAAACCCTGTCTCTACTAAAAATACAAAATTAGCCAGGCATGGTGGCGTGCACCTATAGTCCCAGCTACGTGGAAGGCTAGGGCAGGAGAATCGCTGGAACCCAGGAGGCAGAGGTTGCAGTGAGCCGAGATCATGCTACTGCACTCCAGCCTGAGTGACAGAGCGAGACTCCATCTCCCATCCAAGCACTAACCAGGCCCGACCCTGCTTAGCTTCCGAGATCAGACAAGATGGGGCGTGTTCAGAGTGGTATGGCCGTAGATGATACTCAGTCTCAAAAAAAAAAAAAAGAAAGAAAAATAGAATTCCTTGATGGTCTTCTATCACCCTCTAATTCTTGCTCCTCAGAGGCAACCATTTTTAACTCTTTTAGCTGATTATTTTTTGACATTTATATCTTTATCTTTAAATAATATGCTTATATTGCTACTTAAAGTTTTGTTTCCAGTTTTGGCATTGGATATTGACTTCCAACTCTGAAAGATAAGAATTTAGTTATCTCTTTCATTTTGCCTCATTTCCTTAATATACAACCACTCTTTCCTGGCCTTTCATTCACCAATATGGTTATATCTTAAGTATTCAGCATTTATCTTAATATGTTTGAAAAATGTGATTCACAGGTGAGCCATATGGTGTGAGCTGATTTTTCATTCCTGCAAAAAACGTTTTCCCAGCAGTCAATAATTGTATTGCTTTTCATTTGCTCATTTTCTTTTTTCTTTCTTTCTTTTTTTTTTTTTTTTTTTTTGAGACGGAGCCTTTCTTTGTCACCCAGGCTAGAGTGCAGTGGTGTGATCTCGGGCTCACTGCAACTCCTCTGCCTCCCGGGTTCAAGCAATTCTCCTGCCTCAGCCTCCCACGTATCTGGGACTACAGGCGTGCGCCACCACATCCGGCTATTTTTTGTATTTTTAGTAGAGATGGGGTTTCACCATGTTAGCCAGGCTGGTCTTGAACTCCTGACCTCAGGCAATCCGTCCGTCTTGGCCTCCCAAAGTGCTGGTATTACAGGCGTGAGCCACTGCGCCCAGCCATTTGCTCATTTTCTACGTGGCTTTCATTAATTTAGCCCCAAATTCCTTAAGTTGTAAAAATCTCCTTTCAATATGTTCAAAGCCAATAGATTGTGTTTGAAATAAAATACTGGTTTCATTTTATTTAAAGCACTCTTCCAGAGTTCTCTGACCAGTTCTATTCTGAAGTGGTTCTCTAGGCCTGCTATGTACATAGCTGTTATCACTTTGCCATCATCCCAGGAATTCCCTTTGTTTTTCTCTTAGGTTGTGGCTTCTCTACATTTTGAATCTGATGTCTTCGTATTTCTTGATTTACTCCCTTGACTGTAGATGACATCCATTAACTTCCTAAGAAAGGGTGCATTGGACATAACTTTTGAGACCTCACATATTTGAAAATGTATTTTTTCTACACTTGACTTATAGTGTGCCTAGGTATAAAATTATACAGTGGGATATCACTTTCCCTAAAATTTTTGAAAATACATTTTCATAGCTTTTTAAAACTAAGAATTACTTTTGAAAAGTCTGGATTGGGTGTGGTGGCTTACATCTGTAATCCCAGCACTTTGGGAGGCCGAGGTGGGAGGATGTCTTGAGGCCGGGAGTTCCAGACCAGCCTGGTAAACATAGTGAAACCCCATCTCTACTAAAAATACAAAAATTAGCTGGGTATGGTGGCGCATGCCTGCAGTCTCAGCTACTCGGGAGGCTGAGGCATGAGAATTGCTTGAGCCTGGGAAGTGGAGGTTGCAGTGAGCCAAGACTGCACCACTGCACTCCAGCCTGGGCAACAGAGCAAGACTCCGTCTTAAAAAAAAAAAAAAAAAAGGAAAGGTCTGATGTCTGATGCCATTCTACCTCTTGATTCTTTATATAAACCTATCTTTTTCCTCTCTGGAATCTTATTGGACCTTCTCTTTGGTCCCAGTATTCCCAAATTTCATTATGTGTTGGACACTAAGTGGGCCCTTTCAGTCTAGAAATTTATGACCTTTGGTTCTGAGAAACCTTTACAATTTGACAATTTGCTTTCTTCTGTTCTTGCCACCAACCTCTTCCCCCATCTCTCTTCTCTCTTCCTTTCTTCTCCTCCTCATCTCCTCTTCACTGGTTGATCCACCCAGGCTCTTTCTGTGGTAAATCAGTATCATTAAGTCTTTTTTTTTTTTTAGCATATGATCATACAAAAATATTTCAAATCTCATTCCTGGAGTGATATGCCTTAGCTGCCTGTGTTCTAGAAGCAGAGTTGGAAGGTAGAAGATAGAGGATCCCAACATTCAGTACCAGCAAATTTTCATGTAATTCCCTTCTTCCCAATGGGAGTACTCCCACCCTTAACCATGCTCCTCAATTTGGCTTCTTAAATTTGTAGGTTTATATCTTTTGCCAAATTTGGTAAATTTTCTGCCATTCTTTGAATATTTTTTAGCCCTCTCTCTTTCTTCTCTCCTTCTGGAACTCTGAAGACATGAATGCTAGGTCTTTTGTTATAGTCCAACATGTTCCTGAGGTTCTGTCCTTTTAAGTCTATTTTCTTTATGGTGTTAGGATTTGATAATTTCTATTTTTCTATCTTCAAGCACAATAATTGTCCTGTCTTCATTCTGCTTTTTGTTGTTGCTGTTTTACACGTTGATGTTTCCAGGTTGTTAGCTCTTCTAGTACCCCATCTAGAATATATGGTGCAAAGAAAAGCCCAGGTGGCTGGGCACGGTGGCTTACGCCTGTAATCTCAGCACTTTGGGAGGCTGAGGCAGGTGGATCACCTGAGGTCAAGAGTTCGAGACCAGCCTCGGCAACATGGTGAAACCTCGTCTCTACTAAAAATACAAAAATTAGCCGGGCATGGTGGCTCGCGCCTATAATCCCAGCTACTCAGGAGGCTGAGGCAGGAAAATCACTTGAACCTGGGAGCTGGAGATTGCAGTGAGCCGAGATCGCGCCATGGTACTCCAGCCTGGGTGACAGAGTGAGACTCTGTCTCAAAAAAAAAAAAAAAAAAAAAATCACAATGATCACCTTAACACCTAAATCTTTTTCTGCATTTCTACACTTGGATCTTAGGCAAAAGGCCAAGAAGCAATGTTTTTCCACATTTCCGATTTTCATAGAAGACATTTCCAGAAATAAAGTGCTAGTTTAAAGTTCTTGATATATTTTGCTAAACTGCTTTGTACAGAAGTTATAAAAAAGTTTTCTTAATTTCTGGACCATTTTATAACCAAAATTAAGGATATGCTAGATTTCCTTCCCATCAAATACAGTTGACCCTTGAACAACACATGTTCCAACTGGATGGGTCCACTTATATGCGTATTTTCTTCTGCCTCTGCTACCCTAGTGACAGCAGGACCAACTCCTCTTCTTCCTCTTCCTCCTTCTCCTCAGCCTATTAAGCATGAAGACAACAGAAATGAAGATCTTTATGATGATCTATTTCTATATAATGAATAGTAAATATATTTTTCTCTTCCTTATGATTTTTCTTTTATGAGACAGGGTCTTGCTCTCAAATTTCTGGGCTCAAGTGATCCTCTCACCTCAGCCTCCCATGTAGAGAGGACTATAGGTGTGCACCACCACCCAGTTCATTTTAAAATTTTCAGTAGAGATGAGGTCTTGCTATGTTGCCCAGGTTAGTCTCAAAGTTCTGACTTTAAGCGATCCTCCTGCCTTGGGCTCCCAAAATGCTAGGACTACAAGCACAGACCTCTGTGCCCTGCCTTTACAATTTTCTTAATAACATTTTCTTTTCTCTAGCTTACTTTATTGTAAGAATATAGTGTTTATCATATTTATGACATACAAAATATGTTAATCAACTGTATACGATATCAGCAAGGCTTCCAGTCAACAGTAGGCTATTAGTTAAGTATTTGGGAAGTCAAAAGTTATACACGGATTTTTGACTGTGCAGGGCCCTGCACTGTTCAGGAGTCAACACTATGTTTCTAAGTTTTTTGTTTGTTGGTTGGTTATTGTATGAATTCATGATAGGCATAATAATGGCCCCCAAAGACGTCCATTCCCTAATCCTAATCTGTGAATATGTTACCTTACATGGCAAAATGGACTTCACAGATGTGATTACAACTAAAGACATTGAGATGTGGAGGTCATCTTGGATTACCCAGTTGGGCCCATTCTAATCACGAGTCTATTAAAAGGGGACTGCCTTTTTAGCCTGCAGTGAAGCAGAAAGATGCAGTGTGAGAAGCACATTGAAGATGAAGGAAGAGGGCCACAAGCCACAGAATGCAGGCTGCTTCTAGAGGTTAAAAAAGGCCAGGAAACAGATTCTCCCACACAGCCTCCATAAAGGTATGCAGCCTTGCATACACCTTGATTTTAGCTCAGTTAGGCCCATGTCAGACTTCTGACCTACAGAGTTGTAAGATAATAAATTTGTATTCTTTGAGCCACTGAGTGTGGTAATTTGTTGTGGCAGCAATAGAAAACTAATACAGCATCTAAAGAAAAAGCGATCAGGGGCCCATAGGAATAAATTATTGTGACATCAGAACAAAGAGTATTATATAGCATTATTAATACTTCAACTGAAGTAAGACTAAAGAAGCAGAGTCAGATAAAACAACAATATGAATTGTGCAGCACTATCTTAAGAGGTCCCAAGAGCCATTCTCACTTGTTTTTCTGCCACAAAAGAATTAGAATCTGCCAATATACTGTTTTGCTTTTTCCTCTGTTCTTATGCTTCATCCTGTCTTTCTAACATTTAGAGGACATTACTAGACCCTCACAAATTCTAAAGCAAGGCAGGGACAGATTAAATAATCAATGTATTGCAGGTAAAACCTTAGAAATTGATAGAACTTTAAGGTTACCTAATCCACTGAGTTTCCATGGAACTTTAGAGATCTTGAAAAGTTTTATGGAGTATAGGGGCTATCATGAGGTATGGAGAGAGCTGCTAAGACACCATCATCCATTTCAATCAGAAATGTTCTGCTTTAATGTTAAGCTTCCACATAAAACCTGATTGAAAAAAAACCCACAAACTTATACTAAAAAAAAAAAAGTCATAAAGCCAGATGAAAACCATTTTTATCCAGATGAAAAAAATCCAGAGAAGTTGTGAAAGATCTCGGCAAAGCTACTCAAAGTCTGAAGATGAGCAAACCTCTACAAAACAGAGTACTACTGGCTGGGCATGGTGGCTCTGCCTGTAATCCCAGCACTTTGGGAGACTGAGGTGGGTGGATCACTTGAGGTCGGGGGTTCGAGACCAGCCTGGCCAACATAGTGAAATCCCGTTTTTACTAAAAACACAAAAATTAGCCGGGTGTGGTGGTACACGCCTGCAGTCACAGCTACTCAGGAGGCTGAGGTGGGAGGACTGCTTGAAACCTAGAGGAAGAGGTTGCAGTGAGCTGAGATTGCACCACTGCACTCCAGCCTGGGCAACAGAGTTAGACCTTATCTTGAAAAAAAAAGAAAAAGGAAAAGAAACAGTATTACTGAAATATTAACTAATAGAGTCTTATTGAAAAATTAACTAATCCCAATAATCTTTTACATTCCTTTGTAATCTCTGTGACTGAAAATATGGTATTCTTTTTTTTTTTTTTTTTGAGATGGGGCCTCACTATGTCACCCAGGCTCACTGCAACCTCTGCCTCCCAGGCTCAAGCGATCCTCCCACCTCAGCCTCCTGAGTAGCTGGGACCACAGGTGTGTGCCTGTTTTTCTGGTAGAGATGGGGTTTCACCATGGTGCTCAGGCTGGTCTCTAACTCCTGAGCTCAAGTGATTCACCTACCTTGGCCTCCCAAAGTGTTGGGACTACAGGCGTGAGCCACCACGCCCAGCCGCCATTCTTTATCTGTAAAACTGACACTGACTTTTCCACAGAACACATATTTTTAAATTGTTTTCAAGTAGTATATAATACAACAAGTTACATACATAAGTTTTTCTTGTATCCAAAAATACAGATTTAAACTAACTATCTGGGGTAAGGGTATCATTTGTGGTTATAAATATTAATTTCTATATAAGGATAATTGACCTTTAACAGAATCAAACATGCCACAATGTTTAGCCTACAGGCCTAACAAAGAAAAATCTTATTAGGGCCGGGTGCAGTGACTCATGCCTGTAATCCCAGCACTTTGGGAGGCTGAGTCAGGCAGATCACGAGGCCAGGAGTTCGAGACCAGTCTGGCCAACATGGTGAAACCCCTTCTCTGCTAAAGATCACAAGGTTAGGAGTTCAAGACCAGCCTGGCCAACAGGGTTAAACCCCGTCTCTACCAAAGATACAAAAAATTAGCTGGGCATGGTGGCATGCGCCTGTAATCCCAGCTACTCGGGAGGCTGGGGCAGGAGAATCGCTTGAACCGGGGAGGCAGAGGTTGCAGTAGCCGAGATCACACCACTGCACTCCAGCCTGGGCGACAGGACGAAACTCTGTTTCAAAAGAAAAAAAAAAGAAAAATCTTATCAGATAAAGGCTTGGAAGATATTATACTAGAAGGGTACTTTTTTTTTTTGAGACGGAGTCTCACTCTGTTGCCCAGGCTGGAGTGCAGTGGCATGATCTCAGCTCACTGCAAGCTCCGCCTCCTGGGTTCACACCATTCTCCTGCCTCAGCCTCCCTAAAAAGGGTACTTTTCAAAGGAAAAAAATTTCAAATTTTCCCAGTAGTTTTCTGATCCATTTCTTTTTTTTTCCTCATCTGAACTAAACTTCTTAATTCAGATAAATGAAGATTAAAGGGAAAAGACAGAAAAAGAAGGCCCAAGTTTGTTAAAGACTGAATCACTAATTTTATAAGAAATGCATTTTTGTTATTTTTACATTAGTTGAGCAAAAACTAGGCTAATAAATATTGTCTGATACTACTAGATTCCATTTAATGATAATGGTTTACAGGCACTAATATTCCCCTAACCTTCTTTTTACACTATTAATTTTCTCGGAAACTTAAAACAGAAGTAAAAATGTGTCAACTCTTGTGTATCAATCTCCAAATAATAAAGTCATATTTTAGTCTTTAAAAGAACTGATTCAAAAAGAACAAAGATCAAATAAAATTTATTTACCTCAACCAATATACCAACAAAAGGGATAGAAGCTTCTTCATATTTCACAAAGAATACACTGGGATTAGTCTTCCAGACTCCAAGCCATTTGTCTTTCAACTTTAATTTTTCTGATAGGTATTTACCCATAACTTCATCAGCATCTTCTGCCTAACAAGAGAAAAAATGGATCTACATATAAATATATGAAATTATAGATTTTAAACTAAGTGGTTTTTTTTTTTTTTACTGATTTCTATTTTAAAATGGAACCAATATAGCCTTAAATAATGAATGACCTGGAAAATTACAGATTTTAACTGAAACCGCATCTAGTGGAAAACATCACCAACAAAAAATTAAACTTAAAAGAGATCTATTCACTCGAATAATTCATAGATAAGACAGCTAGTTATTGTTTATGTCTTAATTTTCAACTTTTTATAAATATCACTGCAGTGAATATGCAGGTACACAAATTCTTCTGCTACAACTTAAAAAAATAGGTTAGAAACATGAAATATTTGCTCTATTCCGTTTTATCAGATATGTATTTTCTATAAAAGAAAGTCATGCCACCAGGCACGGTGGCTCATGCCTGTAATCCCAACACTTTGGGAGGCCGAAGCGGGCAGATTACCTGAGGTCGGGAGTTCGAGTCCAGCCTGACCAACTGGAGAAACCCCATCTGTACTAAAAAAAAATACAAAATTAGCCAGGCGTGGTGGCTCATGCCTGTAATCCCAGCTACTCGGGAGGCTGAGGCAGGAGAATTGCTTGCACCGGGAGGCGGAGGTTGTGTGAGCCGAGATTGCCCCACTGCATTCCGGCATGGGCAACAAGAATGAAACTCCGTCTCCAAAAAAAAAAAAAAAAAAAAAAAAAAAAAAAAAAAATATATATATATATATATATATATATATATATATATATATATATACACACACACACACACACACACACATTTATATATATATATACACACACATATATATCATGCCGCATTGTGGACTGCTGAGTGGGAAGTACCCTTAAAGTAATTTCTAGCATTCTAGTGTAAAAGTCAAGGCTAAGTGATCTTACTCATGTTTGGACATAAACTGTTAAATAAAGGTACCAAGATTCATGCCTGTGCAATGATAAGGCCAATATATCTTCATTTTTTAGGAGCTCTCAGAAAATTCTCTCTCAGGGCTGTCCCGTTACCTGACGAATTTTGTCGGAAACTCGAACCTTAACTCCTCTAGGGCAGGACGCGGGCACCTCTAACAAGGTGAACGCTCTATACATGTTGACTCCATTTACTTTTTTGAAACGCAAGTTTTCGTTGTGCCCTGTGGATCCCCATCCGCCTAAGAGGGAAGCCCCAGATGCCTGTCCCCAGGTTCCGACGAGCTTCCGACCGTAGTCTTCCTGTCCCGGATCCGCTCACCTTACAGTCCTGCAGCACTTCGTCGCAATACAGCGACACCTTCTCGTCCCGCCACATCCCCCTCATACGGGACACGCAGACTGGGGGCAGGGGCTGCGCCTCCTCTTCATCCTCAGGCACTGGCAGCAGGGGCTCCTCCGCCGCCGCCGCCGCCGCCTCTCCCGTGTCCTCGGCCTGAGCCGCGGGCAGGCGCTGGAGCCGCAGCCTGGCCGTCTCCCGGCCCGCTTTCCCCTTCACCGGGCGAGGGGAGGCCACCACCGACCGCACTGGGATCGCGGTGCCCTTCAGGGTGGTCGCGGCCGCCGTGTCCCCGGAGACAGCGGAGGCGGACTTCTCGCCTCGCCTGTCCGGGCTGATGGTGCGGAATGAGTCCGCGGGCACCGAGGCCTTGGAGCCCGACGCCATCTCCTCAGCAGCCCGAGGGCCGAGGCAGCCGTTGGCCACTTTTCCCGCCCTCGGCCGCTCTGGCCAATAGGCGCTCTGCGCTTCAGGCCCGCAACGAGCGGCTGCTCGAGGGCGTCCCGCCGGGTGGGGTGTTGCGGCTCTGGGAGGGATGTGAGGCGCGGCCCAGAGCTAGGGGGTGCGGGGCCTGCGGGTAGAGCGCGGGGTCCTGCGGACGCATTCAGGGTGCTGGGGGGCGCTGCTCAGAGCTAGGTGGGACAGGGCGAAGCGCCTGGGCTCAGGACAGGGGTGGGGGGGCCCGGGTCAGTGTTGGGTGCGGCTCCGTGCCGAACCCCCACCAGGTGCCGCACACACCAGAAGGTGCCAGACGAGCCCAACGCAATGGCTCTAACCCCAGCCCTCTGTCTCCCCCAGGGGAGGTTTCCTTAGGGTCCTCATACGTTTCAGGGTGATTATGAGTCACCTTCCAGGTCATCAGGACCTAAAAAAATGCTCCACCTACCACTCCACAAACAAAGCCTGAAAGAAAATTTATTTTCATACTGGGAGGTGACACTAACTGGAACCCTCTGGCTATTACTAGAGGAAACCCTAGTGACAAATCCAGCAACCTAGATTTCCCTTTTAGCCCCCACCTATTACAGGGTTCACCAAATAGGATTTCCTTTACATTTTAAATAGGACTTTCACTTTTTGCCAAGATGTGGTCATACCAAGGAGAAGTTAGTCTGTTTTCTTGTCTCTGTTGTGCTATTCAAAATTCTCACATAAAAGATTATATTATATAACTGTTAAACTGGACAACAACTTCCAGCTGGGAGTGATGTGTGCAAACTATGAACACTTTCACGATAAAAGTCTGTTCCAGATCATACATTTTGGAGAACAACAGAGACCACTCACTTCTGGTATTTTACTGTTGAATGTATATTGAGCCAATTGGAATTAACGTTTGTTCACAGTCTAGCTGTGAAATACTGCACTGAAGCTGACAGCTCCCAAGGAGAACAGCATTGGGAAAACACCTGCCTTCCTTCACACTCGTCTGGAAGAACACTATGTTAAATTCTGAGTTTATTTTGAGGAAAATATTAACATCATGTGGCTGGGCGCGGTGGCTCACGCCTGTAATCCCAGCGCTTTGGGAGGCCGAGGCGGGCGGATCACAAGGTCAGGAGATCGAGACCATCTTGGCTAACACGGTGAAACCCCGTCTCTACTAAAAATACAAAAAATTAGCCGGGCGCAGTGGCGGGCGCCTGTAGTCCCAGCTACTCGGGAGGCTGAGGCAGGAGAATGGCGTGAACCTGGGAGGCGGAGCTTGCAGTGAGCCGAGATTGCGCCACTGCAATCCGGCCTAGGCTAAAGAGCGGGACTCCGTCTCAAAAAAAAAAAAAAAAAAAAAATTAACATCATGTTACTGTAGTTTAGGGAATAATTACAACATGCATCATGTTTCAATTCTATTCTTACTTTATTCCTTTCGTTGAGTCCTGGACTTTGTTTATAACAATACTAACTGCATATTTCACTCACACACACACACACAAATGTTTTACTCTAGTGTTTCTTCAAAAGTTTGTTTTTGATAAATTATGGGTTTTTTAATTCTTAGGTTCTGAATAATAAAGACCACCTGTCCTGGGCCAAAGTTTAAAAACAGCAACAGCTCCCTTTTCCTCCAAAAGGCAAATACTTGTTAGAAATCTGTTACATGCCACACAATGCGTAGATGCCACAGTTATAGAGGTAAAAGACCAAATCCCTGCCCTCGTAATCCTAGTGAAAGATACAGATGGGTCAGTAGATGATTGTGTTTGGTAAGGACCATGCTTTTATTTATGTAAATACACATAAATACATACATATATATATTTATATACACACAAATAATTTGTATTTATTTATGTGTGTATATATATGCGTGTGTGTGTGTGTGTGTGTGTGTATATATATACACATATATTCCACATTGTAGGAGAAAAGGACCTTTCTTCTCCAAAGAAGGGATACTTAAGCTGAGTTTTTAAAACAACTTTTTTCTTTTTTTTTGCCTCCCAAAGAAATTTAGCTTGTTTCTCCCACCTCCTGTCTCCTCCAGGATGCTTTGACAAATGGAATACCACTGTCCCTTTTTCCTACAATGACTCCCTTCTCCCAACACAGAGCTCCCAATGCCCAGGCTCAAGATCGGCTTTCAGTTCCACCCATGGCCACTGCGTTTCTTGGTCATTCTTCAAGGGGTCTTTGTGTTCTCAACCTTCTGCCGCAATCCCAAGTGGAAGCTCTGTTGGCTCGCCCTCTAGTCCTCTTCCTGCTGAGCCAGTCTTCAACTAGGAATCACACCAGAGTCACCAGGACAAGGAAAGCTAGGCCCATCTGAAGGAGATTCTGGGCAGTGTGGTCTCAGAGGGCACAGTCTTTCTGGAGTCCCGTCTCTGGTTAAAAGGTAGGTGTCCCAAGAGCCAGAAGAGGTGGGGTCTGCTGGTGTTCTCAATGTCACCTATGATCAGGAGCTTTGCCAGTTCACTGGGGAAAGACCACACATGGTTGTTATAGGAGCCAAAACATCGGTATGTCCCTCTGTGGGTTGTGGTCACAGGACCAATGGGGAACTCCGCCTGGACATTCCCATATCTGCACTGTGTGCGGCTGGATCTTCCCTCCTGTTACCACCAGATCCAGAGTCACTGGGCTCCGACCAGAGCTCCCCAGCCAGATAGAAGCAGCTGTATAGCCCTGCTGTGCGGAAGGTCATGAGTAGGATGTGGAATTCAACTTTGTTAATCCATTCAGGGGGTTTTGGTCTCTCCATGGCAGAAAGGCTTCCTTCAAAGTACAGCTGGTATTCAACAGCCTCAGAATCTCCCCAGTGACAGATGGTCACCGGCTTTTCATTTGGATTCATGAACTGGGTTCAGCCCAGATGATGGGTTTTGGGAGAGTCTGCTGCTGAGCACTGATCCTCTGGCTCAGACACAGCCAGTGGCAGAGCAGGGCAGGGAGTGCAGAAGGCATCACTCAGATTCTGCCAGTCGAGTGCCAAGCAGTGGGGTGGGGACTGAGCCCAGCAGGCCAGGAGATGCACAGTATGTGGTAGGTGAGGCCCAGCGCCCATCACCACGGGGCAGCTTTCACCTTGACTTTTTTCACAAGAAGGTTCACAGCTCCTCTCCACCTCTGACCATGAGTCTACAGAAAGGCCATGGTCCCTATGACACATCTGACCACAGCTGTGGTCTAGCCAGCTCCTCTGATAATTGTCTGCTCAGCCTGAAATGCATTTCTGGGTCAACTTCTCAATTCTGCAATGTGGAAGTCATGCCCAGGGCATGAGTCAGTATTCAGACCCATGATACCCCCTGAGAATCATATAAAAATATAGGGAATTTCACAATGAGATACCATTACCATCTCACACCAGTCAGAATGGCTATTACTAAAAAGTCAGAAATTCACAGACGCTGGTGAGATTGTGGAGCAAAGAGGAAGGTTTACACACTGTTGGTGGGAGTGTAAATTAGTTCAGCCACTGTGGAAAGCAGTTTGGAGATTTTTCAAAGAACTACAAATAGAATTACCATTCAGCCCAGCAATCCCATTCCTGGGTATATATCCAAAGGAAAATAAATAATTCTACCAAAAAGACACATGCACTTGTATGTCCATTGGAGCACTTCACAATAGCAAAGATATGGAATCAACCCAGGTGCCCAACAGTAGTGGATTGGATTAAGAAAATGTAGTACATATACACCATGGAATACTATACAGCTGTGAAAAGGCACAAGATTTTTGCAGTAACATGGATGCAGGTGGAAGGCTTTATCCTAAGCAAATTAACACAGAAGCAGAAAACCATGTTCTCACTTATAAGTGGGAGCTAAACACTGGGTACATGTGAACACAAAGAAGGGAACAACAGTAACTGGGGACTCCAAAAAGGAGGAGAGAAGGAGGGGGGCAAGACTTGAAAAACTATGTATTTGGTACTATGCTCACTAGTTGGGTGACTGGATCATTAAAAGTGCAAGCCTCAGCATTACATAATATACTCATATAAGAAACCTGCACATGTATCCGCTGAATCTAAGAAAAGTAAGTAAAAATAGGGACTTTTTAACGGTGGATCTTCTGTGTACAGCATGCACATGCTTGGATAAGTTAATTGGTTTTATCAGAATGGAATGATAACACTATCTTCTTCAATGATTTGTTATAATATTTCAATAAAATAAAATAAAAGTGAAAAGAAAAGCTTCCCACTTAAAGACTTAATAAGGGCTGGGCACAGTGGCTCTCACCTGTCATCCCAACACTTTGGGAGGCCGAGGTGGGCTGATCACAAGGTCAGGAGTTCAAGACCAGCCTGGCCAATATGGTAAAACGCTGTCTCTACTAAAAATACAAAAATTAGCCAGGCGTGGTGGCGGGCACCTGTAGTCCCAGCTACTCAGGAGGCTAAGGCAGGAGAATCGCTTGAACCCAGGAGACAGAGGTTGCAGTGAGCCGAGATCACACCACTGTACTCCAGCCTGGGAGACAGAACGAGACTCTGTCTCAAAACAAACAAACAAACAAACAAAACAAAACAAAAAAAAAACCTAATAAGAAAAGAAACATTTCTAAGTAAGTAACTAACTCTCCACTTAATAAAAAAAAAAAGAAAAAACTCTCTACTGAAGTTGCGAAGATCTACGGTAAGAACAAATGTTCTATCTGTGAAATTGTGAAGGAGAAAAAAGTAATTGGTGCATATGTAGGGTATGGTACTATGCACGGTTTCCGGCATCCACTGGGGCCTTGGAATGTATCCTGGTGGATATGGGGGACTGCAAAGAAATGTGCTAATTCAAAACAGTCAGCAACATTGGAGAGTCTCCCTGCAGGTACAAGAGGATGGACTGAGTGAGAAGTAGATTTCCCATTTACTCTTGGGAGATGAATAACAATAGCAACGATTAGAGTGATAAAAGCCCAACAGCAGAAAGGGATTCCTCTCTCTCTCTCTTTTTTTTTCCAAGACAGAATCTTGCTGTGTCACCCAGGCTAGAGTACAGGGGCGCAATCTCGGCTCACTGCAACCTCCACCTCCCTGGTTCAAGCGATTCTCGTGCCTCAGCCTCCCGAGTAACTGGGACGATAGGCATGCACCACCATGTCTGGGTAATTATTGTATTTTTAGTAGATACAGGGTTTCACCATATTGCCCAGGCAGGTCTCCAACTCCTGAGCTCAAGTGATCTGCCCGCCTCGGCCTCCCAAAGTGCTGGGATTACAGGAGTGAGCTACTGTGCTCAGCCTGATCCCTCTCTTTCTTCACCATCAAACTACTCTGTGCTGTATGAGAAGAAAGGGGTGGAAGAGTTTTTCGCACTCTTCCAAGTGGTCCTGAAAAGTGAAGCATGCACAGCCACTGTCCCTCTTCTTGACAGAAAAGCCTTGTCTCTTTCTCACTCCCCAAATTTGGCTTGACTCTCATGGTGTAGTCAACTTCTTGAAGATTGCAGGATAAGATGCCAGGCAAGACGAGGGTTCAAATACCAAGTCTCTTTTTTCAGTGCCTTCAACTCTTAGCCCCAAATTCCAGAATGTCTTTCCTCCATCTAGCCAGTATCCGTCCATTCTATTTGTCTAGATAGTCCCTACCCAAATGTCCTTATAACATTTTGAGGGATGGCATCATTCTCATTTGTCTATAACATCTTGCCTAGAGCCATCGGTTTTACAGGCTGTACAGGAGGCACAATGCTGGCACCTGCTCAGCTTCTGGGGAAGCCTCAGGAAACTTTCAATCATGGCGGAAGGAAAAGAGGAAGCAGGCACATCTTACATGGCTGGAGCAGAAGCAAGAGAGCTAAAATAACTTTTATTGCTTTTTTTTAAACCTCTGATCTTTTTATTAGCCTCCTGCTCCCCAAAGAGTATCCTGCTTCTGCCAGTTTAATGTCTCAGAACTTTGGTGTCGTTGGTCTCAGACACCACTTTGCCATCCACTATCCAGCGGGTGGTGGTCTTTTGGATGGTTTGCACGGACTTGCTCCTGTCCAGGGTATCACCAAGATTGAAGTCCTTGCCATCTTCCAGCAGGCCGCAGTAGGTGGTGATCTCAGCCTCCAGCTTGACTTTGATGTTCAGCAGGGCCTCATACTCCTGGGCCTGGCGCTGTCCCTCTGCCCAGGTCTGTGCTAGCTCTGACTCCAGGTGCAGCAGGATCCCATTGAGCTGCTCCATCTGCAGGGTGCAGTGGGCCTCCGCCTCCCTCAGGCTGTTCTCCAAGCTAGGCTTCAGATTTCTTATGAAGTCTAGGTTGATCTCCAAGGACTGGACTGTATGTCTCAGCTCCATGAGCGTCATCTCAGCAACTCCAACCTCAGTGGACTGCATGGTGACCACTGTGGTCCTCTCCTTAATCTGCTGAGACCAGTACTTGCCCAGCTCTTCTTGGTTCTTCCAAGCCAGCTCGTCATATTGGGTCCAGATGTCTGCCATGATCTTGGCAAGGTCCTGAGATTTGAGGGCATCTACCTCCAAGGTCAACCCAGAGCTGACAATCTGGGCTTGTCGGCCTTTTACTTCCTCTTCGTGGTTCTTCTTCATGAAGAGCAGCTCCTCCTTGAGAGCCTCGATCTCTGTCTCCAGCTGCAGCCGAGTGACACTGGTGTCATCAATGGCCTTGCGGAGCCCCTGGATGTCACTCTCCACAGACTGGCGCATGGCCAGCTCTGTCTCATACTTGACTCTAAAGTCATCAGCAGCAAGATGGGCATTGTCGATCTGCAGAACAGTGCAGGCATTATCCACAGTATTTGCGAAGATCTGAGCCCTCAAATCCTTGATGGTCTTGAAGTAATGGCTCCAGTCTCTGACCTGGGTCCCTTCTTCTCCAGGTGCTCCCGGATTTTGCTCTCCAGCTTCCGGTTCTTGGTCTCCAGGCTCCTCACTCTGTCCAGGTAGAAGGCCAGGTGGTGGTTCAGGCTTTGCATGGGCTCCTTTTCATTCTGGATGCCTCCCATTTCTGCCAGACCCCCAGCCATCCCCGCGGCCAGGCCCCCGGACCCCATGCCGCCCTGGAAGCTGGTGGAGCGGGACATGGAGATTTGGGAACCAGAGCCCCCGACGCCTGCATAGACGCTGGCTGTGCTGCTGACTGGCGGAGGGCCATAGCTGGGCGCCTGGACAGAGCCCAGGGACTGGTAGTTGGTGGAGGTGGAGCGAGTGGTGAAGTTCATGCTGTCTGCAGAGGAGAATAAGAAGACAGGACTCCGGCTTTGCCGACGACCTACTTTTTACTAATTATGAAAGCAATGCCTCTACCCTGAGCCAATTTGGACAATACAGAAAAGCATAAGAAAGAAGAAAACTTAAATGAACTGTAATTCCAATGCTCAGCAATAACTACTACTAGATTTTGGTATATTTTCTTTTAGTATTTTTTTTTCTATCACACTATTACAAAGTTTAGATCATATTAAATTTTATAGTTTGTTTTTCTATTTAGATAAGCATTTTCATATCATTAAAAATTACTTAAACACATAATTTTCAAGAGTGGCATGTAATTTCTTGGTATAAATATAATTTGTATAACCTTATATTTTCAAGCATTTGGGCTACACTAATTTCTATAGCATCAACTATGCCATTTTGAATATCTTTGTGCATAAGCTTTTGCTTATATTTCAGATATTCCTCTAGGGGAAGGTGGGATTACTGAGTCAAGATGTAGAAACATTTTAACGCTCTCAGTATTGCCAAGCCGTTTCCCAAAAAGAATGTAATTAATTTCTACTTCTGTTAGCAGATAAAATTCCCAGGTGGGCTGAGTTATGAAAGAGAAGGAAACTATAGGCACCTAAAGCAGGGACAGAATGCGGGGATGGAGTAAGGTAAATATTCTAAGCAGAGAGAGTAGTTAGTGGCTTTATCCAGGGGTAGAAGAACTTGGTCTAGGTAGCTGAATATAGCAGGAGTAGAGGACAATTTGGGACAAAAACTCAGGCTGTAGAGATATGCATAAGCCATGTTACAAAGAGTCACCTAAACTGGCTTTAGGTAAAAAGTTAGGACCAAAATTAAAACAAACTGAAGAATCTCGTTGGCAACACGCTTGAGATTCTGCAGAGGAGAGAGAATAGCTCATTTATTTTACAGATATGTATTGAGCACCTATTCTGTGCTGGCATGGTATTTGGTGCTGGTGCTGAAGACAGACAATAAACATGATTTTTTACGTAAAATTGTCAAGAAAATAAAAACACATATCTACCCCAAAACTTGTACATTCACATCCATAGCAGAATTATTTATAATAGCTATAAAGTGGAAAGAACTTAAATGTCAATCAACTGATAAACAGATAAATAAAATGTGGTATAGCCATACAGTAGAATACTATTTGGCTATTTAAAAAGGAATAAAGTACTGCTGATACATACTACAACATGGATGAACCTTGAAAACATGCTAAATGACAGAAAATGAGGTCACAGAAACCCATATAACATATGATCCCATTTATATAAAATGTCCAGAATAGGCAAATCAATAGAGACAGAAAGTACATTAGTGGTTGCCTAGGGCTGGGGGTTGGGGGTTGCCAGGGAAGAGGGGCAGAGTTTGAAAAGGAATGGGAGCTGACTGCTAATGGGCCCAGGATTTCTTTCTGGGGTGATGAGAATGTACTATAATTGATTGTGATGATGACTGCCCAACTCTGAGAACTGAAACCATTGAATTGTATGCTTAAATGGGTGAACCGTATGGTATGTGAATTATATCTCAATTTTTAGAAATAAAATTTATGGCACATTATGTGACAGTTAGGTGCTATGGAGAATGATAAAAATATGGAGATGGATAGGGCAGAGCAGGGATGAGGACATTTTGGAGAGTAGGCCCGGGATATAATTTTTGTACAGAGCAGAGAGGGAAGGTCTCACCCGTAAGATGATGTTTGAGTAAAGATCTGAAGGAGGTCAAAAGGAAAATCTTGGACTTTGACAGCTGCAAAATAAGGAAAGTTTTTTCCATCACCAAGTCATTCCCAGGGTACAGTTCAGTTATAAAGAACATAGATAAATTAGTAGTAACACAGTTTTAGGAAGTCTTTAATACTAACACATTATTTTCATATTTCCCTATGTAAGAATAAATAAGGCTCACATCAGTCAGAAAACACTAAATAAGTACACTGGGGATTTAGGTATTTTGGAAGTTTTGTATGGTGGAGATTTGGTTTGTATTATTTTGGAGGTGCACACCAGGATGCTGTGAAATGTAATTGTATTTCTTTTTCCTTTTGTTTTCCTCAATTGAAAAAATAAGTATTAATGAACACTTCATTCGGCCATTTATTCACAAATAATTTTTCTCTCTTAGAACACTAATTTTTTTCCTCCTCAACTCTTTGACATTAACTTTGTAAACCACAAAAAAACTAAACAAACAAACAAACAAACACTTTGGAAACAAATACTCAATGGCAGTAAGAAACACAACAGTTCTTTGAAGCCTGTACCTCCTTATTTTGACCAGAGGAGAGCACTAGAGAGCTTTCGGGCTATTGAAGGGCCCCCCCGCAATCCCAAAGGGCTGGGTGGAGCCTGAAGCATTCAGCCAGGCATAGCTTTAAGTCCTGACTCAGAAGACAACAGCACAGCACTTTGCTAAAGGGCAAGCTCGGACACATTTCCGTAACATATAACACTTCTTTCACCTCAGACGTGATGTTCTGCTAAATCTTCAACATTTCATAATGTGTACTAACCCCTTGATACTTGTTTTGTGTTCTGCTTTTGTTTTCAGCTCTTTGGGAGGTAAACAATGATTTTAATTTCATTTTACATAAACCACACAAAAAAGAAAGAATCACCATACATGTTTAAGGGCACATGAACTCCACTAAGGAGAGGCAGTACTGGGTATGGACAAGACACAACCTAAAACTTCCGACTAAAGCTACCCTGGTGAAAAGCCAATGGCCCAAACTTGTCTTAACTATCAGAAGTCTTAGGTTTCAATTTTGATAGGAAAAGACACTAAGAATAACATCAGCTAATTAGCCTACAATTTGAACAGTGTATAAATATCTAATAATGGAGCAGACACTTAAAATGTATAATAACTGGGGTATCAACGGCAGAAGACAACAGACACTCTCAACCACTGTTGATGGAAATAGAAATAGTTAAAATCTTATTGGAAGGCATCTTGTTAAAAAAAAAAAACTTTCAAAATTTTAAGTGTGCATAATTTCAACCCAGCAATTCCATCTCTAGATATAAGTTCCCCCGAAATGCTGCACATGCACACAAAAATTTTATTTATAGTAGTTTTAATAATAATGATAATAGCATTTAGCACTTACTGTGGTAGGTGCAGTTCAAGAACTTTACATACGTTGACTAATTTATCTCTAAAAACAGCCTGGCGATCCCCATTTTATTGATGAGGAAGCTGAGGCAGGGACAGGTTAAGTAACAGCTGTGAAGAGGTGGAGCCAGGATTCGAATGCATGGATCCCAACGCCCCTGCTCTTAACCACTATGCTATGCAATACGAGGATATTTATTGTAGCATTGTTTATAGTGGTGTAAAACTGGAAACAGCCCATGTCTAGCACTAGTGGAATCGTTAAATAACCAATGATGTATTCATATTGTCAAAATGAAGTCAATCTAGGTGCCCTGACTCAGAAAAGGCCCCAAAGGTATACTGTAGAGAAGGGGAGGGAGAGAAGCAATTCTCAGAATAATACGTATCATATGATTCCATTTGTGTTTCTTTTCAATTACACGTTTGTATTTGGACATATATTCAAGCATAGAAAAAGGATGGAAGAACATACAGACACCAAACTGTACCAGTTGTAGTCTTTGAGGAGAGTGGTATTGGGAAGGGGGTGGTTGTAAAAGAGGAATTTCAATTTCATATTTTACCCTATGTAATTCTGTATTACTTGAAAGTTTTAAAATAAAATATATTTACATACTACTTCTGCATCTTTTAAAAAACTGGAACACTCTTTCAAAGACTAAAAAAGGACACACTTGGGCTGGGTACGGTGGCTCACACCTGTAGTCCCAGCACTTTGGGAGGCCGAGGTGGGTGAGCCAAGAGTTTGAGACCAGCCTGGGCAACATGGTGAAACTCCATCTCTACAAATACAAAAGAAATTAGCCAGGTGTGGCAGCGAGTGCCTGTAGTCCCAGCTGCTCGGAAGGCTGAAGCCGGAGGATAGTTTGAGCCCTGGAGGTCAAGGCAGCAGTGAGCCATGACTGCACCACTGCACTCCAGCCTGGGCAACAGAGTGAGACTCTGTCTCAAAATAAAATAAAATAAAATAAAGACATAGTGTAAACATCGAAGGGAATCTTAGCAAACAGTTCAGTCAACTCCTTCATAGTACTAGTGAAGAAACCGCAGTGTTAGGAAGTAAAATGGAGCCTGTATTGTTACGCCTATAACGGCTGCTCTAAGCTAGAGGCTGCCTGCCTGACTCCTGCCCCAGAGCTCTTTTTGTGTTACTACTTTGCCTTCACCTGGGGAAACCTCTAAAAGTGAGTTATGCACTATCTTAATGTGATTTGACAGTTACATTTTATTTCATAGATTCATAGTTATGTGGCCTTTTAAAACGTTTTGGAGGAACATATGTCACTCATTCATTCAACAAATATTTATTAAATAAAATAATTAGATATTACTAATTAGGTGCTAATTGTTATATGCCAGGTTCTGTTCTGGGCCCTGGAAATATAACATTGCTCAAGATATACATAGTTGTCGCCCTCAAGAATTATGGGAAAATGTTCACCACCTAACCACATAGGAAAAAACACACTATGAAGCTGTACGTCCTAAATGAAAATGCACAAAAATGTTAACAGTTATCTCTGGAGTTTTAGGAGATTTTTATGTGGTTCTTTATGTATTTCTATGTTTTCTTTCTTTAGGAAGTTTTCAATTGGCATGTATTTCCTTCATAATGAGAAAAATATATTTTAAAGAATCAAACAGTAGCTCTTTGTGTAAGTTTTGAAACCTGTGGAACTATATGAAAAGAGAAAAGGGTCATTATACCAGGAGAAAGCAAATGTTTCCCTGAAAAGGAAAGGCTTAGACAAGCTCTTCTGTTCTTGTTGCTGAACCATAAGTCTATGGAATTCCCAGGGAAAAGCCTTTTCAGAGGGCACTTCTGGAGCTGTGAGACATCTTTTGTCATATTGCTAAGGAACATCAGACAGTACACTTTGGGGGAAAGAGCTATGGAAGCCAGTCCAGGCTAGTGGTTTAGTCTTCAGGCTTTGGAGACAGACTGTATGGACGCAGATCCCAGCTCAACCCCTTTCTAGCTATGCAACCTCAAGAAATTTGTTTGCCTTTTTGAACTTCGGTTTCTCCATCTGTGAATGGGAATAAAAATGGAACATACATCATTTGGTAGTTAGGAGAATTAAGTGAGATAATGTATATAAAGAGCTTAAAACTGTGGTTGGCACATAATTGTGTTTAGTTTATGTTACCTGCCACTTAGCTCAGAAGCGGAATCAAATTCTCACTTCCCTGACTACCCACCTCCCCACCACACATACAGTCTGCACATTCATATGCACCCACACACCAAAGAAATACAGGCTATACCTTAGAGAAAACGTCTTCAGTACTGTTTCAGCAATTACACAAATTAACTCATCTACCTAACAATTGGACTAAAAATAGAACAATCCTGCATATTAAAATATAATAAATAGAAAATGATACACTGAGATGTTTTTCTTTTCACAATGTGTTTTGGGCTTCCTCAATGTCCACAGAAAGCAGTCTCAATATTTTATTATATCCTTTGCTTTATTTTCCAAATCCCTTAAAAGTAACTGATAATGGAGGAACTCTGGCAACAAAAGAAGGCTTAGCCCTGTGTGCCAGAGCTCCCAATTAAGCTAAGGTCTAGGCGCTGCCCTGACATATGACAAGCAGAGCTATCCAGCTTGAAGAAACCTTATAGGATTGGACAATGAGGACATCCACAGCACCCATGATACCTTAACCCTTACCCCTTGCCCATTATCAGAGGGTTGATGCTTCAGCACTTTGATACTTTGAAGAATCATTGTCAAAGACCCTGCTTTTGTGTAATGCAGTGTGTACTAGATTTTGAAGGAAAGTAAAACAATTTATTAAACCTACAATGAAATAATAAGATTATTTTCCAAGAGGTAGCCCTATTGCTGAGAGCCCTCTTGTAACCATGATGGAAGCCAGCCTGGGTACAAAGACAGCAGATGGCATAAATAATGGCAGAAAGAAGAAAAGCCATACTTCTGATCCAACTATGCCTGAAGCTTGGAACAACCTCTGGACTCCTCAGTTATGTGGGCCAATAAATACCCAAGCTTTTTTTTTTTTTTTTTTTGAGACAAAGTCTCACTCTGTCACCCAGGCTGGAGTGCAGTGGCCCAATCTCGGCTCACTGCAACATCCAATTGTGGGGTTCAAGTGATTCTCCTGCCTCAGTCTTCCGAGTAGCTGAGATTACAGGCACTGGCAACCATGCCTGGCTAATTTTTGTATTTTTAGTAGAGACGGGGTTTGACCATGTTGGCCAGGCTGGCCTCGAACTCCTGACCTCGAGGATCCGCCCATCTTGTCCTTCTAAAGTGCTGGGATTACAGGTCTCAGCCACTGTGCCCAGACAGTTATTATTTTTTTTTAATTAAAAAATACAAAAATTAGCCAGGCGTGGTGGTGCACGCCTGTAATCCCAGCTACTCAGGAGGCTGAGGCAGGAGAATCGCTTGAACCCGAGAGGCAGATGTTACAGTGAGCCAAGATTGCGCCACTGCCCTCCAGCCTGGGTGACAGAGAAAGACTCCGACCCAAAAAACAAAACAAAACAAAAACTAATAGTTTATGTTGTAATGAAGCAATCAGGTATTTGGTAGAACAAGTGAGTTTCCCATTTTGGTGTTTTTGTTGTTTTGTTCTTTTGTTTAAGAAAGAGTCTCACTCTGTTGTCCAGGCTGGAGGGCAGTGGTGCAGTCTCAGCTCACTGCAACCTCCGCCTTCTGGGTTCAAGCAATTCTCATGCCTCAGACTCCCACGTAGTTGGGATTACAGGCATGAGACACCACGCCTGGCCAGTTATTTTTTAAAAAGTTTTTGGCCAGGCACGGTGGCTCACGTCTGTAATCCCAGCACTTTGGGAGGACAAGGCAGGTGGATCACTTGAGGTCAGGAGTTTGAGACCAGTTTGGCCAACATGTTCAAACCCCATCTCTATTAAAAATACAAAAAATTATCTATAAAAATTATTATATTTATTTTTAAAATATTATAAAATTATCTATAAAAAATTAGCTGGGCATGGTGGCCAGCTCCCATAATCCCAGCTACTCAGGTGGCTGAGGCAGGAGAATCGCTTGAACTCAGGACGCAGATGTTGCAGTGAGCCGAGATTGCACTACTACAATCCAGCCTGGGAGACAGACCAAGACTCCATCTCAAACAAACAAACAAACAAACAAACAAAAACTAATAGTTTGTGTTGTATGTACTAGTAAAGCAATCAGGTATTTGGTAGAACAAGTGAGTTTCCCATTTTGGTGGGTTTTTTTGTTTTGTTTTGTTTTTTTGAGAAAGAGTCTCACTGTTGTCTAGGCTGGAGGGCAGTGGTGCAATCTCGGCTCACTGAAACCTCCACCTTCTGGGTTCAAGCAATTCTAATGCCTCAGACTCCCAAGTAGCTGGGATTACAGGCTCACGCCACAACACCTGGCTAATTTTTGTATTTTTAGTAGAGAAGGGGTTTCACCATGTTGGCCAGACTGGTCTCGAACTCTTGGCCTTAAGCGATCTGCCCACCTCAGCCTCCCAAAGTTCTGGGATTACAGGTGTGAGCCATTGTGCCTGACCCCTATTTGGTTTTGAGTCATAGACCCAAATTTACAGAGCATGGACTTTCATGCACAGTCACACTGAGTTTTTAACAAGAGTATGTTCTCTATCACTAAGAATTCCAAATCCTGTTTCTTTTGGAGTACTCTTTAACTTAGATTCATTTTATGTTTTAAAAGTCTAAGCCATAAATGTGTTTTGCTGGTAACATGTTTCATAGGTCAATTCATTGGTTGCAGGTTTGGAAGGCTCGCCACATGAAGGAATTACTGCTGGATGAGAGATGCTGGAGCTTTGGACTGACCAGGGACTCTGGCCAGACCTAGGCTGGCCCAGGGACTTAAGGCCCAAGGGAACATAAATGAACAAGTGCTGTTCAAGGGAGCCACTCACCCATCTTTTTCTGTGGATTCGTTCCTGCTGGGAACATACCAAACACGAAGGAAAGGGGAAACTATCTTCATTTTAGATAAAGAACTGCACGACTTAAACTTTATTTCTCCATACCATTCTCTTTGATCTTAGGGTGAGTAAGAGGGAAAAAATGTGCTTGTAGAGAGGTGAGTGAGAAAAGTGGTCATATCTTTGCCTCATAAATGCTGAAAAACTTGAATCACTGAATAGTTTTAACTGGCTTTTGCCTGTTGAGATAATAACAATCACCTTTAGGCAGCTCAGGGAAGAATATAGTTATGGGGAATTTTAAAACTCCAGTCAAGGTCAGTTCAAAGTAGGTTCCAATTTGTCTTATAAATGTAATTTATTTCATCTTGCCAACTTGAAAAGATATTTTTCCAAAGAGCTTAGAAATGGAGGGTAACTATGGACTAGAAAAAAATGGAACAGTCTGGGATAGAATGATTTGGGATGGGTTGAAGCTCCCCAGGCACAAAACAATTAAGATTTCATTACATTCATCATCAGGTGCCTCTCCCCCAAGTAGCATTTAAAGCACTCCACAATCTGGTCCATGCTGCCTTTTCTAGCCTTGTATCCTACTAACCTTTCCTTATCTCATGCAAACACCTGATTCCTTTCATATCATTTCTTACCTCTGGGCTTTTTTCAAACTGCTCTATTCCTGTTTGGAATGCCGTCTTTCCCTTCCTCCCTGCAATATCTGCCCATCAAATTTGCACTATTTATTTAAGACATAGTTAAAACCTGACAGACTCCAAAATGTCTCACAAGGTTCTTGCAGAAAAGAATCTCACCATCCTTAATAGTTACATAATATTTTGTGTGTACCAATATTGTACACTTATCACCATCACTATCTGTCCTGTATTACAGTTTATGTGTTTATCTTCCACATTTTCTTTCCAATGCATTGAGTGCAAGGGTCACATCTCGTTCATCTCTGAGCCTCCATCTATGTGCTTTGCACATATTCTATAGTTCATAGGTTCAGTATGTTCCCATTTGGTTGTAGTACTTATTCATTACCCATGATAATAGCTCACTCTGATTCAGTCAAGCACTGTTTTAAAAGCTCTGCATACATTGACTCATTTAAAACATGCAATGCAGGTTACCATTATTATCTCCAGTTTACAGTTCAAGAAACAGATTACGTAAATATGCCCAAGGTTACACAGATAATAAGGAGCAAAACTGGGACTTGAATCCGGAAGATCTGCTTCCAGAGATCATACCCTTAACCACTAGGAGAAACACAGTCGGCCCTCCATATCTGTGGGGGGATTTGCTCTAGGACTCCTGCAGGTACCAAAAACTGTGGATGCTCAAGCCCCTTACATAAAATTGTGTAGTACAGTCCTGGCATACTCCATACTCTATCGGCAGGTTTCCATCTGGTTGGTTGAATCCTTTGCAGATACGGAGGGCTGACTATATATACAGTCACCACAGATTTTCTTGTATTCTTTTGGAGAAATCAGAGATTCGATAAGCCACACACTGGATGTGGAATTCTAGAGCTCTGGTATCATAAGTCCTGGATTAGAAGAATTTGACTGAACATACATACATCCACTGAAAATTGTAAGCTGTTGATATAGATATTTCTTATGTTTTTAGGCTGTCCAGCATCTTTTGATCATTCTTGCTATTTTTAGGAAATCTCTGGCCTTAGGAATTCTGCTTCCCAAGATACAAACCCAGAAAACTCAGTTCCCTGGGGTCCTTTGTAGCTAGAACATAAGCATGTGAAATTTTATTTCAGAAAGGTTCTCACCCAGGAGATAGCTTTGGTGCTGGGCCGCAGTACGGGGCACTGTAAAGTCAGTCCTAGGCAGCAGGGCCAATGGTGTGCCCCTCAGTAGTGGGAAGGACAGAAGCAGCAGCAGCAGGTTCCTCATCAGCCAGTTCTGTACCATGGTCTTCAGTGTTATTCCTGGAAACGTAGCCTTAAGCCAGTCCTCCCACTCTTCTGTTAGCTACCCAGTATCCTTTTTTTCTTTAACAGCTTTATTGAGAAGTAGTTTACATACCCTAAAATTCACCTGCTTTAACCCAATATCTTTTAAATAAACTTAGGTTAATAAACTGCTTAAATATCCAGAGTCAGTTTCTCTTGCTTGTAACTAAAAATGCAAATTGAGTTGTTTATAATCATAAATGAAAAGGCATTTTCTTTGGAATGTTTTGTTGCTGCTTTTATTATTATATTATTTATCAATCTCTCTTCATTGTTCAACTGCATTTCTTTGGCACACTTTTTCACATTCATGATACACTTTATACTTTTTTTTTTGTTTGAGACGGAGTCTCGCTCTGTCGCACTGTCTGGAGTGCAGTGGCACAATATCGGCTCACTGCAACCTCCACCTCTCAGGCTCAAGCGATTCTTGTGCCTCAGCCTCCTGAGTAGCTGGAACTACAGGTGCGCGCCACCATACCTGGCTAATTCTTGTATTTTTAGTAGAGACGGGGTTTCACCAAGTTGGCCAGGCTGGTCTCGAACTCCTGACTTCAGGTGATCCGCCCTCCTGGGCCTCCCAAAGTGCTGAGATTACAGGCATGAGACACTGCACCCGGCCTATGATATACTTTTCAATAGGAATATCATAAAAACGGCTTAAGTCAACACTAAAATGTACTTTCTTAACAACCTCCACCTATCTGAGCTACCTGATGCCTATAGCACTAACTCTTGTAGCCAGGAGGTGGCTACTCCATTATGCTTGAGGCGTTTGTTCTGAGACTTTTTTATATCAGTTATTTTTAATATTGTGTCACCCACATCTAATTTGAAAACTAAAAAAGTTTAAGTGATTTAATCAATCAAGTGGTTCCAAGGCATTCAACTTAGTTCTCATAGAAACACTTTTCTTTCTTTTCACTTATATTTTATTTGCTTATATAATTTTAAAAATTAAATTTTGTAATTAGATAATGCAAATGGAAATGCCAAACTGAAATATTACCAATTAGGAAATCTATTCTTGGAGGCTACTTCTGCCTAATGTCACTGTGATATAATATGAAACACTGCATAACTCATGAGAGAGTGAAGGCTGTCCTACGTCAGTGTTGAAAGCCAGGTTAGCTCAACAAATGTGTTTTGCTTATCACTAGAGAAATTGAAGATGAACTGAGGAACCCAAAGCAGTTCAGGCCTTTAATTGAAAACTGACAGTTACAGCAGAGGAATGAAAAGTCCCAACCCACACAAGAGTTTGGTATCTAAATGATAGCAAGATTAAGTTAAAAATGACAAGCTGTTGCGGGGGTTTGTTCTTCTTTTTTTAATCTGAGGTCTTAGGGGTTTTAAACATTAAATCAGTCTGCTTATAAATCTTGCCGTAAAATGGGCTGGGATGAATTCAAGACACTATAAGACATGAACAGTATCTTCAAATGGCATATTTTAGATAAACCTATCACTTATCTTTTCAGCATTCAGAATTCAACCGAAGTCCTCCCATACACAGCAGTACCCTATAAACAAAGGTGCAGAGTCTAAGACAAATAGGGAGGATCAATGCCCCTTGGAAGTTCCTTCTAACAAGACAGTAAATATGGTCAAACAGTGGAGAAGGGCTGTGGTATTTTTCAGATATAGGCTAAATTCATCATGGTTCATTTCCAGTCCGCTCTTACTCAGTATGAAATGTTTCAGTTCACAAGAAGGTGTGAGGAGGAGTCTCAGTTTACTTAACTCGCAACTGTAGTTTTGGAAAAAAGATAAAGTTTAAAAGTTATTTTTCTCATTCTAAAGTTTATTTTTGGTTTTTAAGGACTCCGTGGTTTCTAAGGACATTGGGGCAAGGCATGCTTATTTTTTTATTTTTTATTTTTTGCCATGAAGTTACAGGATAGCTTACAATTACAGTAACTAGCTGGTGGTTTTTAAGAAGACATGGAATAGGGTTGCCTTTGTCAGTACGCTATTAGAAATAGACTGTTAATCAACCACTGCTCAGAGTCTGATGTTTAACTTCTTGAAGTAAACATTTGAGGTCACAGCAGTCCCTCCTTGTAAGTTTTATGCATTACTTCAGTTGGAGAGGTAAAGGCATTAAAACAGTTAACTACACATTTGATCAATGAACCAGTCTCCCATGTTTGATTTAAGGCTTGAAAGTGAATTAAACTTATGAATAAAATCAGGCTCTTAGATTCTAAACTATAAGTTCATAATAATTTCATTAAAATGTTTATAACTTTCAGAATTTCAATATGAAACCATGCTTTTTTGACATTAAAAAGTTTGCATCAGAAAGTAAAACCTTTAAAAGATTTATAAAACATTTTAAATTTGTTTGTTAAATTTCTATCAAACAGTAGGAATCTAAACATTCTAATAGTTGCTACACTTCTGGAAATAATTACCTGAAAGGAGATTAACATTGCTCAACTAGTTAGTGGCCCAGATCTCTGCTATTGTTTGTTAGTGAAGGGGCTATTCATTCATAAAGCTGGACCCACCCAACCGAACAAAGAGACCCTTGGTGGCTGTTCAGGTGGACTCTAAGCCAAGAAAAAGGAATTGCTTCATTTCCTCAAGACTAAACTTTTGATCAGCGCTGTGCGGTCAGGCTAAGAACTTAGATGGAATTTTAAACAAGGCATTGACGGCATTTCGGAAGCCACCATCAAACATCCTCCAATTAAGGAAGCAACGTAACAAGGTAAATTGAACCAGACAGGAATTTATTAAGGAAATTCACCTCTATTACCACAAAACACATCTCCTGCCAAGTCCAATGAATATTTCACAGATAATAATCAATTATTGACTCTGGCACATCTCTGAATGTGATGTGGGTCTTACTTACAAGTGTGACGTTTTAGTAACCAAAATGGGATTAAGTTTTCAAAATGCTGGGTAAATGTAGCGAAAAGACTGACAAGGCTTCTGCTCCAATGGGGTTTATGTTCTAATGGAGGAGGCAGACTGTAAACAACTTTTTCAAATATATTTTTACAAATGTGATTACTGTTTTGAAGGGAATACAAAAGTTGCTGAGACAGAAAATAACTCAGGGGAACTAAATAAATAGGGTGGTCCGAGAAGTTCTCTCTGGGTTGGGGACTTTTAATTAAGACCTGAAAGATGAAAAGAGGCCATCCATGGGAACGCTGGCAGGAGGAGCATTGTAGGCAGAGGCAGTGCAAGTACAAAGGCCCTGCAAGGCAAAGGGCTTGCCATATTATGGAAGGACTGACAGTAGCCCTGTACAGCCACGGCGTCAGACCCTGGGAAAGGTGGCACGTAGTGAGGTTAGAGAGGCAGATGGGGACAGATCACGTAGAGCAGCTTTTCTCAAACATGTTTGACCATGGCTCATAGTAGGAAGTATATTTTATGTCTCACCCACTACTCAAATAAAACAAAATGTTTACTTAGAAAATCCTACCCTTACAATGTGTAATGCCTATGATATTTTCTATTCATTTTAAAATACTAATCAATATCCACTAAATTCATTTCTTCACCAACGAATGGACTTTTGCAAAAGCATCGATAAGAGTCTGGGAAACTTTTGGAAGTCTTTTTTTATTTTTATTTTTATTTTTTAAAATTTTTATTTATTTATTTATTTTGAGACGGAGTCTCCTTCTTTCGCTGAGGCTGGAGTGAAGTGGTGCGATCTCGGCTCAATGCAACCTCCATCCCCTGGGTTCAGGCAATTCTACTGCCTCAGCCTTCCCAGTAGCTGGATTACAGGTGCCCGCCACCATGCCTGGCTAATTTTTTTGTTTTTAGTAGAGGCAGGGTTTCTCCATGTTGGCCACGCTGGTCTCGAACTCCTCACCTCAGGTGATCTACCTGCCTTGGCCTCCCAAAGTGCTAGGATTACAGGCGTGAGCCACTGCGCCCAGCCAGAAATCTTTAAGGAAGGGAGAGCTTGATTGATAAATGGAAACTTCATTTTAGTCACTATAGAAAGATTGGATTTAAGGATAACAAAAATAAAAGTGGAAGGATCTGTTACGGTATCATTGCCAAAGCTCAGGTGAAAGTTAATAGCTCGAGCTATGTTGGTGGTAATCGAAGTGGAGAGACATTCAGATTCAGGATATATTTTAGAGGTAAAGCCAACAGGACACAGTGAGGAATTGACTGGGTAGTGGTGAAGGAAAGGAAGGCATCAAGAGTTAGTGCCAGGCTACTGGCTTCAGTAGCTGAGAGTATGATAGTGCTGTTTATTAGGAGACTAGAGTTAGCACTGGATGTATGATGAAAAATTTAAAATTCCATTTTAAACATGTTAAGTTTGAGATGACTCTGAGTCATCTGAGCAGTTAATTACACAAACAGAGTTCAGAGAAGAAAGCTGAGGGTCAATAGAATTAGGATCTGAAACAAACAAATGGTATTTGAAGTCGTGGTAATGATGCGTTCTCCTAGAGAAAGTGTGGATAAAGTTGGGAAAAGAAAGCACTCACTAAGTACTTTCAAGGAGCTCTGATTTTAAGAGGTAGGATAGAGAGGATTAAGAGAGCTGGTAAAATACAGTGAGGAGGAGCTGCCTTTAGAATGGGAGCTATGTCAGGGGTGTGGTGCCTGAGAACCACTGTAGTGGAATGTGAACCAAGGAGGGAAAGACTGCATTGAATACTGTTGAGGAACCAAGCATAAGGAGAACAGAACATTGCTCATCTGGCACTATAGAGGCCTTTGGTAACCTTGACAAAGGTGTTTCTGTGTCATTGAAGGGACAAAAGCTAGACTGACCCTAGACCCCAGAAATTCCACCTCTAAGTTATAGCAACTAAGAAACTTGTGCACATGTGCACGAAGAGAACCGTATACAAAAAATTCATAATTGTTTTGTTCACTGGAACAAGAAACTGGAAATGACCCAAATTTGTATCTTTGGGAGAATAGATAAATAAATTATGATATATTTATACTGTGGGATGAGTGCTCTAACTTGAGCAAGTATATTAACAAAAAACACACAATAAACAAACGAAAAAGTCACAGAGTATATCTGTAGTATGATTCCATTTATACAAAGTTCAAAAAATGAAAAATAACACATTGTTTAAGCATACATAATAAGTAAGGGAATGATAAGCAAAACTGAAAAGGGCTATTACCTGGGTATGGGAATACTCAAAGATTAAACTCTATCTGTATTACACATGTGTTTTGGTGTATATAAAATATTTCATTAAAAATAGCTACTTAGCACTGTCTCCTGAATAGGTCTAAATATATTGACCGACTTGGTAACAATAAGCATTGCTAGTATCCTACCTGTGGTCTCCAAATACTATTTTTTACTGAAAGAAACAAGAACTCTCTGAAAAAGGGCTGATTTTAAGAAAAAGGGATTGGGAATATACAAGACAAAGCTAGACAATCTTGTCTTTGGGGAACAGCTAGAGCTATGTCAAAAGAACACAGAACCCAACTTGAAGTGGTTCCCAGTGGCAAAGATGGAAATGCTTGATAAGATGGAAATGCTTGATTATAGTTAAGGATATTTACTGCAATGGATTGAAAAACACATAAAATATGCTTATCCTGCTTTTTAAAATATAAATTATTACTGTTGGTTATTCAAATAGTAAGTGAAAGAAGTTTCTCTTTATAGTATTCCAGATAATAAAAGAAGAACTGAGAAAATATAACCATTTTTCAATTTGTAATAAAATAATGGGTTTAATTCTCATCAACTGCTGCTAACATCACAAAAGAGAGAGAAACAGACATTGTGTGCCTCCTGATGGAAGAGCACAAACCAACTGTGATGTCTAGCCAAAAGAAACTGAACCCAAATCTGATCAATCTTCTAGATCCAACTACCATTTTATAGAAAATACAGAGGACGGAGGAAATCTCACCTATATCACATGGATGCATTCATTCTGTGAAATCCACATTGTGGAGAATTCTAAAAGACAAATAGCTCTGTTTTTTCAAAAACAACAATAAAAACACTACAAACTAGCACAAGAAAAATGAGAGAGGAGGGGAAAACAATAGCTTCAAACAGACTTAAAAGATATCCAACCACTCCCAATATGTAAACCTTATTTAGATTCTGCTTTGGATCAACTACTAAAATTTTCTTATAAATGTATGAGATGATTGGAAATTTTGGATACTAACTGTGATATTATGATACTGGTGATATTGAGAAATTATTAAATATTTTAATAAGTGATAGGTGTATTGTGGTTATGTTAAAGATAAATTTTACATTTAAAATGAGTTTTATTTAAGGGTAAAAATTAATCATGAATAGATTAATTTGCTAAATTAGTTTAATTAATTAATTAGTTAAAATAGCTGATTAAAGGTACTTTTACAGCTGCTTCTTCCCAAATAAACTAGAATGAGAGAAAATATGTACATACATGTATGAACGTTAAAGTCATAAATCCACACATATAATATAAAAGATAAAGGGGGCCGAGCATGGTGGCTCATGCCTGTAATCCCAGCACTTTGGGAGGCCGAAGCAGGCAGATCACTTGAGGTCAGGAGTTCGAGACTAGCCTGGACAACATGGTAAAGTCCTGTCTCTACTAAAAATACAAAAATTAGCCAGGCATGGTAGTGAGCACCTGTAATCCCAGCTACTTGGGAGGCTGAGGCATGAGAATCACTTGAACCCGGGAGGCGGAGGTTGCAGTGAGCCGAGATCTTACCATTGCACTCCAGCCTGGGCCATAGAGCGAGACTCGGCCTCAAAAAAAAAAAAAAAAAAAAGATAAAGGGAAAGAAACAACAACAGAATTTTGGACTTCAGAGTAGATATCAAAAACAGTATTAAGTGAAAGTTTCCTTGGCCAATCCAACTTGGAGAGTGTTCATTTGTTATTGCTTTAATTTCCATTTCCCTAATTACAGTCATGTATTAATTAACAATGGGGATACATTTTGAGAAACTCATTTTTAGGCAATTTTGTAGTTGTGTGAACATCATAGAATGTACTTACACAAACAGATGTTATAGCCTACTACACACCTAGGTTACATGGTATAGCCTTGTGCTCGTAGGCTACAAACCTGTATAGCATGCTACTGTACTGAATACTGTGAGCAACTGTGACACAATAGTAAGTATTTATGTATCTAAACATATCTAAACACAGAAAAGGTACCGTAAAAGTACAGTATAAAATATAAAAAATGGTACACCTGTATAAGGCACTTACCGTGAATGGAGCTTGCAGGACTGGAAGTTGTTCTGTGTGAGTCAGGGAGTGAGTGGTGAGTGAATGTGAAGGCCTAGGACATTACTGTACAGCACTGTAAACTTTATCAACACTGGACACTTAGGCTACTCTAAGTTTATTTAAAATTTTTTTTCTTTAATAATAAATTAACCTTGGCTTGCTGTAACTCTGTTACTTTTTAAATGTTTAAATTTTTTAAATTTTTGACTCTTTACAATAACACTTAGCTTAAAACACAAACATGTTGTACATCTGTCCAAAAGCATTTTCTTTCCGTATATCCTTATTCTATAAACTTTTCTCTAACTTTAATTTTTTTAAGCTTTTTTGGTGAAAAACTAAGACACAAACTTACACATTAGCCCAGGCCTACACAGAGTCAGGATCCTCAGTATCTCTGCCTTCCACCTTCATATCTTGTCTCCTGGAAGGTCTTTAGGAGTAACAACATGCATGGAGCTGTTATCTCCTATGATAACAATGCCTTCTTCTGGAATACCTCCTGAAGGACCAGCCTGAGGCTGTTTTACAGTTAACTTTTTATTTTAATAAGTAGAAGAAGTACACTGTAAAGTAGTGATCCAAAGCATTATAAATACGTATAACAGTAATATGGTCATTTATTATCATTATCAAGTAGTATGTACTGCACATCATTGCATTTACTATACTTTTATAGGACTGGCAGCACAGTAGGTGTGTTCCCACCAGCATCACCACACCCACGTGAGTAATGCATTGTGCTATGACATTTCCATGGCTATGTCAGGATAACTACAATGTCACTAGGCAATGGGGATTTTTCAGCTCCATTATAATCTTATGAGACCACCGTCATGTATGTGGTCTATCATTGACCAAAACATCGTTATGGAGCACATGACTATACTAGTGAGGTTGATCATCTTTCTTACTGACCATTTAATTTCCTTTTTTATGAGTTGGCTGCTCACGTATTTTGCCTGATTTTCTATTGGGTGGTTTGTTTTGAAACATTCTGAGTACTAATTTTTTATTAGTCACATATGTTGCATATATCTTCTCTGAGGTTGTCATTTGTATTTTAACTTGTTTATGCTGTCTTTTGTCATATAGATGTTTTTAATTTTCTTTTTCTTTTTTTTTTTCTTTTTGCCAAGGCAGGGTCTGGCTCTGTTGACTAGGCTGGAGTGCAGTGGCATGATCTCGGCTCACTGCAACCTCTGCTTCCTGGGCTTAAGCCATTCTCCCCACTTTAGCCTCCCGAGTAGCTGGGACTACAAGCACATGCCACCACGCCCAGCTAATTTTTGTATTTTTTGTAGAGTTGGGTTTTTGCCATGTTGCCCACACTGGTCTCCAACTCTTGAGCTCAAGCAATCTGCCCACCTCAGCTTCCCAAAGTGCTGAGATTACAGACGTGAGCCATTGCACTCTGCCTTTAATTTTTATAGTCAAATTTATCAATATTTTTCTTTGTGATTTATGGTGTTTATGTCTTGTTTAAGAAAACCTGCTCCTTTCAAGGTCATAAAGATTTTCTTCTATATTTTCTTCTAAATGTTTTAAGATTTTACCTTTCAGCTGCGTGCAGTGGCTCACGCCTGTAATCCCAGCACTTTGGGAGCCCAAGGCAGACGGATCATGAGGTCAGGAGTTCGAGACCAGCCTGACCAACATGGTGAAACCCTGTCTCTACTAAAAATACAAAAATTAGCCAGGCGTGGTGGCATGCGCCTGTAATCCCAGCTACTCATGGGGCTGAGGCAGGCAAAGTTTGCAGTGAGCCGAGATCACGCCATTGCACTCCAGCCTGGACCACAGAGCAAGACTCTCTCTCAAAAAAAAAAAAAAAAAAGGATTTTATCTTTCATATAGAAATCTTTAATCCCATCTGAAACTGATTTTTGTGAAAGATTTGCTGTAGAGATCTAGTAGTTTTCAAAAATACATGAATTACCGAATTGTCCCAAGATCATTTGTTAGGTAGTTATCATTTTCCTCCAATAATTTACACAGCTTTGTGTTACAAGCAATCCTTTTGTTGGATTGGGCAAGTAAAAGAAGACTTTGTCTTTTCAAGTGAAATCAAAACATATTATTAGAAGAGAAAGGAATTAGATTGAGGAGAGAAATGGATACAAAAAAAAATAGAATGAATAAGACATACTATTTGATTGTTCAACAGGGTGACCATAGTTAATAATAATTTAACCATATATTTGAAAATAACTGAAAGAGTGTAATCGGATTGTTTGTAACACAAAGGATAAATGCTTGAGTGGATGGAACCCCTGTTCTCCATGATGTGATTATTTCACATTGCATGCCTATATCAAAACATCTCATGTACCCCACAAATATATACATCTATGTGCCCACAAATTAAAAATAATTTTTTTTTTTTTTGAGACAGAGTCTTGCTCTGTTACCCAGGCTGGAGTGTGGTGGCATGGTCTCGGCTCACTGCAACCTCCGCCTCCCAGGTTTAAGCAATTCTCCTGCCTCATCCTCCCGAGTAACTGGGATTATAGGCACCCGCCACCACGCCGGGCTAATTTTTTGTATTTTTAGTAGAGACGAGGTTTCTCCATGTTGTCCAGCCTGGTCTCGAACTTCTGATCTTGTGATCCACCCGCCTCAGCCTCCCAAAGTGCTGGGATTACAGGTGAAAAATTTTTTTTAAAAGAGTGAAGAGACAAAAAAAGTCCATAAAATGCTACACTTTAAATAATCTATAATGGCTCATTGTCACTTTCAGTCTTTTTTTTTTTTTTGAGACAGAGCCTCACTGGGTCACCCAGGCTGGAGTGCAGTGATGAGATCTCGTTTCACTGCAACCTCTGCCTCCCGGGTTCAAGCGATTCTCATGTCTCAGCCTCCTGAGTAGCTGGAATTACAGGCACACACTACCACGCCAGGCTAATTTTTGTATTTTCTTTTTTTTTTTTTATTATTATACTTTAAGTTTTAGGGTACATGTGCACATTGTGCAGGTTAGTTACATATGTATACATGTGCCATGCTGGTGTGCTGCACCCACTAACTCGTCATCTAGCATTAGGTATATCTCCCAATGCTATCCCTCCCCCCTCCCCCCACCCCACAATAGTCCCCAGAGTGTGATGTTCCCCTTCCTGTGTCCATGTGATCTCATTGTTCAATTCCCACCTATGAGTGAGAATATGCGGTGTTTGGTTTTCTGATCTTGCGATAGTTTACTGAGAATGATGATTTCCAATTTCATCCACGTCCCTACAAAGGACATGAACTCATCATTTTTTATGGCTGCATAGCATTCCATGGTGTATATGTGCCACATTTTCTTAATCCAGTCTATCATTGTTGGACATTTGGGTTGGTTCCAAGTCTTTGCTATTGTGAATAATGCCACAATAAACATACATGTGCATGTGTCTTTATAGCAGCATGATTTATAGTCCTTTGGGTATATACCCAGTAATGGGATGGCTGGGTCAAATGGTATTTCTAGTTCTAGATCCCTGAGGAATCGCCACACTGACTTCCACAATGGTTGAACTAGTTTACAGTCCCACCAACAGTGTAGAAGTGTTCCTATTTCTCCACATCCTCTCCAGCACCTGTTGTTTCCTGACTTTTTAATGATTGCCATTCTAACTGGTGTGAGATGGTATCTCATTGTGGTTTTGATTTGCGTTTCTCTGATGGCCAGTGATAATGTGCATTTTTTCATGTGTTTTTTGGCTGCATAAATGTCTTCTCTTGAAAAGTGTCTGTTCATGTCCTTCGCCCACTTTTTGATGGGGTTGTTTGTTTTTTTCTTGTAAATTTGTTTGAGTTCATTGTAGATTCTGGATATTAGCCCTTTGTCAGATGAGTAGATTGCAAAAATTTTCTCCCATTCTGTAGGTTGCCTGTTCACTCTGATGGTAGTTTCTTTTGCTGTGCAGAAGCTCTTTAGTTGAATTAGATCCCATTTGTCAATTTTGGCTTTTGTTGCCATTGCTTTTGGTGTTTTAGACATGAAGTCCTTGCCCATGCCTATGTCCTGAATGGTATTGCCTAGGTTTTCTTCTAGGGTTTTTATGGTTTTAGGTCTAACGTTTAAGTCTTTAATCCATCTTGAATTGAGTTTTGTATAAGGTGTAAGGAAGGGATCCAGTTTCAGCTTTCTACATATGGCTAGCCAGTTTTCCCAGCACCATTTATTAAATAGGGAATCCTTTCCCCATTGCTTGTTTTTCTCAGGTTTGTCAAAGGTCAGATAGTTGTAGGTATGTGGCGTTATTTCTGAGGGCTCTGTTCTGTTCCATTGATCTATATCTCTGTTTTGGTACCAGTACCATGCTGTTTTGGTTACTGTAGCATTGTAGTATAGTTTGAAGTCAGGTAGTGTGATGCCTCCAGCTTTGTTCTTTTGGCTTAGGATTGACTTGGCGATGCGGGCTCTTTTTTGGTTCCATGTGAACTTTAAAGTAGTTTTTTCCAATTCTGTGAAGAAAGTCATTGGTAGCTTGATGGGGATGGCATTGAATCTGTAAATTACCTTGGGCAGTATGGCCATTTTCACGATATTGATTCTTCCTACCCATGAGCATGGAATGTTCTTCCATTTGAAAAATATGGAATGCTTCACGAATTTGCATGTCATCCTTGCACAGGGGCCATGCTAATCTTCTCTGTATCGTTCCAATTTTAGTATATGTGCTGCCGAAGCGAGCACTAATTTTTGTATTTTCGGTAGAGACGAGATTTCATCATGTTGGCCCCAGGCTGGTCTCAAACTCCTGACCTCAAGTAATTCGCCTGCCTTGGCCTCCCAAAGTGCTGGATTACAGGCATGAGCCACAGTGCCCTGCTCATTTTCAGTTTCCTTTTTACAGAGAAGAATTTGTTCTAGAACAAACTGAACTTTTTTTGTGTGCTGCAACTGAAAACTAACAGAGAATTTATATTAGACACAACAAGAACTTGTCCTTTTGTAGCTAATGTGTTGATGCATGGACTTAATTTTCATCCAAGTACTGATCAGATATTGGTTAAGCTTTTGCTGAAAGTGAACATATTATGAGTAAATTATCCAGATGAGTTACCTACTTTTTATCTAAAATGCCTAAGTACAACTTGCTATAGCGAAGCATGTGCCACACCATGGTTAGGAAAACCAGAGATATTCTGTTTTGAAAGATTTCTAAGTTGATAGAAACTGTGACTTCTATTAGTGGTTCTTTTAATAATTGTCTCACAAACAGCTCAGATCTGATATCCACTTGAAACAGTAAATCACTTTTTTTTTTTTTTTTTTTTTTTTTTTTTGAGACGGAGTTTCGCTCTGTCGCCCAGGCTGGAGTGCAGTGGCGCAATCTCGGCTCACTGCAAGCGCCATTCTCCTGCCTCAGCCTCCCGTGTAGCTGGGACTACAGGCGCGCGCCACCATGCCCGGCTAATTTTTGTATTTTTAGTAGAGACGGGGTTTCACCGTGTTAGCCAGGATGGTCTCGATCTCCTGACCACGTGATCCGCCCGTCTCGGCCTCCCAAAGTGCTGGGATTACAGGCGTGAGCCACCGCGCCCGGCCAGTAAATCACTTTTTTAAGCAAGATTTTTTACATGATAGAGGTGGTTTTATGACAAAGCAGTATATTATGAGCCAATAGCCATAGTATAGAGAATTTAGACAACTGAGGCCAACAAATCTCATACACTCTTAATGCCCTAACACACAATTTTTACTATTATTTTAGTGAACATTTTCAGTATATTTTTCACCTGAATACATTTTTATTAATAACTTTTTATTGCATTGTACATAGACAGGTAAAAAGGAATCATTTTCTATTTGATTTTTCACCTCGAATAGCTTGCTTGTTATATATTCTTTTACTATTCTTCTAGCAGTTGCACTATAGATTCCAACGTGCATTGTTCACTTTCCTAAAAAAAAAAGTTGTAAAATATACATAACAAAATTTGCCATTTTGGATCATTTTTAAATGAATAGTTCAGTAACATCAAGCATATTCACATTATTGTGCAACCATCATCACTCTCTACCTCCGGAATTTTTCATCTTCTTAATCTGAAACTGTACCAGTTAAACCATAATTCTCTATCCCCAGTCCCCTATCCCCTGAAAACCACCATTGTTCGTTCTGTCTGCATGAATTTGACTACTCCAGGTGCCTCATATTAAGTGGAAGCACACAGCATATACTCTTTTGTGACTGGTTTATTTCATTTAACATAATATCTTCAAGGTTTATCCATGTTGTAGCATAGATCAGAATATTATTTCTTGTGGCTGAATAATATTCCATTGTATGTATAGACATTTTGCTGATCCATTTATCTGTTAATGAAAATTTAGGTGGCTTCCACCTTTTGGTTTATGTCAATAATGCCGCAATGAACATGGGTGTATAAATAACTTTTTGAGACTTCTGTTTTTAATTCTTGAGGGTATATACCCAGAAGTGGAATTGTTGAATCATATGGTAATTCTATGTTTAATTTTTTTAGAAGCCTCCATACTGTTTTACATATTAGCTACACCATTTTATATTTCCAATTCAAATTCACCGACACAGAATGAAGAATGGTGGTTGACAGAGGATAGCGGGGAGTGGGGATGGAGAGTTACGGTTTAACTGGTACAGGGTTTCAAATTGAAAAAATGAAAAATCCCAGAGACAGGTGATGGTGATGGTTGCACAATAATGTAAATGTGCTTGATGTCACTGAGTTGTACATTTAAAAATGGTTCAGGCTGGGCGTGGTGACTCACGACTGTAATCCCAGCACTTTGGGAGGCGGAGGCAAGTGAATTTCTTGAGGAGACCAGCCTGGCCAACATAGTAAAACCCCATCTCTACCAAAATACAAAAACCAACTGGGTGTGGTGGCGGGCACCTGTAATCCCAGCTACCAGAGAGGCTGAGGCAGGAGAATTGCTTTGAACCCAGAAGGTGGATGGTCCAGTGAGCTGAGATAGTGCCACTGCACTCCAGCCTGGGCAACAGAGCAAGACTCTATCTCAAAAAAAAAAGTTTCAAACAGTACATTTTATGTTATGTATATTTTATATAGGATTTCAGTTTCTCTACATCTTCACCAACAGTTGCTATTTTCTGGTTTTTGTCTTTGTTTTAATAATAGTCTTTCTAACAGATGTAAAGGGGTAGCTCATTGTGGTTTTGATTTGAATTTCTCCAATGATTAGTGATGATGAGTCACTATTGACCTTTTGAAGTCTAATTCAAATTATCACTTTTACTTCTTCCTAAACAGTGGAAGGAACTTAGAACACTTGATCTCCATTTTCCCTCTTACTGCTCTATGTGCTGCTATCATCATGTAATTTAATTTAGATATATTTTTATTTTTTATTATATTTTTTGAGATGGAGTCTTGCTCTGTCGCCCAGGCTGGAGTGCAGTGGCGCGATCTCGGCTCACTGTAACCTCTGCCACCCAGGTTCAAGCGATTCTCCTGCCTCAGCCTCCCGAGTAGCTGGGATTACAGGCGCATGCCACCATGCCTGGCTAATTTTTGTGTTTTTAGTAGAGATGGGGTTTCAGCATCTTAGCCAGACTGGTCTTGAACTCCTGACCTCGTGATCCACCCGTCTCGGCCTCCCAAAGTGTTGGGATTACAGTCATGAGCCACCACACCTGGTCAATTTAGTTATATTTTTAAACCCGTCAAGGCATTATGATTATTTCATATAGTCAATATTGATTTATATTTTTTGAAATATTTACCCTTTCCATTCTTACATTTGTTCTCTCATTTTTAAGTTTCTATCTTAGGTAATTTTTCTTCTATACCAAGAACATCCTTTAGTGTTGTCTGCTGGTTTCTTGTTTTTTTGTATTTGAAAAAAAGTGTTTATTTAGTGTTTTGTTTGTTTGGTTGGTTGTTGGTTGGTTGGTTAGTTTTTATAGAGATGAGGTCTTGCTGTGTTGCCCAAGCTGATCTTAAACTCCTGGACTCAAATGATCCTCACACTTTGGCCTCCCAAAGTGCTGAGAATACAGAGGTGAGCAACTGTGCCTGCCTTTAATATTTATTTTAAAGTATATTTTTACTGGATGTAGAAGTCTAGGTTGGCAGGTTTTCCCACCATCATTTTGAAGATACGATTCACTGTTTCATGGCTTTCATTGTTTCTCTTGTGAGTGAGTAGTCAGTCACATTGTTGCTCTACTGCAGGTATCTGAGTTTATTTGACTTCTTTTGTAAAAATTTTTTTTCCCTTTGTGTTTGAGATTCAGCAGTTATACACTGATGTGCTTAGGTGTGATTGTCTTGTATTTATCTTGTTTAAGAGTCTCAATATTTCTTGAACCTGTACAGGGCTCAATTTTTTTTATCAGTTTTGGAAAATCCTCACCCATTATCTCTTTAAATATTGCATCTGCCCATTTTCTCTCTCTTCTCCATCTGCATCTCCACTTATATGTAGGTTAGACATTTTTAGTGAGTCTTATTTGTTTTTTATGCTTGTTTTGGTATTTCCCCTCTTTTATTCTCTCCATCTTCAATCTGTCTCTTTCATCTGACCTATATTTCAACTCATTAATTCTGTCTGCATTTATGTATTCTGTTGTTAAATCCATCCTTTGAATTCTTAATTTCAGGTTTTTTCAGTTCTAGAATTTCCGTTTGATTCTTTATATTTATTTTTAGTTCTTTGCCAAATTTCTCCATCTGAGATTTTCTTTCTATTGTTTTTATCTCTTATTTTGGGCAGACTTTTAGTTCCTATTTTGGTTTTAAAATCAACTGTTGAGGCCGGGCGCAGTGGCTCACGCCTGTAATCCCAGCACTTTGGGAGGCCGAGGCGGGCGGATCACCTGAGATTGGGAGTTCGAGACCATCCTGACCAACATGGAGAAACCTCGTCTCTACTAAAAATACAAAAACATTAGCTGGGCGTGGTGGCACATGCCTGTGATCCCGGCTACTCGGGAGGCTGAGGCAGGGGAATCGCTTGAAACTGGGAGGCGGAGGTTGCGGTGAGCCAAGGTCGCGCCATTGCACTCCAGCCTGGGCAACAAGAGCAAAACTCCGTCTCCAAAACAAACAAACAAACAAAAAAACCAGTTGAATATGGAAAATTGCAGCCTCAAATGCCAGCTCACCTCTCTTGGTTTGTATGTTTGGCTATTTATTATTCTGTGTCAGATATTGTGTATTAAAAATTATGCAAAAAATTAATTTTGAGGCTCTGGATGACATTATCTTTTTCCACAGGTGATCTCCTTCTGCTCCTGACAAACAGGTAAGCTAGGGAAGATCAGTTTAATTTATTCAGGATTTAAGGTTATTCACTGTTTGGCTTCAGCCTTTTTGAGGTCTGGTCTCTTTCTGATCTACTTTTACTTCCAGAATAGAGCCTGTCAGGTCTCATTCAAAAGCCTAGTGCTTACTGGGATTTCTCCTCCTCCTTCTTGGGCCTGGGATTCCAATTTTTGTCTTTCTTTTACCATGAAATAATGAAAACTCTGCTAAGCATTGCACCCTTTGGCTGCTGCTTCCACTTTCAGAAGTGACAAGCACATCAAGGGAAAAAGCAATCCTAAAAATCAATGGCTTTTCTCCTCCTCACAGATCTCAGTCCCGCAAGGTTTTATAGCATTGGAAACTTTCTCTTTAAATCAGTTTGCTTGACCAAGCAATACATTACCACATGTGAGATAAAGCTTTATTTAATGATGCTTTTTTTTTTCCTTAACAGACAGGGTCTCACTTTGTTACCCAAGCTGGAGTACAAAGGTACAATCATACAGTTCACTGCAGCCTCAAACTCCTGGCCTCAAGCTATTCTCCCACCTCAGCCTCCTGAGTAGCTGGGATTACAGGCATAAGCCACTGCTCCAAGCTTTAATGATGCTTAATAGTTAAATATGTTAGCTAACCCAATTTCTACAAGGTACAGTTGAAATTTTTAGTCTCCCCAATAAATGGTCATATAGCTTCTGCTTAAATATTTTCAGGAAGGACAAGTAGTTACACTCAAGCCAGTCCATTCCACTTTGGGATGGCTATAATTATAGTAATGTCTTATTACATTCAACAATAACAACAATAAAACCCACTTATTTTCTCATAAATTTGTTAGTCCTAGTGTTAGCTTCTAAAACAACAGAGAACAAATTATTTTCCCTCTTTTCTAATGCATTCTTTAAAAAATATTAGTGTGGCTGCTGCATTCCTTTTCATTTAAAACAAACAAACAAACAAACTTCTACTGGCTGAATATTAGTAGCTTTTTTTTTTTTAACCTAATCTCTATCAAGCCAGGCCTTCCCCTGGCTATGATGGTGAGTTATTTTTAGACATATATATGGGATTTTATATTTAGAACTACTAACTTTCTTTTTAAAAAATGTAGCTTAATATCTCAGTCTATTGAAATCACTTTAAAACTAGGTTTTTGTCATCCTCATAAACTTTGTGTCATCTTAAAAGTGGCAAACATTCCTCCAAATTCTTAGGGACATTTATAAAGATTGTTGAATATTAAAGTGCCTTGAATAGATTCCTGTGGAAGTTGATGAGAGACTTTTCCAAGCTTGCTCCTCAGCCATTAATCACATGTTTGGGCACATTCTACAGCTAGATTTAAGTCCACCTAAAATTTATTGTCATTCCTATTTTTCAACCATCTTATTCACTAGAATATTTTCTGCGCCAAAGTCCTTAGAGAAAAAATTCTTATGTCTATAGCTTTCCTATAATCAATCAACTTAGCAATGCTATGAAAAAAAGAAATGAGTTTTATGTGCCATGACTTATACTCAATGAACAAATCACACCAGTTAATCCAGGTTTTTGGAAGGTGGGACACACATTTTTAAATGAATATATACAAATAGAATAACATGTAGGCTAAGTAAAAAACTAAGAAAAGACATTATTAGAACTTGGAATTTTATAAATGCTTGTTGAACGTAATAGAAAATTTTACTTACTAGAGTCAACTGAATGATTTATCTAATTCTTTTTATTTACTTTATATCTGCACATATTTTCTCTGTCCAATTCAGTTGTACTCTAATTATATTTCTTTTGCTCCTCATTTCTACTTCCATCCCCAATATCTAGTGTAATACCAGGCACATTATAAGAACTCAATTGTTGGTTAATTCACTTTCTACCAGTGACATCAGTGAAATGCTTTATTCATTCCTTCAGTAAATATTTATTTATTTATTTATATTTTTTATTTTTGAGACAGAGTCTCACTCTGTCACCCCGGCTGAAGTGCAGTGGCATGATCTCAGCTCACTGCAACCTCTGCCTCCTGGGTTCAAGCAATTCTCCTACCTCAGCCTCCCTAGCAGCTGGAATTACAGATGCCCGCCACCTCGTCCAGCTAATTTTGTATTTTAGTAGAGGTGGGGTTTCACCATGTTGGCCAGGCTGGTCTCGAACTCCTGACCTCAAGCAATCCACCCGCCTCAGCCTCCCAAAGTGCTGGGATTATAGGCGTGAGCCACCACGCCCAGCCAGTAAATATTTATTGAACCCTTAATTTATTCTAGGCATTGTACCAGGAACTGGGCTACATTAGCACAATGCTCCCAAGTTGCTGTCAGTCTGATACAGAACTGGTGAGCAGACATCCAGACAAGTGGATAGGCACTTAGAATCCCATATATTAAAAAGCTAGTAAAAGATAGAGTTCCTTTACTTTTAAAGGCAGATTCTAAATCTAAGAGACCATTCTAAAACTAAGGGAAAAGTCTCCTTGGCAACATATATCCACCGAATATTTGAGTCACAATATATTAATAGATTAATTTAAATATAATCTTTACCTGGGCTATAATGTCTACCTTCTCCTGCCCCATGAGGTAGGAAAGTATTTTATCACATAAAAAAGTTATTGGTGGGGCATGGTGGCTCACGCCTATAATTCCAGCACTTTGGGAGGCCAAGGCGGGTGGGTCATTTGAGGTCAGGAGTTTGAGACCAGACTGACCAACATGATGAAACCCCATCTCTAGTAAAAATATAAAAAATATAAAAAATATAAAAATTAGCCGGGAGGTAGGCACACGCCTGTAATGTCAGCTACTCGGGAGGCGGAGGTTGCAGTGAGCTGAGATCACGCCACTGAACTCCAGTCTGGGTGACAGAAAGAGACTCTGTCTCAAAAAAAAAGTTATTGATCTTTTAATCTGTTAGGAAGTAGAAATTGGCGGTTACAAAAGAGTATGTAAGAGATTGCCGCAATTTTTTTTAAAAAATGAATGAAACTAAATAAAATTCTTATAATGAGAGAAGACATTGCTGCTTTATTTATCCAGGAACTGACTCTGAGTTTTAAATCCTAGGACTGTTACCACATGTGGTATTTCTCTGGTAGAAAATGAATGATCTCCATTTTGAAAAATCTGGTTCAAGTGGCAAGCTGCAAAAGTGTCCTTTACCTTCCCTCATTCCAACATAAAAATATTGAGATTTATCCATCTGTTCCAGGGCTCCCTACTTCATAATTTGTCTATAGGTATAAGGCCATTTAACCCATGTCACATGACTGGTGTTTGAAATAGAAACAGATGTTAGCATTTTCTTCCTCACCACCCCCACCCTTATAATTTTGATGTAGAGGATTCAAAGACCCTGAGGATGCCCTATGTCAGACATGAAAATTTGGATAGACAAGTTACTTTAATTGGATGGCAAAAATGCCATGAGTGGTTTGTTTTTATGTCATCTGCTGTCTCCTACAGCACCCTAGAGTTATCTGTATACATTGTATATTTTTCATTTTGTTTTTAACCAGCAGGGTAAGCCTCCGGACAAAATTCTATTTTGATTTCTTTTGAAATTTCTTTTTCTTCTTTCTCTTTTCTTGCATACATTCCTCTCTTTAGTTGCCTCCTTCGGCTTTTTCTCCCTTTTGTCCTTAGTATCCAGTATCAGTCCCAGTCATTGCTTAATCATACTGGGGGTCAGTCCCAGTCATTGCTTAATCATACTGGGGGTCAGTCCCAGTCATTGCTTAATCATACTGGGGGTCAGTCCCAGTCATTGCTTAATCATACTAGGGGTATGGAAAGCTAAGGAACACAATAACTCAATGTGCCACATTTGCCATTTGTTCTCATCTCCCTTTCTCTCTGTTGCCCTGCTCTATTCTGCATCACAAGAATTGTGTTTCCCGGGATTCCTTACTAACTGCTTAGGTTCATCCAAATGGGAGGCAATGGCAAAAGACTGGAAGGTAGGAGAAAGGGTGCTTCAGGTGATATCTCCAGCAGTCACTGTGCCTCCTCCGTGGCTGCAGCTCCTACTGGACATTCCTTCCCTCCGGGGTCCTAGCACCCACTGGCAGTCCCAGTTGTGGTGCTAGTTCCCTGTTGCACCCTGGCCTCCAGACTCTGGGAAGAGCTCCCCACTGCATTGTCCCTGCTACTATCTCGGTGGCTATACTACCCGCTGGGATAGTGCAGCTTCTCAGTTCCTCCATCATCTACAGAATCCGTTTCTCATATTTAAGTCTCTTGGTTTGTAAGTCTTAGAGGGGTTTCCATTTCCTGACTGGACCCTATTGTTACACTCTAGAAAAAGATATTACATAGTTCTGAAAAGAGACCCAAAACGATGAATACAGTAAAGTCCATGTTAATTTTAATTCTTGGGAATGGTGTGGGTTGATTTCAGTTCTATTGTAAACTTTGGAAGCTTCAGATCAATGTTTGCCAAATAGGAAAAAATAAATACATTGGTACTTAGGGGAAGGAAATGTTATTTTTAAGAGTCTAAGCTACATGTTTAAAACAATAGACTGCTTTAAAAAGAAAATCTTAAGATATATAAAAATAATCCCATTTCTTCTGAAATATTGCAAATCATTATTTCCTTTATGAAAAATTCAGTCAATATCTATTTAGAAAATAAAAATATTCAGCTGTGCTTTTACAAACAAATTTAAATTTATTATGTTTTTAAATTAAAGTTTTAAATTTGAATTAAATAATTAAAAATATATGGGGTACCTGCTGTGTATTATGAAGCATACAAAGATGAATAAGACAAAAGTAGTTCAAAAGACAAAATACCAGAAAAAAATGCATATGTATGAAGACAAAGTCCACGTATAAAATCACCCTTCATTTAAGTTAAATTTAACTGACATTTATATGATACCTATTTTTGTTTTGTTCTGGAATCAGAACAAAGATTTACTGTTAGGATACTAGTGATATAATGCTTTTATCTTTTTTTTCAATCAGCTTCCTCAGGTTGAAAATATAATGCTGATTTCATCTTATACTACCTTCCTTCTTGCTCCCCTCACTCCTGCTATACAGGCCTTATTGCTATTCCTTAAACAAGCTAAACATGCATCAGAGGCAGTGAAAGGATGGTTACATAACAGAAGATCAATCAAACAACAAAATATATTAATGATGATGGATGGGTGCCAGGTTCCTCATTGTCAGAGAAGAGAGTTACAGATACATGAAGGAAGAAAAGTGGAATGAACATTCTATGTTGGATTGAAGTTAGAGATATAAGTATGAATCCCTGGATTTCAGTATGTATAAAAATAAATGTAGACATAACATACATGCATGTCTTAATTCTGGCCTGGAATGGCAATTCCCCAGTGCTAATGAGTACACCAAGTGTCCAGAAGTTGGCTCTTAAATACTATTCTCCACTAAAAAATCATCAGGACTACTTATAAAAATGGCTGATTCCAGGGTGGTACAGGGAGGGTACAAGATCACCCTGGAACATTTTCTTGTGCCACTGAGAAAGAAAATACTTAAAAAATGATGGAGGTATGTCAAAGGGACACAGAAGCCAATCTGAAGGAAGTTTCCATTGGCCCCAAATGGGGACTATTTTAACAAGAAAATAAACACTGCTTGGAACATAAATTAATAAACTGAATTTTGGTGAAACTTTATATAGTTTCAAAGTACCACTTTACAAAATACTTATTAATTATAAAGGGAAAAAGAGTAACTGTAAAGTGGAGAAACCTGGCAGACATCACGTTAATCAAGTAATCAGAGTTAAATGGAACAAATCTAAGTTCTCTGCCCTCTGATAGGATGAGACGGGAAGAACAAAGCATTACTTCCTGACAAGGATTCAGTACCTGAACTCATGAGGATCCCTCAGACAAATCCAAATTGAAGAACATTCTACAAAATAACTTGCCAGTAATTCTCAAAAATATCAAGGTCTTGGAGGTCAAGAAAGACTGAGGAATTGTTTGGTACTGAAGGAGTCTAAGGAGATGTTACAAGTAAATTTAGCAGGTGATTCTATGCTGCTTCCATTGTCTGTAAAGGAGATTTTAAGTGTTAATTTTCTGATTTTGATGGTTGTACTGTGGTTATAAATTCATAATCTATTCCAAGTTATGGGGCAAGTTAGCAACTTGACTCTCAAATGATATAAAGAAAATTTCTTTGTACTGGATTTGCAACTTTTCTCTGAGTTTCAGATGGTATCAGAATAAAATGATGGATACAAAGAAAAAGAATACAACTCTTATAATTCTGTAGGTCAGGTATTCAAGTGGGACTCAGCTGAGCAGTTTTTGTGCTCTGTGTAGCAAAGGTTTGGTCACTCACTCGGCTGCATTTAGCAAGATGCTGAGCTAGAAGTTCCAAGAAGTCTTCACTCGCTGTCTGGCTCCTCTCTGCTCCTCCATGTGTACCACCCTCTTCCCCTGCATGGAGTGTCATCATTCAGGAGTCCAGCCCAAGATTCTTTTGGTCTGATGGCTGGATTTCCAGAGCCACAGAGAAGACAGCCAGGACTCTTAGTCTTTTCACCTGGATGGTGGTTACACAGGAGTGCTCGCTTTGTAAAAAATTAATCAGGCCATATATTTAAGCTTTTGTGTACCTTATAGCATATAAAATACTTCAATAAAAAAAGTAAAAATAAATTATAGTTACTGTTTTTCTAATTGCACATCCTCCTTTTTCACTTTTCTACTTAACACCATGTAATGGGGCAGATTCTTCCTCGGATGAAGCCAAGATGGTAACATAAGCATGGGCATTTGATCACCTCCCTATCCAACCCCCTACAGACACAGCCTAGGCAAATATAAAATGGGTAAGTTTTGACTTATTCTAGAAAATAAAGATCTCTCTCACCTCGATATCTCAAGACTCAAGGACTCTTCACTGAGCTAACATAAGAAAGAAAGGCCTATCTGTCAGCAGTATACCTTTCCCCATTTTCTGTAGGGAGAGGTAGGAGGATAGCTTTGACTCATATCATTTTGCTTGCTATGAGAACTGGCTGGTCCACAATGTTAGTCTCCCACCTTGGAAGAAGCTTCTTCACAGGTCTGCCCCAAGGAAAACATGCCTGGCCTTGCTCTCAAAACCACTCAACAAGGAGGAAGTCTGCTTGAAGACTCACTCCAGGGAGATAGAATCTACCACAGGCTCCACTCCTGCTCAAAGGAAACAATCTGAGAATTTGAAAGAAATACATTTCTTATTTATTTATTTATTTATTTAGAGATGGAGTTTCACTCTTGTTGCCCAGGCTGGAGTGCAATGGCACAATCACGACTCACTGCAACCTCCGCCTGCCGGGTTCATGCAATTCTCCTGCCTCAGTCTCCCAAGTAGCTGGGATTACAGACACGCACCACCACTCCTGGCTAATTTTTTTATATTTAGTAGAGACGGGGTTTCACCATGTAGGTCAGGCTGGTCTCGAACTCCTGACCTCAGGTGATCCACGCACCTTGGCCTCCCAAAGTGTTAGGATTACAGGCGTGAGCCACCACGCCCGGCCCAAGAAATAACAAACAAACCCAGTTAAAATAGACTGCAACTGAATGAGTACCAAATTATGAAAAATTAAATGTGTAAATTAGGTCTTGGTCAGTTTTCCCATAATGGAGAACAAACAGGCTGATGAAAATTATTAGGAAAAGATTAGGCCGTGCGTGCTGGCTCATGCCTATAATCCCAACAATTTGGGGGGCCGAGGCGGGGGATCATCTGAGGTCAGGAGTTTGAAATCAGCCTGGCTAAAGTGGCAAAACCCCATCTCTCCAAAAAAAAAAAAAAAAAAAAAAAAATTAGCCGGGTGTGGTGACACACGCCTGTAATCCCAGCTACTCAGAAGGCTGAGGCAGGAGAATCACTTGAACCTGGGAGGTGGAGGTTGCAGTGAGCCAAGATTGCATTACTGCACTCCAGCCTGGATGACAGAGCGAGACTCCAACCCAAAAAAAAAAAAAGAAAAAAAGAAAAAAGGTTAACACATAAAATATAGATGAAAGTAATTTAAAAACATGAGTTGCAGAAGGCAAAAAAAGGAAGAGAAGTAAAAATAAACAACAAAAAGAAGTTTATAAATAGATATGCAGTCAGGCACTGAAAAAGATATGTATACTTGAACACATTCTAATAAAATTTATAAATTCCAAAGATAAAGAAGTTTTATATTGTTGTTGTAGCTGGGACCACAGGCACATGCCACCATGCCCAGCTAATATTTTTCCATTTTTGGCAGAGACGGGGTTTCACCATGTTGCCCAGGCTGAACATATGAATTCTGAAGGATACAAACATTCAGATTATGGCATCCACCATCCTTTTACTCCCATCTCAACTGACTGCACTGTGGGCCTCAGGTATAGCTGTTAAAATAAGGCATTCCTGCATGATTTTCCTGCGGTGGATCCCTGTTCCCCTGTTTTGTGGCTCCCTATGGATTCTTTTTTTTGAGACAGTCTTGCTCTGTTGCCCAGGCTGGAGTGCAACGGTGTGATCTCGGCTCACTGCAAACTCTGCCTCCTGGGTTCAAGCGATTCTCCTGCCTCAGCCTCCCGAGTAGCTGGGATTACAGGCGCACACCACAGGCCTGGCTAATTTTTGTATTGTTAGTAGAGACGGGGTTTCACCATGTTGCCCAGGCTGGTCTCAAACTCCTGACCTCAGGTGATTTGCCAGCCTTGGCCTCCCAAAGTGTTGGGATTACAGGTGTGAGCCACTGTACCAGCCAGAGATAATCAAATCTTAACCAGTCCATTCTATATTCTGTAAGTTCAGCTGCTTTAGGAAAATGAATACATGGTGAGATAAGTATATCTCAGTAGTATCAGGTCACTCTTGCTTCTTTTGCTGTAAAATGAATTATTTGGACAGAAGCAATGTTGTGTGGAATACTATGTTGGGGATTAAGATATTCAGTAAACCCATAGGTAGTATTGCTGGCAGAAACATGGTAAGTAGTAAAGAGAAATCCATATTCAGAATAAATGCTTACCTTTGCCTTCACCATAATGGGAAATGTTGTTAGCCCCTGACTGTGCCACATTTCAAGGTCTTAGTGCTGATTTGTGTGTCACTGAGTATTGATGCATGGGTTGTTCTCACAATATTCTTTCTCTGTTATACAATAGTAGAGTTTTTTAGCTGCCCACTTGGTTGCCCAAAATAAAAACTACGTTTCCCAGCCTCACTTGCAGTTTGACCTCACAAATTAAATTCTAGGAAACAGGATGTGTAATCTCCAGTTCATGCCCTTAAGGGGAAGTAGTGGGCTCCCGTCCTATTTTCTTGATTTTAGCCAGCTAAACTGTGGACTTGATTGTGGGAGCTACAGTAGCTGCCATCAACCACAAAACGAAAATTGCATTTTGAAAATGACAGAAAAGCAAGCCGGAAAGAATCAGGATCCCCAAAACTCTAAAGCCTGGATTACCTACTGGGATTTTAATTTAATTTTAATTTTTAGAATAATTTCAACTTTTATTTTAGATTTAGGGGATACATGTGCAGGTTTGTTACATTGTTTGATTGCCTGTTGGTGAGGTTTGGGGTATGAATGATCCCATCAACCAGGTAATGAACATAGTTCCATAGGTAGTTTTTCAGCCCCTGCCCCACCTCTAGCGGTCCCCATTGTCTATTCTTCCCATTCCTATGTCCACGTATAGCCAATGTTTAGCTCCCACTTGTAAATACACGCAGTATTTGGTTTTCTGTTCCTGTATTAATTCACTTAGGATAATGGCCTCCAGCTGCATCCACGATTTTATTCTTCTTTACGGCTGCATGGTATTCCATGGTATGTATGTACCACATTTTATTTATCCAGTCCACTGTTGATGGGCACCTAGGTTGATTCCATGTCTTTGCTACTGTGACTAGTGCTGCAATGAATACATAAGTGCATGTGTCTTTTTTGGTAGAATGATTTATTTTCCTTTGAGTATACACCCAGTAACAGGATTGTTGGGTCAAATGGTAGTTCTAAGTTCTTTCAGAAATCTCCAAACACTTCCCATAGTGGCTGAAGTAATTTACATTCCCACCAACAGTGTATGAGCCTTCCCTTTTCTCTGCAGCCTCACCAGCAACTGTTATTTTTTTACTTTTTCATAATAGTCATTCTGACTGGTGTGAGATGGTATCTCATTGTGGTTTTGACGTGCATTTCTCTGATGGTTAGTGATGTTCAGCATTTTTAATAGGTTTGTTGGGTGCTTGTATGTCTTCTTTTGAGAAGTATCTATTCATGTCTTTTGTCCACTTTTTAATTGGGTTATTTATTTTTTGCTTGTTGATTTAAGTTCCTTATCCTACTGGCATTTTTATATGAGAGAGAATCACACTTCATTCCTATTACTTTTGCTTTGTTTAAGCCACTGTATTTCCAGACTAATTTGTAACCTATTTTGTACAAGTACTTTGCAGTAGCAATCCTGAAATCGACTTTGATAAGGGGAAGTCCATTTTGCTGAGCTCATACATAATCTCCATTATTACCATCATAGCTTATTTGTACTTGTGCCCATTAAACATTAGAAGGCTGGAGAAAAAAGTTGACTGACATTCATTATGCAAGTCCACTTTTTCACCTAATTATTTCTCTATAAGGTAGGGTAGAGAGTTAGGAGCTCATTCAAATGGGACATAATGACCTCACATTCTGAATTTAGTCTGAGAAGCTCATATATATAGTTTACCCAAATCTCCTTGTTACTAATTCTTCCAATGAGCATTATTCCCAAGTCCCTGACCATTGGATAGTGCCCATAAATCATTAGGTGTTGTTCTGTTGTTGTTGTTGTTTTTTGGGGGGATTGTGTGTTTGTTTGTTTTGAGATGGAGTTTCGCTCTTGTTGCCCAAGCTGGAGTGCAATGGCATGATCTCGGCTCACTGCAACCTCCGCCTCCTAGGCTCAAGTGATTCTCCTGCCTCAGCCTCCCTAGTAGCTAAGATTACAGGCATGTGCCACCATATCCAGCTAATTTTGTATTTTTAGTAGAGACAGGGTTTCACTATGTTGGTCAGGTGGGTCTCAAACTCCTGACCTCAGGTGATCCACCCACCTTGGCCTCCCAAAGTGCTGGGATTACAGGTGTGAGCCACCACTCCCAGCCTATTTGTTTTGTGACACAGAGTCTTGCTCTGTCACCTAGGCCAGAGTGCAGTGGCATGATCTCAGCTCCCTGCAACCTCCACTTCCCAGGCTCAAGTGATCCTCCTACCTTAGCCTCCCAAGTAGCTGGGACTATGGGTGTGCACCAACATGCCTAGCTAATTTTTGTATTATTTGTAGAGAAGCAGTTTCACCATGTTGCCCAGGCTGGTCTTAAATTCCTGGGCTCAAGCTATCCACCTGCCTCAGCCTCCCAGAGTGATGGGATTACAGGTGTGAGCTACCGTGCCTGCCTCATAAATCATTGTTTATTTTTGCCTTTGGTCTTCCATCATTCCAGGCAGGTAACCACATTGCTGCTTGAAGTTCCTCTTACCAGGAAGGGAACTGTCTTTCAGGGCCACTTCCGGGCAGAGGTCTAATTCCATAGCAGCCTACTTCTTGCCAGCACCAGTATATATTCCAAAATCATCTGTAAATCAGGCTTGAATTTTTCCTCCTCAATTAACCAATGATACTGAATCATGAAGTCATATACATGGATTAAGGGAAGGGAGCCAGTGTACAGCATGAACTGATGCATTGGAAGAGTGAGCCACTGTGCTTTAAGGGTCTACTTCAGATGAAACTCAGTTTTTGCTTTCACTGGATGATGAAGCACAGGTCATGCCCAACTTTACCCTATAGTGGATTAGAGAAGAAGCACCCTGTTTGTGATGAGTAATCAGGCTGATTAATCATTTAGTGTCCTATGGCCATGTGAATAGTCTTTATCAGGTGAAGATTGAGGAGAGAATGTCTTTGTGATAAAATCCAAAGGGGCTTTGATGTGATTGTCTTGTTTAGAGCTGCCCCAGATTTCTACACAGCATTCTAAATTCACCATGAATACCTTAATCACCATTGTATCCTCTGGGACTCAAGGACCAGGTACTTTCATTGCAGCCGGGACCAGCTGACAGCTTCTCTTACTCTAAGCCTTACTCAACATGAATGGCATTATCAGTTACTTGGTAAAGAGGCCAGAGCAGTACACCCAATGATGGCACACATTAACTCCAAATGAAAACAATCCCACCAAGTGTTGTGTATTTCTCAAAGTAGATTTGCAAGGTGCATCAAGATATCTTTCCTTTTGGAGGGAATATCCTGATGTGACTCAAATAATTAGGATCCCAGAAACTTTACTGAGGTGACAGGACTGTGCACTTTTATGAGATGTATCTACCACTCTTTGGCACACATGACACCTGCCCACCAAGATAGTGAAAGTGTACTGCTGTCCTCGTTAGTGAAAGTAGGCTATTTCTAGTATTCTCAGCTTATAGGTAGAGAAAAAGTGCATTTATAAGATCAATAACTATATAAAATATGTGATATTTTGTTGATTTGATCCAGTGAAGAGATCATAGCTACAATTGTCAACTCTTCCTGATGTCTCCTAGAGCTTGTAATGCCAAGACCTATTTGTCTTTAGCAAAAGTCAATGTCAAGTTCAATGTAGATAAGATGGGGATTACTACTTTCATTTATTTCAAGTATTTTAAACTCTTTCAAGCACCAGTTTCTATGATTCTTCCAGGAATGCAGCATTGCTTTTGATTTGCTGTTTTGATTGTGAGGGACCTTCTACTTGACGCTTTCTACCATAATAACAGTTACTACTTGAATTAGGGTGTTAATGCTAGAATTCTACCAGCTGCTGAGTATACTATCCCAATTCTATACTCTGGAATCAGGGGAGTAAACATAGGTGGGTTTTTAAGTGTCAAGACCCCTTGTGAGATGGACTTAAGATCAACTCTATTTATGACCTGACCCCTATAAGTTAAATTCCACTAGTAATAATAATGTTTTGGGATCTCAGAGATTCGTAGCAGCCCAGAGCTGCCAGTGTCCACTAATCCCTGAAAGTTATTTCTCCTCCCCCAGTGCACAGTTTTCTCAGTAAGTAACACAGGCTCTTTTTGGGAAAAGATAGGAGCTCTAGATTTGAAACAGTATTATGGTGAGGGGTCATGACCATTGGGGTGTCTTAAATCAGACTCCATATACCAATTCAAGGGACAGACTCAACAAAGAATTATCCTGCATCCTGCGTAAGATTCAATGTTCTCCCAGATATGACTCTGTGTGAAAAATCTGTATAATGATCTGAACCTAGAACTTAACACCATTTACTATATAACAGAAAAGCATTTTTGGAAGGTTTTAATATACACTAAATTTTCTGTAATGCAAGAATTATGTGCATACAGCTATTACTATGTTTTGTTTAAAACTTTATCAAGAGTTGTTTCATCATTTTGGAAAAATCGCATCACTGACTGCAATACTGCCTGCAAAATTTTATCTTCAAAACAACAGATCTGTATAAGTCTGCATATGGAGTTGTTGTAGTCATAGTGATTCCACATATATATGCAAACACATGGCTACTTTGCTGTGTCTTCTAGTAGAGTTGTGCCTAAGAATTCATATGTAGAAATACTAATACTTTCCTTTTATTTCTTCTCTATGTTATAATTAGAATATTAATGTTGATTTAAACAAAGGTATAGGTAGGTCATATTAACTATGAATTTCATTTGAGAATAATAAAAGTTGTGTTGTAAAAAATTATCAAAAAGGGGGCGTTAGGTCCACAGGGTTGAGAATCACTGTTTCATATAATACCAAGGAATTTCTCTTATCTCCACTTAACTCAGCTTAAGACACTGTTAAATCCTAGCCAACAATTATAACTATTCTCAGCTGCTTGAGTTAGCTCACTGATTCCAGAATTTCTCATAGACACATGCCAATTGAGAAATTCAGCCTAGTCTAAAATTATGTGCCCGCCTCCTGATCTAACACCCTTAGAATCCATTGCCACACATATTCACCAGGGTTTGGACGATAAAATTAGCACTTAGAAAAAGCCAGCCCACCTGACAGTTTTTGACTGCTTTTGCCCTCACTTAAGATATATTGCAGCAGACATGATGTCTCCTAGAGCCTTGCCTTCAATGGACACTTCCTTCAAAGTAATCACAGGTGGTAATTTAAGTGTTTTGTCACTAGGTGCTTGGACTACCAATGTCTCATCCTTTTTTCATTATTGTTTGCTGATACTATTTCATAGAGAATATGTCTTCTGGAATTTTATGGAGAAGGCAAAAAAAAGAAAGAAATTTTCTTCTGAATAATGCTCTAGATGATTTTCTGAAGTATGTTTCATCTCACTCTCTTCTTTTGGATTGTCAGTCCACAAATGTTTAGCTAATGTCCAGAATCTACTATGTGCTGGACATTAGCTTGGTGTGGGAGGCAATAAGCCTGGCAATGTCCCTGCTCAAATGGCTTTTAAAAATACTGTTCCTGGCCGGGCATGGTGGCTCACGCCTGTAATCTCAGCACTTTCGAAGGCCGAGGCAGGCGGGTCACAAGGTCAGGAGATTGAGACCATCCTGGCCAACATGGTGAAACCCTGTCTCTACTAAAAATACAAAAATTAGCTGGGCGTAGTGGCATGCACCTATAGTCCCAGCAACTTGAGAGGTTGAGGCAGGAGGATCTCTTGAACCTGAGAGGTGGAGGTTGCAGTGAGCCGAGATCACGACACTGCACACCAGCCTGGTGATAAAGCAAGACTCCATCTCAAAAAAAAAAAAAAAATACTGTTCCTTTCTTCTTGTTCTGCAGAATTGTTTCCATAGTCCACACGTAATTTTTATCTCTTTCCTCATTTCTCCCTGAGATGAAATCTTTCCAGACTTTATGTCTGTCTTTGTCAGTAACAGTGACATTTGAGTAGATCTGATATCTAATTCTGGGTTATGCCTAAGTGCCTTCTAATGTAATTCAAAGAGAATGTATCTACGATGTGAAGAACATTGTGCTGAGGGCTGGGCATGGTGGCTCACCGTGGCTCACAGAAGCAGATGAGGTGGAACATCTAATCCCAGCACTTTGGGAGGCTGAAGCAGGAGGATGGCTTGAGCCCAGGAGATCAAGACCAGCCTGGGCAACACAGTGAGACCTGTCTCTACACAAAATTTTAAAAATGAACTAAGTGTGGTGATGCACCCTGTGGTCCTAGCTACTTGGGGGGCTTAGGTGGGGAAACATTGCTTCAGTCCAGGAAGTCAAGGCTGCAGTGAGCCAGACGGTGTCTCAAGAAAAACAAAAACAAAAACAAAACAAACAAAAAAACCACTGTGCTAAGAGGTGTGGCAGATAATAATATATAATAATAGCTAACACTGAATGCTAAATAAATGCCAATCACTTTTAAGTACTTTGCATGTACAACTTGGTTAGTCCTCAATCACTCTATGAGGTGTTGCTGTTATTACCTGTATTCCCATTTTACAAATGAAAGAATGGAGGCATTAATAGTGACTAAGAAGCTTGCTCAAGGTCACACACCAGTAATTAAATACAGGTAGTCTGGATCCAAGACCAACTCTCTTAACTACTTCCTTGTGATAAATAAGATATTAAGTTGAAAAACATGCCTTGCCTCAAACAACTTGCCATCAAGGGAATGCTGAGGAAATTACTAAAACTTAACCAGTTGTGAAAAGAGTCAACCAAGAGTCTTGAAGTTTTTTAGAACAGCTAGCTCAGGTAAGCTTTCTGTTTATTTTTTTCTTTCTCTCTTTCACTTTTTTTTTCTCTAGTGATTCACTTGACAATTCATTGTGGAATCGTGCTTCTGTATTTTCACCTTTTGATCTTACTGCTTCTCTTTTCTACTAAAATGGAGAATTTCTTAAAGATAGGAACTATATATTATTTCTCTTTTTATCTTTAGCCCGTAGCATATAATAGAGGACCACTCAATATAAAGACTCAATAAATTATTATATTCAAAGAAATGACAGTAATTATTCATAATTAGTATCTATGAATACATTGCACCTAGGGGCACTATAGTATTTTAGAGCTTTTGATTGAGTAAGTCCCAAAACTACTCTGGTAAGAGAGTTAAACATTATTATCCATGTTTCACAATCAACGGCTTAATTGTCAAAAGGTCAAGTGGCTTACTACGAGTTAGTCAGTAGGGGAAAAAAGAGAATCTAGGAGTTTTTTGTTTTTTTTTTTACAAAAAAAAAGAAAGGAAAAAGATTTCCTCAAAGTTAAATTAATGCACATAAGAATATCAAAAAATACAGCAAAGATACTTTGTCAAAACCAAGCAACACTTAAACACAAAACATTAATTTATGTTAACTTTATGTAAGTAAGTTATTTTGAAAGTCAACTCTAAAGATTATGTTCAGAAACTTCTATTTATGCTATTTTTGTTTTCTACACATTATTTTAGTAATAAGGGCTATATCCTCCCATGAGATCTACAGGGCGGATATTAGATAAGCCACAGATGAGTTAACTTGTTTTGGCTTGAATGAGGAAATGTGGCAGCTCCAGATGCTTCCATGCTCCGAGCACATCGGATCCAGTAGGCAAGAGAAACTGGGCTAAGACTCAAAGAAGGGAGGTGCTTTTAGCTAATAACAAAGTCTACTCTTCCAGTGTTTCTGTAGGCAAGGATTTTTTTTTAAGAAAAATATTATTACAACATAGTTATAGATTCGTTCTTGGTAAACAAACTTCAACAAAGGATGATCCAAAAGGCTTGAATTTCTAGCTGCAGAAAGAGTTATTTTTACTCTTCAGTCTGTTCCCGTGACTTTTTTCCCTACCTTTGTTAATGGCTTCACCATCCATTGAACTGACCAAGCTAGAAACCTCAAATTTATTCTCCACAGCTCCTTCTCCCTCACCCTCTTTTGCTACTGGTTTTAGTTTTACTCATTCGCCCATTCTGTCATCTAAGTAGATATATTTATTATATCTACTTATATATCTACTATATCTACATGTATAACACATCTGTTATAACCTCCATGGCCTCTTCTAAAGGTTGAGCCTCTCACCTCTCTGGACTATATGACCATCTCCTAGATGGTTTTACTGCCCCTGATAAAGTTATTTATTTGCCTAAAAACCACCAATGGCTCACCCTCATCTACAGATCAGAATACAACCTCTTTAGCATATCTGCGCTCTCCCCAATCTGTATAATCACCTATTTTCTTCTACTTCCCTGAAAACCTCTACTCTGTCAGTTTCTTCTCACCATTCCCCAGACATCTCCAGCATATCCAGCTCTTACATATTTCAGTGTTTTTGTATGTGATGTTCCTTTAACTTGCAGTCCTTCCTCTGCCTTCATTACATGACCAATCCTAAGGCTTCCTTTACTCCCAGCACAAATGTGGCCTCTCTCTCTGAAAGATGTCTTGACTCCTCAAATAATTAACTACTCCCATTTCATATTTGTGGCAGAGATTCTTGCTCCTCATTGAATAGAGTCTTTTGATGCTGCACATTTGCCAGCTCCTTTCCAGTGCGGTAAGGCCATGTGACTTCTTCTGGTCAAAGGGCTGTGAGTGGAAGTGAGATGCGCCACTTCTGATCCAAAACACCTAAGAGTTGGTGCATGACCCTCCAACTCTCTCTTCTCTTGGCAAGTGTAAAGGTCTTGTGATGGGATGGTAAAACCACAAGATGGAAATGGCCTAAACAGACCACATGTAGGGAGCTGCTCTGGGAAGTCCTCTGATCCTGCATTAGGCTTCATGTAAGCAAGAAATAAACTTTTGTTGGTTAAGTCACTGAACTTTGGGGTTTATTCACTACCGCAGTGTAAACTCCCCTAACCAGCCTAACTCAACATCCTACATATCTCTATTTAGCCTTTTGTTTTACAAAACTATAATAATGGATATTATTCTGTATTGTTAACCCCAAGGTCAGGCACTACACCTTATTTAGCATCTAACACAGTATTATAAAGAAAATTGAACTTGAAAACTGGACTCTGCATCTTCAAACTTAATTTCCAAACCTGTTCTCCTTCCAGTGCTTCTAATCTCAGTAAATGGCATCATCACTAACCCAGTCACTCAATCCAGAATATAGAAGTATATTTCTTACGTCTTTTCAAGCTTCTAAAGCCAGAAAATACCTTGGAGGTTCTTATTCTACCTCCCAAGTATATCTTAAGTTTGCCATGTTTCTCCATTCTCTCATTCATCACTTTCTACCTCTTACTGGAGTGGTAGCCACCAGCTTTCTTTATATTTATATATATATATATACACACACACACACACACACACATATAGAGACATATATGTATATACACACACACACACATGCACATATATAAGCTTTCTTTTTATACACACATATGTAACATTATTAGGTAAATATATATGTATATTAACTTCAATAGCTTTTGGGGTATAAGTGGTTTTTGGTGACACAGATGAATTGTATAGGGGTGAAGTCTGAGATTTTAGTGCACCTGTCACCCGAGTAGTGTACATTAAACCCAATATGTAGTTTTTTCTTAAATCCCTCTTTCCACTCCCACTCATTCCCTTTCTGAGTCTTCAAAGTCCATTATACCACCCAGTATGCCTTTGGGTACCCATAGCTTAGCTCCTATTTATAAGTGGGAACATGCAGTATTTGGTTTTCCACTCCTGAGTTACTTCACTTAGAATAATGGCCTCCCGCTCCACCCAATTCATTGCAAAAGACGTAATTGTGTTCCTTTTTATGGCTGAGTAGTATTCCATGGTGTATACAGACCACATTTTCTTTATTCATTCATTGGTTGATGGGCACTTAGGTTGGTTCCATATCTTTGCAATTGTGAATTGTGCTGCGATAAACATATGTGTGCAGTGTCTTTTCGATGTGACTTCTTTTCCTTTGGGTAGATACCCAGGATTGGAATTGCTGGATTGAATGGTAGGTCTACTTTTAGTTCTTTAAGAAATCTCCATACTGTTTTCCATGGAGGTTGTACTAATTTACATTCCCACTAGCAGTGTATAAGCATTCCCTTTTCATCACACCCATGTCAACATTTATTGTTTTTTAACTTTTTTTTTTTCTGCTGGGTGCGGTGGCACACTCCTGTAATCCTAGCACTTTGGGAGGCCGAGGCGGGCAGATCACGAGGTCAGGAGATCGAGACCATCCTGGCTAACACGGTGAAACCCCGTCTCTACTAAAAATACAAAAAATTAGCTGGGCGTGGTGGTGGGCACCTGTAGTCCCAGCTACTTGGGAGGCTGAGGCAGGAGAATGGCGTGAACCCGGGAGGTGGAGCTTGCAGTGAGCCGAGATTGTGCCACTGCACTCCAGCCTGGGCAACAGAGCAAGACTCTGTCTCAAAAAAAAAAAAAAGAAAGAAAACTTTGTTTTTGTTGTTGAGATGGAATGTCACTCTGTAGCCCAGACTGGAGTGCAATGGTGAGATCTCAGTGCACTGCAACCTCCATCTTCTGGGTTCAAGCGATTCTCCTGCCTCAGCCTCCCGAGTAGCTGAGATTACAGGTGTGCGCCACCATGCCTAGCTAATTTTTGTATTTTTAGCAGAGACGGGGTTTCACCATTTTGGCCAGGCTGATCTCAAACTCCTGACCTCAGGTGATCCGCCCGCCTTGGCCTCCCAAAGTGCTGGGATTACAGGCGTGAGCCACTGTGCCTGACCAGTTTTTTAGCTTTTTAATAATGATCATTCTGGCTGGGGTAAGGTGGTATCTCATTGTGGTTTTAATATGCATTTCTGTGATTAGCGATGTTAATAACTTTTTCATATGTTTGTTGACCATTTATACATCTTCTTTTGAGAAGTGTCTATGCATGTCATTTGCCCAATTTTTGATGGGATTATTTGTTTTTTTCTTGCCGATTTGTTTGAGTTCCTTGTAGATTCTGGATATTAGTCCTTTGTTGGATGCACAGTTTGCAAATATTTTCTCTCATTCTGTGAGTTGTCTGTTTAATCTGATAATTGTTTCTTTTGCTGACCAGCTGTCTAAATAGCTCTCTTCTATTACTTCTTTGTGATTCATTTTTTTTTGCAATAAGATAAATGTTTTTTTAAAATTTACAAATATGATCATATTATTTCCATGCTTAAATAATTACCAGTTGTTTAGCATTTAGTATTCCTTTCAATAATTTCCAGTAGTGGCTGTATTTCTTATATCATATGCCATCTTACTTTATTTTAATTGTTTATTTAAATTTTTGTCCTCCTCATTAAATTTCAAGTGTGTTCAGGGCATAGCATAGCCCTGTCTTGCCTATTCACTGCTATATTTCCAGCTTCTGACACAAAACAGGCAGTAAATAAGTATTTGTTGAATGAATGAATGAATGAATACAGGGAAAATAGTATATAGTCAATAGGAGTTTACTGAATAGATAAGCAACCACATATCTTCAAGCAGGTATGAATTTTTCCATACATTCTGAAATATTTTATCAGCATATATTTTTACTTGCAACACTCTTTCCTTTCCTTTATGCTAGCCCACAATCCTTGCAACCTTTAAAATTCTAATTCATGGCTGATTTATTCACTCATTCATTGGGGGTGGAAGCCCTTTGCATATTAATTCATACCCGCTTTATACATTTGAGTTATATAATATGACTTAAGCTTTTGTTATTTTGTAAATGTGCTTGAATAATTTTTACACTTATATACTCTATCTTCTAGACTAAATTATAGATTCCCCTACAGTTGAAACCACGATCCCTATTTGTTTGGAAACTCTTCCCTCTCCTCATACCTGTAACCTCCAGGTACTTAGCATGGTGTTCTGCATTTAGAGATCACTGATTTTATTGAAGGATTGGCAAGAGTTAGCTTGTAAGAGTGAAAGCTGGATGGGAGAAATTCTCAACAGACAGATACTGGAATGGATCCTGGCTTTGCCTGGAGGGAGAAATGAACTTTGGGGAGGCTTCTAAGGCTTGAGTCAGAGGTACAAGGTGTTTGGTGTTCATTGTCTTAATTTTGCTGGGCTCTATCCCAAGATTCATTTTTTTTTAACAACTCAGTCAATCATACTTTCATGTATATATGTATGTATATATGTATGTATTTATTTATTTAAGACAGAGTCTCACTCTGTCACCCAGGCTGAAGTGCAGTGACAGGATCTCAGCTCACTGCAACCTCCACCTCCCAGGCTCAAGCAACTTTTCTGCTTTAGTCTCCGGAGTAGGAGGGACTACAGGCATGTGCCACCACACCCAGCTAATTTTTGTATTTTTAGTATAGACAGGGTTTCGCCATGTTGGCCAGCCTGGCCTCAAACTCCTGACCTCAGGTGATCTGCCTGCCTCAGTCTCCCAAAGTAACAACTCAGTCAATCATACTTAACAGGACTTTGATATATGTAAGACACATTAAAAACAAAAATGGAGAAGAAAAATAAGTTTCTCTAATGTTCTTTTAAATTGTATTGAAAACCCACAATATCCGAGGTAAATTGCATTTACTTATTAGAAATAAGTTAATGTTAAGATTTGATTTATCTGGCCGGGCGCAGTGGCTCACACTTGTAATTCCAGCACTTTGGGAGGCCAAGGTGGGCGGATCACCTGAGATCAGGAGTTCAAGACCAGCCTGGCCAACATGGTAAAACTAGTCTCTACTAAAAACACAAAAATTAGCTGGGTGTGGTGGCATGCAACTGTAATCCCAGCTACTTGGGAGGCTGAGGCAAGAGAATTGCTTGAATCCAGGAGGCAGACGTTGCAGTGAGCCAAGATCGTGCCACTGCACTCTAGCCTGGGCGACAGAGGGAGACTTCGTCTCAAAAAAAAAAAAAAAAAATTGGTCTTTAACTTCAGGTAATCTGGAATATAAGAAACATACTATCTGAATGAAGTCAGGCATACCTGCAGATGTATTCTTTGTATGTCACTGGTCATGGCCCTGTTCTGCTGCTAAGAGGGACTCCTTGCTTGGCAGTTCTGCTGTGGCAGTGGGAAACACTCCATTCTCTGTAGCCTCAGTGCTGCCATGTAACTATATAACTAAGGATGGTGCATAAGACCAATCAAGGGGACAGCCTGATGACAATGATTCTTTCATGTGCTCAAGAGACATTGATATGATGTCTTTTTTTTTTTTTTGAGACGGAGTATCGCTCTGTCAGGCTGGAGTGCTGTGGCGTGATCTCAGCTCACTGCAACCTCTGACTCCCTGGTTCAAGCGATTCTCCTGCCTCAGCCTCCTGAGTAGCTGGCATTACAGGCACGCACCACCACGCCCAGCTAATTTTTTGTATTTTTAGTAGAGACGGAGTTTCATCTTGTTGGCCAGGATGGTCTTGATCTCCTGACCTCGTGATCTGCCTGCCTCGGCCTCTCAAAGTGCTGGGATTACAGGCATTAGCCACCTTGCCCGGCCCTTTTTTTTTTTTTTTTAATTTTTAAATTGAGATAGGAGTCTTACTGTGTCACCCAGTCTGGACAATGGCATGATCTCGGCTCACTGCAACCTCTGCCTCCCGGGTTCAAGCAATTCTCTCACCTCAGCCTCCTGAGTAGCTGGGACTAAAGGCATGCACCACCATGCCAGCTAATTTTTGTATTTTTAGTAGGGATGGAATTTCACCATGTTGGCCAGGCTGGTCTTGTTCTCCTGACCTCAGGTGATCCGCCTGCCATGGCCTCCCAAAGTGCTGGGATTACAGGCATGAGCCACCATACCCAGCATGATGTCTTTATAATGAGTGTCTTAAGAAGGAAGTTCCAGCATAAGAAATATTCCAGTATTTCAGAATAATGGTAAAGCTATCCTGTTGCTTAAAATGATCCTATACACAAAATAAGGGAAAAGTACTATTCTTAGTTTGTACACCTAATCTCCATGAAAATGTTCAAATGTCATACACATTGGGCAAAGAAAATCCATTCTTATAATTACTAAAATTAAATATCAAATACATAAAATTATAGCATTTCAGAGCTGAAATATACCTTAGAGCTATAGGCACACAGGATTTTGGCATTTTGTTGTTGTGATTAATTACTTGAACTTTACTGAGTTACTAAGGAGCTACTTTTAATGGCGTATTTTAGAGGGCAGTGATTACTGGATTATGACAAACTTTGGCATTTTAGGATATAACTTACTTTTACTTTTAGTTTCCACACTGATTTAGAAAAAAAGCGGGCTCATCTTTTGTACACACAAAGGGTCACAATCTCTGAGATGTTGCTGGTTCATTTTGTGTCTACTGAAATCTGGAAGGTAGTTTTTAACAATTGTATTAGTCAGTTTGGGCTGCCACATCAAGTACCATAGACTGGGTGGTTTAAACACGGAAACATATTTTCTCACAGTTCTGGAGGCTGGAAGTCTAAGATAAGGGTGCCAGCCAATTGGATTCCTGGTGAGGGCTCTCTTCCTGGTTTGTAGACAGCCTCCTTTTTACTGTGTCCTCACATGGTGGAGAGAGCCAGCTCTCCGGTGCCTCATTTTATAAGGGCACTAATCTCATCAAAATAGGGCCCCTCCCTCATGGCCCCATCTATCGGGGAATCTGTCCCGATATTCACGTAGGTTCTTTTCTATTTTCCTTAAGCATCAGCCAGCTTGAGAAATAAAGGCATAGAGTACAAAAGAGAGAAATTTAAAAGCTGGGCATCCAGGGGAGACATCACATGTCGGTAGGTTCCGTGCTGCCCCACAAGCTGCAAAAACCAGCAAGTTTTTATTAGGGATTTTCAAAGGGAGGGAGTGTGTGAATAGGTGTGGGTCACAGACATCAAGTACTTTACAAGGTAATAGAATATCACAAGGCAAATGGAGGCAGGGCGAGATCACAGGACCACAGGACCGAGGCGAAATTAAAATTGCTAATGAAGTTTCGGGCACCATTGTCATTGATAACATCTTATCAGGAGACAGGGTTTTGAGATCAACCGGTCTGACCAAAACTTATTAGGCGGGAATTTCCTCTTCCTAATAAGCCTGGGAGCGCTATGGGAGACGGGTCTATTTCACCCCTGCAGTCTCGACAATAAGAGATGGGCATGCCCAGGGGGGCCAGTTCAGAGACCCACCCCCAGGCGTATATTCTCTTTCCCAGGGATGTTCCTTGCTGAGAAAAAGAATTCAGCGATATTTCTCCCATTTGCTTTTGAAAGAAGAGAAATATGGCTCTGTTCCGCCCGGCTCACCAGCGGTCAGAGTTTAAGGTTATCTCTCTTATTCCCTGAACAATCGCTGTTATCCTGTTCTTTTTTCAAGGTGCCCAGATTTCATATTGCTCAAACACACATGCTGTACAATTTATGCAGTTAATGCAATTATCACATGGTCCTGAGGAGACATACATCTTCCTCAGCTGACAGGATTAAGAGATTAAAGTAAAGACAGGCATAGGAAATCACAAGGGTATTGACTGGGGAAGTGATAAGTGTCCATGAAATCTTTACAATTTATGCTTAGAGATTGCAGTAAAGACAGGCATAAGAAATAATAAAAGTATCAATTTGGGGAACTAATACATGTCCATGAAATCTTCACAATCCACGTTCTTCTGCCATGGCTTCAGCCAGTCCCTCTGTTTGGGGTCCCTGACTTCCCGCAACACCCATCTAACCCTAATTGTCACCCAAAATCTCCCTCTCACAAATACCATCACATTAGGAGTTGGGGCTTTGATGTATGAATTTTGGAGGGGACAGAAACATTCAGTCCATAACAATAATTTGAAGTTCTTTTTTTTTTCTTGAAGCACTTCTGGCTGTTGGTTATTGCCATGGTGCCAATTTCCAGGGAGTTACTTTTATCTATCTATTTATTTATTTTTTGAGACAGAATCTCACTCTGTAACCCAGGCTGGAGTGCAGTGGCACAATCTTGGCTCACTGCAACCTCTGCCTCCCCGGTTCAAGCGGTTCTCCTACCTCAGCCTCCTGAGTGAGTAGCTGCGATTACAGGCACGCACCACCATGCCCAGCTAATATTTGTATTATTAGTAGAGAAGGGGTTTCACCATGTTGGCCAGGCTGATCTCAAACTCCTGGCCTCAAGTGATCTGCCCACCTCGACCTCCCAAACTGCTGGGATTACAGGCATGAGTTCCCGGTCACGGAGTTACTTTTAAAAATATTTTGCTGATTATCATGTCCCCAAATTTAGCAATTTGCTTTGATCTTGCTGAATGTTCATGGGCTGTTTATTTTGTGAAACACTAAGAAGAATTCTTTGAGGGTGATCATTTTATTTTTGGGCTTAAAGTTTCAAAACCTTTGAAATATTTTTTGTTTACTTGCCTTATGTAGTGATTATACTGAATTCCTGCTTTATAGGCTGGATTATTTTCTTCGCTAAAGCTGCAATGATGTCACAGAATTCTTTTCTATTCAGATTGTCCTTTCCACAACTCATTCCAGAATAAGTGATCAATGCTTCCATTAGCACAAATGTTCAGATGCTATTAAAAATAAGACAAGGGTGCTTTATGCCTGAAAAATTCTGTGGATGCTCGTATAAACTGGACATCCAAAAAGTCATCCAGCTCTTTGAATGAAAATGTCATTCTTGTATTCAGTGAGTTCTCTGATGTCAAGTTACTTCCTGGAATGACCTTTCCATAAATTCAGTTTGAGTCAGTAGCAATCCTTGCTTTGGAAAAGCATATCCTGTGTGGATAACAAATGGATATAGTAAACATACACCAAAGACAAGAGGTGAAAGGTTAGTAGGAAATTATCATTACCGCAGTAAAAAAATGATTGGATAAAGGATTTAAAGTCTTATACCTGGCACACTAACATTTTAAAATTTTTTCAAAAACTAAAAAAGAAATTTTTTGAGACAGGGTCTCACTCTGTTGCCCAGGCTGGAGTGCAGTGGCACAACCTTGGCTCACTGCAACCTTTGCTTCCCAGGCTCAAGCAATCCTCCCACGTTAGCCTTCCGAGTAGCTGAGACTACAGGCATGCGCCACTATGCCCAGCTATTTTTTTTTTTTTTTGTATTTTTAGTAGAGACTGGGTCTTGCCATGTTGCCCAGGCTGGTCTCAAATTCCTGGACTCATGTGATCCACCCAATTCGGCCTCCCAAAGTGCTAGGATTACAGGTGTGAGCCACTTTCCATTACAATTGAAGGACTGTATAATTTGCTGAACAGTTTTTAAAATGTGATGTTTGGGGAGAGGATTCTTTGGCTTTGCTGCCAGTAAGCTTACTTGAGTATGGCCATCCTGTCTCTGGACTTGGATAAAAATGGACCCTTTTTTCCTTCCCGTGGAACTAACATTGAATAAGCCTTGTCTCCGCAGCATATTTATGAAGTCCTTGAGTGGTTTAACATTAAAGTTTAAGTTTTAACTTTAATAATTCAGATTGCAGCCATGGAAGAAATAATCTGTGTGCATAAATTAATGGAAATTGAATTTTTATTTCCCTGAGCTGATCTTATCTACAACAGTGATTCATTTTTGCCACAGAATACAAACTGAGAATACATGTATTTTTGTTTAATGATATTTATCAACATTATTGTTTGTAGGTTATTTCTATTATGCCTATAAATTATGTTTTTACATTTTAGAAATTCAAAAAAACTTTATGAAGATATTATTTATTAGCAAAACATCCATTCAAAGATTAATGTTTTGTTATTTTGGACATAGATATCAAACCTAGGTGAATGTTAATTTGTGACTGATAGTATGACAACATACACATGAACCGATGTTTGACACTTGCTGTGTCTTTGATAAGTCAATATAATTTGAGAGGCAGTATTATGTAATGGTGAAGACAGAGACTGCAGCCAGACTGCCCGTGTCTGAATCTCAGCTCTGCCACTTATTAGCAGTATAATCCTAAGTTACTAAATCTTCCTATGCCTCTGTTTTCTCACTTATAAAATGGGATGATACTAAAACTATATATCTCATAGGATTATTGCAATGATTAAATAAGTTAACATACACTGAGCACTTAAAATGTCATTGCTACAAACTCCAAATAAGTATTTGTTATTGTTGTACATAAGGGGTAAGAACATTGACTCTAATGTCAGACATCCCCAGTTTGAATCCAGCCTTCACCAGCAGCTGAATGACCTTGGAGAAGCTACTTAAAATCACGGCACTTTAGTTTCTTCATCTGAAAATGGGGATAATAACAAATACGAGCACTAACTAAAATAATAGAGACAAAAGTCATAGAAGAGTGCCCAACATACAGTAAGTGGTGAGTGAATATTAGCAATGGGTATTATTTTCACATTAGAGAGACTAAATTATATATATGTCTCCTAAATATCAAACACAGTGTGAAATGATAAGTATGCTGTCAAATGAAAAATATTATTTCCTGTTTCACTAGCTTGGAGAATAACTTAAGGTCACATATTTTTAGTAGTAATATGACTCCAAATATCTATCCTGCTTATTATAAGAATGTCTTTCCTTTTTTAGGTCCCCATATCATGGTAAGTCCAGGAACCAGGGGTTGCTACTCAATTTCAAGGCATTGATTCTGATTATTCTTTTTTGCCACTGAAAGACCATTGCTACTTCTATAGTAGCTCCTCAGAGTAGTGGGTCAGACAGGTTCTGGTGCCAGCCCTCCTTTTCCAATTTGTTCAAACCACTGAGTCTTTCTTCTCATCTCTCTAAAGCACAGCTAGGACAGACTCCATGATCCATGCAAGGAAGAAAATCGAGTCCCAGTTATTTACTTTTAAATAACAATATATAGTAATAACAAACAGTATACTAAGAAAGATAACTAGAAAATCTCCTAATGTTTGGAAATTAAGCAACACATATAAGTAACCTATGGGCTAAAATAGAAATTGCAACCAAAATTAGAAAATATTTTGAACTGAAATAATAATAATAATAATAAGCCACATCAAAAGTCATGAGATGTGGCCAGGTGCAGTAGCTCATGCCTGTAATCCCAGCACCTTGGGAGGCTGAGGTGGGCAGATCACTTTGAGGCCAGGAGTTTGAGACCAGCCTGGCCAACATGGTGAGACCTTGTCTCTACTAAAAATACAAAAAATTAGCCAGGCATGGTGGCACGCACCTATAATCCCAGCTACTTGGGAGGCTGAGGCATGAGAATTGCTTGAACCTGGGAGGTGGAGGTTGCAGTGAGCTGAGATCGTGCCACTGCACTCCACCCTGGAGGACAGAGAGAGACTCTCTGTCAAAAAAAAAAAAAAAAAAGTAATGAGATGCAGCTAAAGTGGTGTTTAGAGGGAACTCTATATCCTTTAGCATGTGTTAGGAAAAAATGGCTGAAATTCATTATCTAGGATTTCATCTCAATAGGTTAGAATATGACATCCATTGTTTAGCTCCCACTTATAGGTGAGTACGTGTGGTATTTGATTTTCTGTTTCTGCATTAATTCACTAGGATAATGGCCTCTAGTTGCATCCACGCTGCTGCAGAGGACATGATTTTGTTCTTTTTTTATGGTTGTGTAGTATTCCATAGTGTACACACACCATATTTTCTTTATCCAATCCATCGTTAATGGACACTTAGGTTGATTTCATGCCTTTACTATCATGATTAGTGCTGTGATAAACATACTAGTGCAGAAGACTTTTTGATAAAAGTATTTATTTTCCTTCGGGTGGATACCCAGTAGTGGGATTTCTGGGTTGCATGGTAGTTCTATTTTTAATTCTTTGAGAAATCTCCATAATATGTTCTATGGAGATTTAACTAACTTACATTCCCATCAACACTTTTGCTTATGTTTGAATTTTTTCATAATAAAAATTTCAAAAGGAGAAACACTATTAAAGAGGGAAAAGACAAACCACAAAGAAGACATTTGCAACACATAGCACCAGAAAAGGGGACTATATCCAAAACATGTAAAGAATCCCTACAAATCAATAAGAAAGAGAAAGACAACTCAATAGAATAATTAGCAAAAACATAAAGTGGCACAAAACAAGATACCCAAATGGTTAATAAATACATGAAAAGGAGGCCAGTTGAATTAGTAATCAAGGAATTAGAAATTAAACCCACAAATTATATAGTACACATCCAATAATACACATAATTTATCTTTTGTGAAAATATGTATATAAACTGGAGTTAGAGTACCTCAAGTTCTGTGCCAATATCAAAATAACATTAGCCTAGAACAGCTACAATTTAAAACACTCGAAAATACCAAGTATGGTTGAGGATGTGGTGAAACAGCAACTCTTTTTTTTTTTTGAGACGGAGTCTCGCTCTTTCGCCCAGGTCGTACTGCAGTGGCGCTATCTCGGCTCACTGCAAGCTCCGCCTCCCGGGTTCACGCCATTCTCCTGCCTCAGCCTCCCAAGCAGCTGGGACTACAGGCGCCCGCTACCGCGCCCTGCTAATTTTTTGTATTTTTAGTAGAGACGGGGTTCCACCATGTTAGCCAAGATGGTCTCGATCTCCTGACCTCCTGATCTGCCCGTCTTGGCCTCCCAAAGTGCTGGGATTACAGGTGTGAGCCACCGCGCCCGGCCGAAACAGCAACTGTTGTATGCAGCTGATTGGAGCGAATATTGGTACAATTAATTTGGAAAACAGTTTGGTAGTGTCTACCAAATTTGAATATATGCCTACCCCTATGACCCAACAATTCCACTCCTAGGTATATACCCACCAAAAATGTGTGTGTGTAAAAAACGTGTCTGCAAAAGACAAGTAAGAATGTTGATAATAACATAGTAACATTCTTCAGAATAGTTTCAAACTAGAAACTACTGAAATGTCCAACAACAGTAAAATGAATAAATAATTTGTAGTGTATTTATACAATATTATAGCATACAACAAAGAAAAATAAGGAATTTTTGCACATACATCAATTGACGTCAAAACCTAATATTGACCAAAAGAAGCCATTCCCACGCAATGTACAATGGACAGGGCTTTGGGGTTAGGGTAATATTTCATTTCTAGACCTGGGTAGTGATCACAGATGCATGCGCTTTGTGATTCCCTCATCCGACTTTCAAACTATACCCTTGGATCTTGTGTATTTTTCCATATCTACGCTGAATTTCAATAAAAGATGTCTATTACAACAAATGAATGATATGAACTAGGAGAGAGTTCTGATAAATGAAAAAGCCATTTTAGTGCATAGAATTATGGGGGAAATGTTTTAAAATCTTGCTTTAATTTGGTTGTTACAATAAACACAATTTGGGTGGGAAGAAAAAGTAATTAACATTTGCTCAAATACAGACATAAACTAGAGATGGAGGCTGTTAAGTTCTGTGCCAGGACCATAATAATTTCAGCTGGAATTTTTTTTTAAAGCTGGTGTTATAACATTCCACCACAGCCCAAAAAAGAATCTTACTCAAAGAGCTGTGAACTTCTAATTTTGAACAATATAACTTCCAGGTACACCCTCCAAAAAAATCTGTTGCAATATATACCAACGTAGTGGAATGAGGTAATAAACTATTTAATATAAGGCAATTAAATTCTGGGGGAAACTACCAATAATAATAGTTTTGGTTTTAAAAGAATTACTTGGTCGGGCGCGGTGGCTCACGCCTGTAGTCCCAGCACTTTGGGAAGCTGAAGGGGGTGGATCACGAGGTCAGGTGTTTAAGATCAGCCTGGCCAAGATGGTGAAACCCCGACTCTACTAAAAACTACAAAAATTAGCTGGGCACGGTGGCAGGTGCCCAGCTATTCAGGAGGCTGAGGCAGGAGAACTGCTTGAACCTGGGCAGCAGAGATTGCAGTGAGCCAAGATCGCGCCACTGCACTCCAGCCTGGGTGACACAGTGAGACTCCATCTCAAAAAAAAAAAAAAAAATTACCCTTTCTTTCTAAGAGTAATCAGTTGATCCTGTCAGGGTCAACAACTTATTAAGGAAATTCTGAGTTCCCATGACAAAAACATGTTATCTACATATAAAAGATTATTTATCTCTATTCTTTATAGTGGGATACAGTTCGCATTTGGTTAGTGGAATAATAAGATTTTTGAGATTTGAAGTTCTCTCTTTTCTTCATGGGAAAATTTTGGGTAGGGGTGAGGTTGGTCTTTGCTACTCATTTTTGGAAATACTTCCTTTTTTATTGTACTTGTATATTGTTATAAATAAAATTCTGGTTTAAATATTATGAATTATGGATGTGTCCTTTTGTCTCTCTTTTAAAACTAGTATCATGATATAAAGATAGTTTGCATTGGATGCATGGGTAAAAACAGGGGAACCCTTATACACTGCTGGTAGGAATGTAAACAAGTACAGTCATTATGGAGAACAGTATTGAAGTTCTTCAGAGAACTACAAATAGAACTATCATATGATCTGGCAATCCCACTACTGGATATATATTCAAAGAAAGGAAATCAGTACACCAAAGATACATCTGTTCCCTAAGTTTACTGCAACATTACTCACAACAGCTAAGATATGGAATCTACCTACCTGTCCATCAACAGATGAATGAATAAAGAAAATGTGGTATACACAGACAGTCACACACAATGGAATACTATTCAATCATTAAAAAGAATGAAATTCTGTCATTCATAGCAACATGGATGAGCCTAGAGGACATTATGTTAAGTGAAATAAGCCAGGAACAGAAAGACAAATACCACATGTTCTCACTCATATGTGGAAGCTAAAAAAGTTAATCTTGTAGAAGTAGAGAGCAGAATAGTGGTTACTAGAGGCTGGGAAAGGTAGTTGGGATGGGGGATAGATGCAGATTGGTTAAAATATATAAAATTACAGCTAGTTAGGAGAAATAAATTCTAGTGTTCCATATAGCACTATAGGCTGACTGTAGTTAAAAATAATTTATTATATATTTTTAAATAGCTAGAGGAGAGGCTATTGAATGTTCTTAACACAAAGAAATGATGACTGGGCACTATGGCTCACACCCATAATCCCAGCCCTTTGGGAGGCCAAGGCAGGAGGATCGCTTGAGCCCAGAAGTTCAAGACCAGCCTGGGCAACAAGGTAAGACCACATCTTTACTAAAATTAAAAAAAAATTGGTTGGGCATGGTGGCCCATGCCTGCGGTCCCAGCTACTCGGGAGGCTGAGGAGGGAGGATTGCTTGAGCCCTGGAGTTGGAGGCTGCAGTGAGCCGTGTTTGCGCCACTGCACTCCAGGGTGGGTGACTTAAAAAAAAAGATAGATGTTTGAGGTGACATACATGCAAATCACCCTCATTTGATGAATATACACTGTACGTATCAAAACATCATTATGTACTCCATAAATATGTATGATTATTATTAGAAAAGTAAATCTTTTTTCAAAACAAAGGAGTTTTGGCAATTCTGTTAAAAAAAAAAAGAATTGGGTGCATGGGGCTGGGTGGGAAGGAAGGGTTTTACCTCATACAAGAGGAATCCTGTCTTTACCTGAGCTCGCCACGAAAGATACCTTATCTTGTTTTGCTTGGATTTGTACCAAGGACCTAGGCAGGATCTATAAACCTAACACAAAGCATCATGTGTAGTCATTGTAACTTTGAAGAGGGATATTGTCATTCTCTTCCAGTATCACATTAATTTTTACCTAATTTTAAATTCTTATTTGATAACCTAAAAACCCTGGAAATGTGAGAATGCTCTTCCCTTATCCTCTTTCCTATCATGACGTTGACATAACAGAAAAGGAAACAGCATTGGTCAGGGAGCCAGAAAGAGCAGGTTCCTGGCCTGACTTTCCTCCTACTTGTCTACAGAGGTTACTTAATCTCTTTGAGCCTTAATTTCTTCAGCTCTGCATAGGTGATAACATTCTTTGCTTCAGTGTAATTTTGAAAAGTGTAACATAGAATGTAAATATAGGCTAACATTGTCAATCATTATTAATAATTATTATGTTTAGGTTGCATTTCTAAATATAAAAAGATAAAGCATATAGTATAGTGATGCTTAGGCTTGGGAAGAATACAAGGAAATGAGGTCAGAAAGAATAAGGACTGGAAAAATAAACGCATTGGTAATTATAAAAATATAAAAAATGACAAAGTTGCAATGGAAAGGTCAATGCAAACTTTTAAATTATTTTTCTAATTATATCACACATTCTAAATCCTGCTGTAGTAGACATCCGTTGTTTTTTCTGCCTTATAACCTGCCCTCTTCTGGTAACAGCAAGCTTTCCTTTCAATTGCTTTTCCCACATTCCATGGTTTTCTGTTGGGCTGCCAAACACCACACACATGGTATTCTATTTACCTAGCTTTGGGGGTATGCCAGGTGACCAAAGCCAAGCCAATCAACATCCTTCCTTGAAATTATTTATATAGATTATGAAGGGAGAAATCTCTTTTCTCTGGAGTTTCACATTTTTTTTCTTTAATTGGAGCTCTCTTGCCCATACAATAAACAATAAACAATTACATTTCCTCATCCTGCCTTTGTTGCTGCATAGAGACACTGATGATTGGGCACTAAGATCATCTTTTGAGGGACCTGAATAAAGTTTTCCCCATCCGTTCACATTTTTCTTCTAAGTACCATGTCTGGTAGATAATGAAACTCCCCTCCCCCTCCCCCTCCCCCCTCCATCCCTCCTTTTTCTCTCTGTCTTTCAGATAATAGAATTCCTCTCTCTTTCTTTCTTTCTTTTCTTTTTTTTTTTGAGACAGGTTCTCACTCTGTCGCCCAGGCTGGATGGAGTACAGTGGCGCAATCTCGCTCATTGCAACCTCTGCCTCCTGGGTTCAGGCAATTCTCCTGCCTCAGCCTCCCGAGTAGCTGGGATTACAGGCATGGACACAACGCCGGGATGATTTTTTTCCTTTGAGACAGAGTCTTGCTCTGTCGCCCAGGCTAGAGTGCAGTGGCGCGATCTTGGCTCACTGCAACCTCCGCCTCCCTGGTTCAAGGATTCTCCTGCCTCAGCTGCCCAAGTAGCTGGGATTACAGGCACGCGCCACCACGCCTAGCTAATTTTTTTATTTTTTTAGTAGAGTTGGGGTTTCACCATGTTGGCTAGGCTGGTCTAGAACTCTTTACTTCAAGTAATCCACCCGCCTCGGCCTTCCAAAGTGCTGGGATTACAGGCGTGAGCCAACGACCCCAGCCGGCCCGGCTAATTTTTGTAATTTTAGTAGTGTCAGGGTTTCACCATATTGGTTAGGCTGGTCTCGAACTCCTGGCCTCAAGTAATCCCCTGCCTCGGCTTCCCAAAGTGCTGGAATTACAGGCGTGAGCCACCGCGCCCGGCTGATAATGAAATGTCTAAGCACTTAAGAACGTGCATTCAAAAGACTGGAGTTTTTTGAAAAACAGGGTAACCTGCAGTAAAAGAAATTCTTACACACTTTCACTTTTTTTCTTTAAATACTGTCTAGTAGACTGTGGCATCTCTAGGTGGCTAAAATAATTTGTCGATAACATCAAACATCTGGTTAGTGTTCAAATTTCTCAAATTGTCTTAAAAATTTTGTTTTAACCGTTGATTTGTTTGAATCAAGATCCAAATAACGGAGCAAAATTTTTATCATCAAGCCCACTGGCTGGTTACACTTTACCTCTTTTCAAAATAGATGTTTGTCACTGTGACACATTTCCATAAGCAAGAGAATTGAGAGATTAATTCAAGGTCTCTTTATGTGCTTTACAAATATCAGATAAGCTCTGGTAATTAAGTTACGGAAAATTCGCATAAGTAATATCTTGATGTTAGTCTTGGACATTAGGACTCAAAAGGCAGCAATGACAAACCCATTTATGTTGATTTCACAGCCTTTGGGGGTCTCCTTGTCTTTATTTTGATTGTTGGAAATAGAGACCCACGCTTTGGCCACTATATAACAAAGTACTAAAAATGTATAATAATGCAAATTCACTAATATGTTTATTAAAATATAAACAAGTTTATTACAAATCTGTAGCTTTATTCACAACTAACATCCTTATTTTTGTCCTATATGCCCACGTTTGTCCTCAAGTACAACGAAGGACTGAGAGAGCATATAATCCCCTCTAGGTGTAAATGAACGTATTTATTTCGCTTCAACTCATGTATGAAAGGATTAAAAAATTATTAGTCCCCACAACTTAATTCTCCCAAAGAGAAGGTGCCAAGAATGAGGCACCTTTAGCCATGCATAATCTCCACCCATCTCATCAAATAAACGGAACAGTGATGAACATAACTTGCTAAGTAAGCTCAGCCGTGTAACAAGACCCTAGATTCCCCTCCCTTCTTCATCCTACCAGAACATTATCCTTAAGGTTTTCCTAATCAGCAGTCTGCGTCTAACTAACCCTAACTATCCAGAGTCACCTAACATATACTTATTTCCTTGTTTCAGATTCCCATTACGCCTATCTTAATGGGACAACTGGGTCCGAAATTATGCATGTGTTTTTTTGTTTTGTTTTTGCGGTGTACTTATTATCCGCACTTTATCATTAAATTCCTGAAAAGCTAGAACAAAACAAATCCGTGTCATTCACTATGTGCATCCTCTCTGCTTGGGGACGCCAAGGGTTTCAAGCTGCTGCCTCCCTGCCCTGGTCTCTGCTTGCCGTATCCAGCACTGGGTAAGCGCCCAGGTTCTGCTCCGGGACTAAAACTCATGATCTTCTGGCTCAGGTTCTGTGAACTGAGTCATTCTGGCACTGAGAATATTCCGTGACTCAGCAGGCCCGAAAAGGAGGATGTCAGAATCCACATAATTTCGAGTCTTTTAAAGGCAAGCCGAGGAACACAAACAACACAGTGGAAGAATTTCGCAGTGGGTCGTGCGTACCCAAGGGAAAAATTCATTCCATTCCCAGCCTTTTCACTTCCTTCCTTGCCCCGGTAAAACGACTGGTTACACTTTAAATCAGCGGCAGGAAATCGCTTCACGAAACTCATCTGGCTGCTGCGACCAGGCCCTTCTGATTCTCCAGGGACCGTGTCGGCCCCATGAACGCCCCGGGACCTCTGTTCGGGAGGGGCTGGAGCGGGGCCCCGGGCAGCAGCGGGCGCTCCCGGTTCGGACCCACACCTGGCCGGGCGGGGACCCTCTTGCCGCAGCCCAAATTGGCGCGAGGCCCCAGGGACGACCCCGAGCGACCTCCTGACCCGGCATCGCCCCTCTAAGGCGCCCTCCCCCGACTCCTCCCGCAATCCGGAGTCTCCCAGGCCGCGGAGCCCAAGGACCCCAGCGACTCCCGCGCGGGGAGCGGGTCTGCGAGGCCGCCCTTCCCTCCCGGCATGCACCACCCAGCCGCCCTCCCCTCCCCTCCTCTCCTCTCCCCTCCCCTCCTCTCCCCTCCTCTCCCCTCCCCTCCCCCAACCCCCTCCCCCGGCTCCCCGCCCACCTCGCGCGCCCCTCCCCCCGGGTCGCGCGCCGCGGGCCCGAGCGCGAGACGCCGCTGCTCCCGCCCCCGCCGCCTCCTGGAGTCGCCGGGGCGGACGCGCAGTCCATGGGGCGCGGTGGGCCGGGGAGTTGCCCCAGGGGCCGCGGGAGTTGCTGAGAGGAGACAGGGTTGGGCTTTCTCCTCGCCCAGACCCCACCCCACCCTGCCGACCCCACCCCCTGCTCCTTCCTCCCCGGGGGCGCGCACTCGGGCACGCGCTCGGAAGTCGGGGGTCGGCGCGGAGTGCAGGCTGCTCCCGGGGTAGGTGAGGGAAGCGCGGAGGCGGCGCGCGGGGGCAGTGGTCGGCGAGCAGCGCGGTCCTCGCTAGGGGCGCCCACCCGTCAGTCTCTCCGGCGCGAGCCGCCGCCACCGCCCGCGCCGGAGTCAGGCCCCTGGGCCCCCAGGCTCAAGCAGCGAAGCGGCCTCCGGGGGACGCCGCTAGGCGAGAGGAACGCGCCGGTGCCCTTGCCTTCGCCGTGACCCAGCGTGCGGGCGGCGGGATGAGAGGGAGCCATCGGGCCGCGCCGGCCCTGCGGCCCCGGGGGCGGCTCTGGCCCGTGCTGGCCGTGCTGGCGGCGGCCGCCGCGGCGGGCTGTGCCCAGGCAGCCATGGACGAGTGCACGGACGAGGGCGGGCGGCCGCAGCGCTGCATGCCCGAGTTCGTCAACGCCGCCTTCAACGTGACTGTGGTGGCCACCAACACGTGTGGGACTCCGCCCGAGGAATACTGTGTGCAGACCGGGGTGACCGGGGTCACCAAGTCCTGTCACCTGTGCGACGCCGGGCAGCCCCACCTGCAGCACGGGGCAGCCTTCCTGACCGACTACAACAACCAGGCCGACACCACCTGGTGGCAAAGCCAGACCATGCTGGCCGGGGTGCAGTACCCCAGCTCCATCAACCTCACGCTGCACCTGGGTAAGCGGTGACAGCCCCGTCCCCTGCTACTGCTCGCCAGCAGCCCAGCTCCCGGACCGGCTCCGTCCCAGTGGCCGGCCTCACGGGCGCAGACGGCCGCGTGTTTGCTCTCTGTTCCCCGGCATGGGCCACACAGAAACTCCTTTCTCCAACTTCTTAAATAGATACTGCTTTTAACATCCCGTGAGGGCCAGGATGTTCCGCACGAGTCTCTCTGCTTTCCTGTTCTTTCTGACTTAACGGGATTCTGGCTCTCTGATTATTCTGCATTTCGGCTGTTAGGATTGTGATTTCCCCCTTTTTTTTCTGAAGCGTTAATCAGAAACTCCCATCCCCACTTTTCTCTTTGCTAGCAAGGTCATCACAGCGCATTCTTGGATCGGAAACAAGAAGGTCCGCCTTAAACACTTTCGCCTTTAAAATGTTTAGATGTCCTTCCAGGGCTGAGGGTGATTGCTCTGTTGAGTTAAGGGGGAATTTGAGGGGAGCAAATGCCTTCGCTGCCTATATTGCCTATGTGTAATTAAAACATAAATTCACTTTTGAAGTTATTGTTCTTTATAGCTGCTCAGCCTTAATTAAGAACCACAAAGCGATTTGACTGCTAATCCTGGTGCAGAATGAACAAAAGGAAGTGCACTCACTGTAATTGCTGGGCATAGCCTTGTCCCTGGGTAAAAAGGCTCTCCTTTACTGTCTTCCCTTTTGCTTTCATTCAAAGCAACTGTAGAAACACGTGTAAGTGATGTTTCAGAAATCAGGAAAGGGATGTGTAGAAAACTTCATGGCAGGGCAGTGGATTGAGGATGGACATATGTATCTGGAAGCACCAAAAATAATGTTCGGTCTAGCTAAGGTTTTCTTCATCATTGAGATACGTAAATAGGCAGAAAGTTTCATTATTGTGTTTAACAGAGGAATCTATGTGTGAGAAACACGTTTGACTTAACACTTCACTCCCCATTGCCTTGGAAGGCTTGATTATTACCAGTAGCTGGTACTAATGAACTTCCAGAGAGAACAGACTGCCTCAAGCCATTCTTCTGTCAAGGGAGGGTAATTTTGTAAGGCTAATATCACTTAGGGGTGTTGGAAAGGAACATGTTGTAGGCAAATGGTTCTTTTGATCATGATTTTGCTGCTCTCCGGTACACTAAACTTTATGTAAGTATCAGGATTCCAGAGAAAGAATTGGACTTAACAAAAAGTACTTTGAAAAGTGGGATTAAATTATTGTGTGTGGAATAAGTGTTAGAAAAGCAGAATTATTTAACATCTTATTTGCAGTTGAGTCATTAAACAAATGAAACATTTTGAAAATAATTTCATAAAATGATACTATGAGGTATCTGTTTTTCAGGGATTGAAGAAGTAAAGTGCACTGAGTTCAGTTTTTTAAAGGTGCCTTTCTGAAGACATAGCTAGTGACCGAGGATTTCCTAAGATCTGTGAGATTGCTCTTTATTTTCTCCTGTTATATTTTTTAAGTTGGCCAAAATTATTTTTGAAATGTGTATCTAAGTATTTCTGTTTAACTTTTGACTTGTTAAAGTTTCTGTGTTCAAGTTTGAATACTCTTGAAGTCTTATTTTTTTCATTTTCAGATTTTAAAATTTTCAAAGAAAAGGCGTTGCCTGATGTCTGAAATCTCAGATGCCTGAAATTCAATTGACAATTACTGAACAACAGTCTCTTATTTACATAAAGGTGGGGTTGTCAATCTTGGCTCTCAGAATTTTCTCTTGTAGGCACTGTGTAGCTAAAGGTTATTTAAGGTGATTTCAGAGGTAGATAGATTACTCAGTGATTACTACCCTGTTGCAAAGATAATGCGGTAGAGTAACCCAGTATCAGTTACGTTAGATTGCTCCCACTGGGAGGCAGATATGTTAACTTTGGGTCATGGTTGATTAAAAGGTCAAAAGAGATCTTAGAGTTTACCTCTAACATCACTTTTTACTATGAAATGTTTTATGCTTGGACTTGGTTTTGCTGAAATTTTCCTCAACTTTTGGTAATATTCTTGCTAAATGAAATTCATAAAACTATGAGTTTAAAACTTGTAAGTTAAAAGTTAAAGTATTTTCTTACAAGCATTGTGATTAACTGTAAAAATATGTACTTTAAACTTCTAGTTTAAACTAACTTGACTAGGATACTTGACTTGTTCTTGGATCAGAAATGACATCCTGGAAGAAATCATGCATAGTGGAGGAGGTGGGAAGGGGGAAAGGTTTGTGTGTAGTGAGGTTGAGGTTTCTCTTTCTGTCCTCCCCCCCCCTTTAATGACAAGGTTATATGTATACATGTATGTTTCGATCAACAATTTATGACAAGTAGGCAAGGTGTCATGTGTCACTGTGTGTTTTGATGTTTAGCATATTCACTCCCCAACTCCAGTTACTCCATGGGCTGTAGCTAACTAATTATTTCCCATGAATTAAAGTACCGTGACTGTTTTGTGCATCTATTAAATCTCCCTCCCAGTTCAAATTTCACATACCCTTAAACAAGTGATGCATATTGTGCTTTGCTATTACAGAGCATGTGAAGCTAGAAATGAGTAGTGTGAAAGAACTAGGTCTAGCCACCACTTTTCTAGCCTTTCTTTTGATGTTGAACTTTAAATACAGTAAACTTTAAAATAAGCAGTCAAATCATACATAAGAAATGTAAGTAGTTATGTAAGTGTTTTGGCACTGACTTTTTTAAATTATGAAAATGAAACATGACATTGTAAATTCAAACAGTAAGTGTAATGACAAGTGAGTTTCTTTATCACTAGCTGCTAAGCTCCATGCCCTAGAGACCACCCTTCACAATTTCTTACATTAATATGACCCTCTAGAAATTTTTCATGCATACACATGTGTATATAAAATTATAGGATCATTTTAACTGATACTTTTTGGGAGGCTGAGGCGTATTTTAACAGATGGCAAATACAAATCTGATTATTGTGCCTGTATCATCACTTGCTGTACAAAAGCCAGGAAAATCAGTGTTGATTCTGAAAACAGCGCTCTCTTAAGCACCATACACAGTCATCCAGGGTGCAGGGTGCAGTGCATCCTCGGATAAAAAGAGTTAAAGTTGCTATGGGAACCAGAATTGCACTTTCTGCTTGTTGTGGGGAGAAATCTCCACCAGCCACTTTTCTAAGAAGAAGTCTTTTTTGTTTCACCTTCAACTTCTGGATGGATTATTCAGTTGCTGTTAAAAAGTTTGGGTTTTATGTCTTATAAGTTATAGTAAGTTTTTATCAGTACCAGTGGGGTAGTAGTTGATACTAAGATTGTAGCTAAGGATTTGCCTTTTATCAAACAGCCCCATTAATTAATTTGATAATCATTGTGGATGGAAACTTGGCAGACAGGATCCTAATCTTGAGAAAGGTAGCTTTTCCTCTTTCTAAAAACAATTAGATTAAGGAAAAGAGTGCTTATAAAACCAACCCAATCAAAGTTTATGAAACTCCTAAAATTAACACTGAAACCAGATTAGTTTCCAAGCTCCTCATAAACTGTAGGAACCAATAGTGATTAAATGAAGCTTTTAAATCTGCATCTGCATATCTTTTTTGTGTGTTTAAGTTAGAATAATTGATATATAAGGCTATTGCCTTTTATTCTCTTTGGTCCTCTGCTGAGTGTGTATGTATTTAACATGGAACAAATGGCAATTTTTCCCCCCAGGAAAACCTTTGCAAGGTGGGTTCTGACTATGTCAGGGAATAGCTCACTGTGGTGACTTCACTGTGGTATTTGTGCACCCTGAGGGGACACTATTTTAGTTTGTCTCACAAAGGCCTGATTTACATTTTGCAGGTTTCAACTTGAGAAGTTAAGGAGCTCTTCCTTAATGGCCAGCAGTTGTTGAACACAGTTTTATAAAGTTGCTGTTGGCTGCTTTCCTGTTCTACAGTTCACTGCTTTTTCTCCAAATTCCTTCTCCATTCTAAGGGCATTCAAAAAAGAATTTACACATTAGGGGAGAAGTTGGAGCTATAAGGCATTCCTCCCCCCCCCCACCTCTTCCATTTGTCATTGGTCACATTTGTGGGAGGAATCAAGTTTTGACTATTTCAGTTCTAAATAATTTTAGAAAATTGGGTGTGCCTTTTGCTATGCACTCCTTCCTCCTGTGCATACATTCTCATGTTATTGCCGGATATTCTGCAAACATTTTAAAAAATACTCTTGAAATACATACCACTGTACCTGATAGAAAGATGTAGAAGATTGAGGGTCCTATCTTCAGAAGATTATACTTTGTTAGGAATTTACACACTCATAATGGCATTACAATAATAAATCAAGGGTGTCTATATAATATTTTACAGTTTATAAGGCCTCCAGTTTATCACTGATGAGATTTCTCACAACGCAAGGAAGGCAAAGATGCCTAAGGTTGTGATTTGCCTAAAGTCATGTGGGAGATAGGTCTTTGACTACCTAGTTGATTGCATTCGTTCTTGCAGCTTGCAGCTTCTCTAACGAGTCTCTCGAAAGAAAGTCTACTTTATTCTAAGCCACTTTTAAAATTTCATGTATACCCTGGTTCAGAGATACCAGACTCCTTTGGTTTTCCTTGTTTTTTCTTCTGCATACTTCTTTTTATTTATGTTCCTAGATTCCTCTCTTTTCATGCTGTTCACGCTTCGTGGATGAACTCGTGTTTGTCTCAAGGCTTTATTTGCAATTTCATTTGTAAATTTGTAAATTCTAAAGTTGTATTTCTAGTCAGCTCTTTTTCCAGATCTAAAATCTTGTTGGTTATGGTCAATTTGGGATGTCCAGAGACCATATTCAAAACTAAATTCACTCCTTGTTGTCTCACCCAACTCAAAGCTCTTTTGGTATTCCCTATCTCAGTGAACTACACTGCTGTCTAACACTGAGTTTCTCAACCGATGTTGCCCACGTCTCTCCTGAAAGAACCATGCTTGACAGGCTTCATGAGTAAAGACTACTCTGGTGAACAGATAGGATCCACTGCTGTGTGGTCGGTCGGTTCTGGGTAGCTATAACTTCACCCGTTTCTTTCCCACCAATCGTTACTATAATCTGTCCAAGACTCTACTCTTACCTTCTATATCCAGACACTATGTGTCTTGAATGCTTATCTTTCTCTCCGTCCTCTTTGTCTCTGCCTTACTGTAAGTTCCTTACTGTAAGTTCCCATTGCATTTCACCTGGATTGTTGCCACAGCCTCCAAATAAACTGGTGGGCTTTCTGCCTCCAGTTTTGCCCTTTATATTTGGGCAGCCATCCTTTGGACTGAGTGATGATTCTAAAATGCAAATCTGATCATACAATTTTGCAGCTAAAAATTCTGCAGTGGTTCCTCAAGGTTTTATGATAAAGTCCAAACTCCTTGGCGTGGTGTACAGGGTACTTAGGATCTGGACCTTTTTGTTGCTTCACGTGTTCACAGGGCTGTTCTTTGGTTTGGAACACTTCTCCCAGGTGTTAGGACTCCTTCCCCAGTTTCTCTCTCTCTCCCCTTTCTGCCCCACTCCCTGGCTTGGATTAAGTCTCCCACTGACGCCACCCTGTAGGTATTTATCACAGTCCCTATCACATAGGATTATCTGTTTCTTTACTTGTCTGTTTCTACCTTTAAACCATGAAGTTTTTGAAGGACGAGTCAGGGGTTTAGTAATCTTTTAGTTCAGTTAAAGATGACTAATATTGGTTAATTGCTTGTTATGTATTAGCAACAATGCAAATTCCTGGATGTGTAGTGATTCATGGGACATTGCCCTGACCTCATTCTTAGATGAGGTGTAGATGCAGAGACCCATGTCTCTCGATTTGGGGGTAGGCAAATGATGGCCTTCTTAGCCAAGTCCAGTCCAGTCCTGCCTATTTTTGTATGGGCTGTGAACTAAGAATGGTTTGTACATTTTTAATTGGTTAGAAAAAATCAGAAGAATAATATTTTGTGACATGTGAAAATTTCATGAAATTCAAATTTTAGTTACCCATAAAGTTTTGTTGGAGCACAGTTTAGCCCATGTAACAAAGCATTGTCTGTGGCTGTTTTTGCACAATAAGGGCAGAGTTGAGTAATAGCGACAGACTCCATATGTCCCAGCCCACAAAGGCTGAAGTATTTACTATCTGGCTCTCATAGCACAGGTTTGTTGACCTCTGTTCTAGAGCAGTACTTTCATGTTATATAGTAAGTCCTAAGTGAGAGATGCAAGCACAGAGAGGATTCACTTCACTGACTGTTTGGGTGGAGGCTGGAGGCATTCTGTCTCCAGTGACACTTGTCTGGCATAGTGTTCATAAAAATATATGTACAGTGAGTGAATAAATGAATGCCTGAATTATAAAACTCCCAGAACATTGAACATTAACTTAAATTCTTCAAAGCAAAACTTTTGAGCTTGTGTTTATTTTTTATCAGTGCCATCTCTCCATTTTATAAGATATATGTCACTGTAATAGCTAATATTAAATGTAGTATGTGGTTTTATTTCTGTAAATTTTTTAAAAAAGTACTAAGGTATGGAACTGGTATGGAATTGGAAAGGCCTATGACTGTCCTTTTTTGGGTAAAAATTAGACTGTTATGTGACTTGAAGGCAGCCTAGATAAATCTTAGGCGAAAACTCATGAATTCTCACATGTGAATATGTATTTCTGAAATGTTAATTTGTATTTTTTTCCTTTAAAAATGGACATAAGCAAATTTTATTTAAAGTATATATATTCTGTAGTTTCAGCTACTTGGGAGGCTGAGGCAGAGGGATCATTCGAGCTAAGAAGTTTGAGGCTGTAGTACACCATAATTGCGCCTGTTGAATACCCACTACACCCCAGCCTGGACGACGTAGACCCTATCTCAAAAATTAAATAAATAAAATGTATATATTCACATGTACATTGTTGAAATAGATTCTTAAAGGGAATTATTAAGCAGCTGAGGGGAAAGGTTACAATGAAATATTTGCTTGTTGTATATAGCATCCTTTTAAGTTTAGTGAAGTCATCATGAGTAGATTTAGAAGATAGGCATACTGTTTCTTTAGGATAGTGAAAGGACTGTAAATGTAGAGTACGGTATAGCCCAGTGTATTCCACATTAAAGTGGTTAGGCCGATGAGCAGTAACCACATATTCATCTAAAGTTAATAGGCAGCAGCAACAGTTGCTTCTTTTTTTTCTTTTTTTTTGGAGACGAGTTTCGCTCTTGTCGCCCAGGCTGGAGTGCAGTGGCACGATCTTGGCTCACTGCAACCTCTGCCTCCTGGGTTCAAGCTATTCTTCTGCCTCAGCCTCCCGAGTAGCTGGGATTACAGACATGTGCCACCACACCCAGCTAATTTTGTATTTTTAGTAGAGACAGGGTTTTACCATGTTGGTCAGGCTGGTTTTGAACTCCCGACCTCAGGTGATCTGCCCGTCGTGGCTGCCCAAAGTGCTGGGATTACAGGCATGAGCCACCACACCCGGCCCTGCTTCTTTACTTGTTCATTTTTCCTACTGGACTTTATTGACAGCTGTACCACTGTTCTGTTTGGGTTTTAGGGAAAGGTGTTAAAGTTTAGAGCAGAGCTGTTTGTTTATTTTTACTGCTGAAAATTTCTGAGAAGGTTTTTAAAAATATGGGATTAATGTTTCTTCAAGTTGTCAGCTTGAAAGTGTAAAATTTCAAGATGATTTTGTGCAGATCCTATTACTTTGCCTTGGTTGCTTGCTATAAGACTTGTTTAAGATAGAACTTGCCCTGTGGAGAAGAATAGAGTAGAATAAAATAATTTAAAAATAAGAAAAAAAAAGATTAAAGAAAAAAAAACACATATGTAAAAGGGCCCTGCTGGAATTTGCAAGCATCTCCTTTCTTGTGATATAAAGTTAGGTGTTTGCTCATTTGGGTCTAAAATTGACAGCTTGCTAATGGGGTTACCAGAAAACCCATTTATAGAAACATTCCTGAGATTTTAGAGTACTGCACCAGACTAGGGTGGCACTAATTAAGTATGTCTGCTTTTCTATGTGTGTGCTCTTCTAGGGGCCAGCCCGAAATACGTGGGCCCAGTCAGCCTGGTACAGCTACATATTCATGAAATAAAATAAAGCAGACTTCTCTCTTTCTTAGACAATGGCACCCTCAGATCTCTTGTGGGAGAAGAATCTTATGGTAAGGCTGGGAAATGAATAAGGGGATTTACCTTATTTCTTTTGAACTTTAGGAGTTACATTTCCTCAGTTCCCTTCTTTTACTCTTTGTTTCCATCTGTGTGTGGCCGCTTCCTCTTATATTGAGGGCAACATTAGATTCTTTTATTTTTAGATTTTTGTTATTTTATCTTTTTGTTTTGAAAGTTGGAGGAGATAGTAATTCAAAATCAGTCTTCTTCACATTGCTTGCTTTTTTTTTTATTTTTAAAGAGACAAAGTCTCACTCTGTTGCCTAAGCTGGAAGTGCAGCGGTGCAGTCAGAGCTCACTGCAGCCTTGACCTCCTAGGCTCAAGTGATCCTCTTGCCTTGGCCTCCCACAGTGCTGGGATTATAGGCATGAGTCACCATGCCTGGCCTCTTTTTTTTCTTTTTTTGAATTTGGTACGTGGCCTTATATAGAGTTAAGGACTCAGTAAATTTTGTTTCATGATGATAAATCACAGTACTGTGTATATATGAAAGTTTCTGCTAACCAGAATGATTGTTTGTGGCAGTGACTATACAGGTACCTGTCTGTTTTCAGAGACATGGTTAATGACCAGTCTCTTTTTTTTCCCATCTTCTTTAGAGTTCTGATTTTGTGTTCTATTCTTGAGCTGGGTGGAGCTCAAGAATAAATTTTACATATGTAAAATTTCAGAGCTATGCATTTAATATTTGTATACTTCATTATATGTAAATTATTCCTTGAATAAAAAAATGAATTAAGAAACTTTCAGCCAATTGTAGTACACTATAATATAGTTGATTTTGTTTGTTTTTCATATGATTTTTGGCTTAGGAGAGAACACAATGTGAGGCTTCATCATCTAAAATATATTTCTCTTAGTGTCTTTCTCCTCTGTACCAGAAGTTGCTGGCATTAATAGACATTAACAGATATTTGTTGAGTGATCAAATCAGTGAACTGGCTGGTTTTAATTGAGTTATGAGCCCATTTTCATTGAAGTACCTGCAGAGCCCTCTCATACAATCAAGCTTGGTAGACGCCTCAGGCAGTGGAGCATGGGAAACCTGGGGAAGAGCTGTCCTCTGTTCTCACCTCACTTTAAGCAGGTAGTGGTTTTGGTTGATGCTTCATCGTTTGATGTGGTAAAATGGTAAGTCTGTGGGTTTTGCTGCAGGTTTAGAGAATTCTTTAAGAATGTCTTTGTGTGGCATATGCTTTGGTCACAATATCTGGTGCTTAGGTAACTTGCTATTTAATTTCCATGGTGAAATGTAAATGTTCCACATATCACTTAAATAATGGGAAGACCCCATCTTCATTCATTTAAACATGGTCTAGGTAATGGCTTTCTCTTATTGAGCCTTTTAGAAATAAAAAGTCTGAAGTTTGAATCATGTGGCTTTCTTGGAGAAACTTTTATTTTTTTTTGAGACAGAGTCTCACTCTGTTGCCCAGGCTAGAGTGCAGTGGCGTGATCTTGGCTCACTGCAACCTCCACCTCCCAGGTTCAAGCGATTCTCCTGTCTCAGCCTCCCGAGTAGCTGGGATTACAGGCACACACACCACCATGCCCTGCTAGGTTTTTTGTATTTTTTTTAGTAGAGATCGGGTTTCACCATGTTGGCCAGGCTGGTCTCGAACTCCTGACCTCAGGTGATGCACCCTCCTTGGCCTCCCAAAGTGCTGGGATTACAGTCGTGAGCCACTGTGCCTGGCTGGAGAAACTTATAAAGCTATGAAATATTTCCAGTGATCTGAAAAGATCTACCCACTTAAAATGAGATGAGCTTATTGCATTTTGATTCTAATTAGTGGACAAAGGACTTATGTAAATAAGACTGCTGGGGAGAAAATGGTTCACTCAGACATTATAGTATGGGATGTGTGAGTTATGATAGATGTTGAAGATACTTTTTATATCCTAAAGATAGATTTATTCGTAATGTATTTGAGATCAGACAAAAACATTGACCTGTAGGCAAAATAATTCAGTTGAAACTTTTTTCTGAGATGGAGTCTCACTCTGTTGCCCAGGCTGGAGTGCAGTGGCATGATCTAAGCTCACTGCAACCTCCGCCTCCCGGGTTCAAGTGATTCTCCTGCCTCAGCCTCCTGAGTAGCTGGGACTCTACAGGTGCATGACACCATGCCCAGCTAATTTTTGTATTTTTAGTAGAGTCGGGGTTTTACCATGTTGATCAGGCTTGTCTCGAACTCCTGACCTCGTGATCTGCCCGCCTCGGCCTCCCAAAGTGCTGGGATTACAGGCGTGAGCCACCGCGCCCAGCCCAGTTGAAACTTTTTAAATTGTTAGGAGAATACCTACAGAGCATTTTGAAGAGTAGGGATTGAAGTCAGCCCGGAAAAGCTTCCCGGATCTTGAAGAAAAGTAATAGACATGAGTGTAGGGTGTTTCCAGGAAGGTTGAGTTGTTTGAATAAAGATCTAAAAGTAGTTAGATAATGGTGAAGGTATTATTTGCCATTCATGGAGCAATGAGGACGTGCCAGATGGATTCTGAGGAGAACTTGAAAGCTGGGTGACAAAAGAAACTAAATTACCTTTTGTCAAGTGCCTCCTGGTTACCTCTTTGAATTCTTCAGTCTTGAGAACTATTGTTAGCCCCGGGGAAGAATAATATGACTAGTGACTTTTCTGAGGTTGCGTAGGTTGAAATCCAGACCTGCTGTGGTACATAGATTATGTTTTTGCCACTCTGCCATTTTAGGTCAGACCTGCTGTAAGTGATAGTGAATTCTAGAAAGACCTCAAATTGAGGAGTAAAATGAGAGTGCTAAGGAACTAAGCATTGTTTCTCTGATAGACCACTGCTTTAGGATCTCTGGATTTCGACTGCTTCTGTTAAAAGGGCTTTACACTTAAGAACAGAGGATTTTTTTTTTAATTAAAAAAATATATATGTTTTAGACAGGGTCTTGCTCTGTCATCCAGGTTGGGGTGCAGTGGCACGATCCTATTTCATTGCAGCCTCAAACACCTGGGCTCAAACAAACCTCCCACCTCAGCCTCCTGAGTAGCTAGGACTACAGGCATATGCCACCATGCCTAGCTAATTTAATTTTTTTGTAGAGATGGGGTCTCTCTGTGTTGTCCAGACTGGACCCGAACTCCTGGCCTCGAGCAATCCTCCTGCCTTGGCCTCCCAAAGTGCTGGGGTTACAGGTGTAAGCCACCATGCCCAGCTGAGGATTGTTTTCAGTGGAAGAATTTTAGGTTTTGGGCATATGTACTAGTTGTATGATATTTAGCTGTTAATGCTTCTAGAAATTTCTAAGGAATTTATTGAATTTGAGAATGAGGTCCTGGATTTTGTCAGTGTCTGTTGATAGAAAAAATATGCTCTACCTGTGAAAAGAAAATTTCTACACGTTCTGAATTTATTATGCCAAGCGGAAAAGTTAGGCCCTGGAGACTGAGTCACATAACATGGCTGTTTTTCTTCTCTGGTGTGTGACTGTTGCTTAGGGACCTTTGTGTTGAGATGTTACCTGTAACCAGATACCCTATTCTTTATTCAAACCTAGACTAAATGCAGCTGGAGGTAGAGACCCCTGTGATTGTTACTGCTTTACAATGGAGTGTTAAGCAACCCCCTTAGAGTATAATAGTAACCAATCAAATCTTGTATCTCTATGTTAGCCTTATGCAGAAAATGTTGTAATCCTGTTCCACTCCCCTATTTTTCCTATATAAATGATTCTCACCTTTCCCAATGCTGGGGAGTGCTGACCACCATTCTTCAGTGTCCATGTTTCCTGGAAAACTACCCTCACACTTTGTGCTTGAATGAATTCTTTTTTTTTTTTTTTTTTTTAAGACAGCGTCTTGCTCTATCTCCCAGGCTGGAGTACAATGGCGCAATCTTGGCTCACTGCAACTTCCGCCTCCCGGCTTCAAGTGATTCTTCTGCCTCAGCCTCCCGAGTAGCTGGGATTACAGGCACTTGCCACTGTGCCCAGCTGATTTTTGGATTTTTTAGTAGAGATGGGGTTTCGCCATGTTAGCCAGGCTGGGCTCAAACTCCTGACTAGGTGAGCCATCTGCCTTGGCCTCCCAAAGTGCTGGGATTACTGGCGTGAGCCACCACGCCAGTCTTTTTTTTTTTTTTTTTTTTTTTGAGACAAGAGTTTCGCTCTGTCACCCAGGCTGGAGTGCAATGGCGTGATCTCGGCACACTGCTACCTCTGCCTCCTGGGTTCAAGCGATTCTCCTGCCTCAGCCTCCCAAGTAGCTGCGATTACAGGCATGTGCCACCACACCCAGCTAATTTTTGTATTTTTAGTAGAGATGGGAGTTCACCATGTTGGCCAGGCTCCGACCTCAAGTGATCCGCCCGCCTCGGCTTCCCAAAGTGCTGAGATTACAGACGTGAGCCACTGCGCACAGCTGAATGAATTCTTTTAACTGGATCCTCTGTAAAAAACACATTACGCTTATTTGTGAAGAACAAAGGATTGTTTTCTTTTTTTGTTTTGTTTTGTTTTGTTTTTTAGATGGTGTTTCACTCTTGTCGCCCAGGCTGGAGTGCAGTGGCACGATCTTGGCTCACTGCAACCTCTACCTCCTGGGTTCAAGCAATTCTTCTGTCTCAGCCTCCTGAGTAGCTGGAATTACAGGCACCCACCACCACGCCCGGCTAATTTTTGTATTTTTAGTAGAGATGGGGTTTTGCCATGTTGGTCAGGCTGGCCTCGAACTCCTGACCTCAGGTGATCCATCTGCCTTGGCCTCCCAAAGTGCTGGGATTACAGGCGTGAGCCACCGCACCTGGCCCCAAAGGATTGTTTTCAGTGGAAGACTTGTAGGTTTTGGGTACTTGAACTAGTTGCATGATATTCAGTTGTTAATGGTTCTAGGAATTTCTAAGGAATTTATTGAATTTCAGGATGAGGTCCTGGATTTTGTCAGTGTCTGACAGGAAAAGTGTACCCTACCTCATTTCCTGAGGGATGATCAGTGGCTTCATTTATACAGGGAATGCCACCATCTTATCTCCTTTCTGCCTTATCCATGACTTCTTTCTGGTTGTTGAGAATTGCTGAGTTAGTTCACTTGCTTACTTTATCTGACATTATTAAAGATAAGGCTGCCTGGTCTGTCTTCACATTCTAGTTCTTTCCTTCTCTGCTCCAAGTAAATTCTAACCCTTACATGGTATGTTTTGTTGTTAAAGTTTGCTAACTGAATAGGTCTAACCCACCTTTTGTTAATTGATGAATAGCTAGCTACTGTAGTCCCAGGAGCTTTCTTTGTCAGTATTAACATTATTCAGGTTCAGAAGTGATACTATTCACTTTGATGTCTGTGTATGTGAATTTGCAAATCTGTAAGTCTCTCTTTACCTCTTCCTCTCTCTCTTTCTGCCTCCCTCCTTTTCTCTTTAGTTTCCCCAGAGTGTTGCCGAGCTAAGGTTCAATCAGAGGACTCTTAGATACCTTAATTTTTTTTGGCTTTATTTTTGAAGAAAGGGATCATCGTTCCCATTAGGACATGTATTTACAATGTGTTTTCTTTTGCTTGCCCACCACACTCTACCACTACTTCTAGAACTTAAAATTCTAGGATTGTTTTTTTCTCCCTCATGCCCTATCCCCTTTTTAAAAAAAGTCAAAACTCTTATTATAGTAGAACTTCACAGGTTTGAAGTTGGCTGATTAAATATACTAAGTATTACTGAATCACTGCCCTGCCTTTTCTGCTTTCTTTACAGACCTGTTTAGTATACATTGTATGTATTTTTTTTTTTTTTTTGAGACAGAGTCTTGCTCTGTTGCCCAGGCTGGAGTGCAGTGGTGTGATCTCAGCTCACTGCAACCTCCGCCTCCCAGGTTCAAGCAATTGTCCTGCCTTAGCCTCCTGAGTAGCTGGGACTACACGCGTGGGCCACCATGCCTGGCTAATTTTTGTATTTTTAATAAAGATGGGGTTCTACCATGTTGGCCAGGCTGGTCTCGAACTCCTGACCTCAGGTGAGTCACCCACCTAAAGTCCTGGGGTTACAGGCGTGAGCCACTGCTCCTGGCCCACAGATGATTTTTAAATGCCCTTGCTCAGTTTCCTTTCTTACAGGGAGAGTGGGTGGCACCCTGTGCTACACCGGAGGGCTGAGTGTTGGGCTTAAAATGTCCTCAGTGTCCTCCCTTCTCTCTGCTGTTTTTTGTTTTGTTTTGTTTTTGGTCAGTTGGTAAACTATAAATGCATAAATGTTTTCTCAGGACTTTTCCATCAACTTTCTTCAGAGAGAATGAAGGGATAATGATTTCCAAGAAAAGAGTTTTGCAGTTTTTAGAAAGAGGGTAGTGACAGCATGATGAAATGAGCTGAACAGCTTTTTTTGAGTTTTCACTGGCAGGGACTGGGAAGTGATATTTTCCTGCCCTGGCATCACGAATCCCAATTAGAGGCAGGAATCTGCTGCCCACATGTTCTCAAAATCCTCGACCATTTTATTATCAAAAACTGTAAGGAATAAATAATTTGACAGTGTAAAATGGTTAGATCAAGATTTGGAGTTTAATAGACTCTTAGTTTTCTGGAATGTCCACAGAGACATCCGTGGACTCTGAAAAATATTTGGCTAACTAGAATAATAAAATCATAAAATTTTGGAGTTGAAAATTTAAGCTATAAAAAAAAAAGAAAAAAAGTTTTAGGGATAGGTCCTGGTTTAATTTATTTAATCTCTTACCAAATAATTTAAGGTAGGCGTAGTTGCCTTGGGTGAGCAGTTTTACCTGTAGACTCGTGCATCTGTGCTACCATTCTTCAGTGGTTCCCATCCATCATACCCCTATTATGATGGTGCTGGTGACATCATCTGTTTTGATGCCACTAAGTTTAAAGAATTTTTTCTAAAAAAATTCTGGATCATGATCTGATAGAGCTGAGCATGCCGGAATTTTCATTGAAATTGTGTTCTTTTGGAGGTGGGAATAAACAAGGGACTAAGGATAAAGATTGTGGTGGGGTCGGGGGAGGGTTAGAAACCAAAAGAGCAATTGTGTACTTGAATTGCTTTGGTCATGTGATTGCCCCTTCTTGGGTAAAGGGTCGTGATCAGTGGCCTTCAGTGTCTTGGATTAACTTTCGGAGCAGTCCATACATAGTTTTGAATTTGTGGTATTTTAGATAAGTTCATGGGATAGAAAGTCTATTGGAGACTATAAATTCTTAGAATTCTACAAATTATGAGCATTTGTGGGAACATCTGTAATGCAGCTGTAATAAAATTTGTTTATTATCAGGATTGCTTTAGAGGCTCTTGCTGGGTTGTTTATTATTGTTTTCAGCATTTTTGCCATACGCCCTGAAATAGCATCAACTCCTGGGTAGACTTCAGGATCATTCAGTTTTGTAGGCATTCTAATCAGGTTTGGGTTTTAAACATATGTCCACTTTAGAGCTTTTATGTCCTGGCACAGACGTCAATGGTGAATCCAGACCATTTCAAGATGGACACTGATTCTGGAATTAACATACTTCCCAGATGTTTGTAGTACAGATTTGTTTTCTGTGCTGTCTTTCATGTGTTCTGCTGTGTCTGTCTCTATCTGTGCTTTCCTCTGTTTTTACTTTTAGAACCCCTGGGGAAAGGTAGGTATCTGCTTTTTGGATTGGGAAATAGAATAGGTATTAAATTTTTGGTAAAAACCTTTGAGTGGGTATTGACATTTCTGTGAGAGGAGAGGCTGCTTTGTTCCCTCGAGGGAGACTGTTGGTGAGGGTGGTGTTGGAGGTGAGACTCTGAATGTAACTAGATTCGGACTTCTTCACATCTCTAGTGGTTTTCAATTATGAAATGGGCAACTGATGCTCTGAGTCAGCAGCCTTTTAACCATGCCTGACTGAAGAGAACTTGTGTTTGAAATTCACAGCATTGCCTGGATCCCTGCTGTCTTTTTGTGCCTCCCGCTAACACACAGCTGTTTTTGTTCATACATCATTTTGTGTTCAACTGCCTGGTTACTTCCTCAGGTCCCTTTTATGGTGAATAATGGACACATGGGAGTTTGAACACCCAAGTGTGTGGTTATTCAAACAGGAAGTCTCAAGGAAGCACAGTAACTTTGTCAGAGGAACAAAAGATGGGACAGGAAAGGCTATTGATGATTCTAGGCTTCAAACATCTGCTGGGAAATCTGACAATTTCTGAAATACAGATATTCCATAGCTTACAAACAAGTTGGTTTGTTTATTTGGAACTTGTTCCATTTTTTAAAAATCAGGGTATTAAATCTTCGTAAAATAGAAGTGGAGGGAAAAAAAAGGATATAATGTGGCATCATTAGTGTTAAAAAGAGGAGAGAGGCTCTGCCTGTGGCTTGACTGGGTTTCAGGAGAAAGGCTGGAGCAGCTCATCTTGACTGAAGGTAACCCTGAGGCTGTAACCCGGGGTGAGCACATAGGTGGGACTTGACAGAGGCTGCTAGAGCTGACAGAATTGGATTAAAAGATGATTTTATGCAGAGCTTTTGATGATTGAGCACTGGAGGAATATGAGATAAAGAAGAATGTAGGTTGCACTTAAAGAGCATGCAGTCCAGTGGGAGAGTAAGAATGTGTGTATCAACAAATTTTCTCTGAGACAAAACATGAAGTGCCGTGAGAGAAGGATAGAAATTCCATGTGATTGCAAAGGAGATATGACTATAGAAGATCAAAATAAATGCTTCCCAGAATGTTGATCTGGTGACCGTGAAGATTCCTTATGACCTTGGGATTCCTTGTTTATGTGATAAATGACTTACCAGAAATAGTCAAATAAATCCTGATTTTAGATTTAAAAATGAAAATTAAATCTGGAAGTCAAAGAAGGGGGAGCTCTGGTTTCATAGCAATTTATATTAAGCAAGTGGGGTGATGCAAATGCTACAGAAAAGAGTACTGTGTCAGGCTTAATTAATGGAAGTGATAGTATTCAAAGGAGTACAAGTTCTGTGCATCTTATTCCCCTGCCTTTAATTTCAGTCATGGTAAACTGTTCATAGTAAACATGCTCCCACCGTGTGGGTACTACTACATTTTTTTCTTGACTCTTTACTTTTCTGTTTTTTCCTTTGGCTACTTCCTAATCATCTTTAAAACTCCTGACAAATTTCAACTCCTCCAAGAAGATTTTGCTAATTTCTAATTCCTCTGTTCCCTCCAGAGCACTTGCCTTTATGTCATTTGATGTTTATACGTCCACTCACTTCTAAAATCCAGTAAGCATATTGCATACCTAGGATGTGAGGGGTGCTATATTGTATTGTTTTCTCTCTTTCCCCCATTAGCTGAGTTCATCAAAGACAAGACGAATCCATAGATTTCTTAATTCATTCATTTACAAAGATTTATTAAGCACCTGTTACACAAAAGGTACTGCATAGTACCGGAGACAGGGCAGAGAAGACCTAGAGCTTAAGTTCTGGGTAAAAAAGCATGCAGTACAAAGGACCTGACCTAGGGAGGATTTCATTGGCTTCCCCTCCACCACCCCACTGACTTTTATGCCCCTAGTGTACGGCATAATACCTTTTATATGGTAGTAGGGGTTCAAAAAAGTTTGCTGAATGAGTGAATTTCTATTTCTTTGAGGCTATGGACACAGAATGCAGATGAGTGCAAGAAACAGCAATTTTGTTTAGGTTTTCCCATGATGGAATTTGCCTTGTAGATAGGGTTTTTAAAATTGATCAGGCAGAATAGGATGGCTAGTACATGGTATAGTTTCCTCACCAGCATTGTTAGATGAAGAGTAAGTCACTGTATCAAAGAGCCCCAGTATAAAGTAATAAAGTAAATAAAAACCCAGTTTTAAATCATTGAAGTTTGTTTCTCCTTCAGGTGGTAATTCTGAGGTCAGTGGTTCAGGACAGCAGGGTAGTTCTCCACGCTGACATTCAGGGACTCATGAGTGTTTCCTGGAAATAATCTGGGATCCTTTAGGGTATCATTCTTATGTGCCTGGTTGAGGCTGGGTGATAGGCCCCTGTGCTTTCCAATTGGGAAGATATTGAGGAGTGTGTGCCTAAATCTTAACACTTGAAAATCTTACCTCCCCAAAGTGCCATAACACCTGAAAGTGTATTATCTGCCACCAGAGAGAGCTTAGTCACTTGGCCACCTCATAAACACAGTAGAGGCTGGAAAATGGGGTCTAGCTGGGTGGTCTTGTGCCTGGCCACAGATCTATTACAGTGATGGATGGGTTGGTGGGGAGAGAACAGATTTTTGGCAGACAGCTCTGCCATGCCAACTCCTGTGCTGAAGAGTCTGGTTTCTCCCAAGTTCTGGTCTTTCTGGAGAGTCTTCAGAGGTTCCCATTCTGTGGCTGGCAGTTGTAGGGAGTGGATATAGAAAAATAGGGACCACGCTCACTGTGGATCCTCACAACTTTAGCTTTTCAGTAAAAGAGCCTCTGAAGAAAGGGTGTGTACTCATTCTGCTCTTAGTGCACAGCCTTCACTCCCTGACTTTACAGAATTGGTTTATTCTTTGACCTTTTCCATTTTCACACCCCCAGCCCTCTCCTGGCACTGAGATCCCACTGTACCTTCTTGGTGTTGTGTACTTACACTGATGGGCTCTATGTCTATCTGCCTCGGAGGAGCACATCCCACATGGGCATTGTCTGAATTCACTTGACGATGCTGATGGTGTTTACCTTCAGCTGTGACAGACCAATCAGAGCTGTTTTAAAATCCAGATGTCTTTTAGGAATGAGAGTTCCAGAAGTGATAAATCAGTGCTTTTTGTGGCTTGAACATATACAGTTTTGTTGTGGAATCTTCTTAAATGTATATTTATCTTTTTCTTCATTGCGAGTTCATTGAAGGCAGCTGTGAATCATGTTTTAACCATTAATTAGGTGTCCAACTTAGAGTGGGGTGCTTATGATCTAGTAGATTTAGGAAGATGGGTGTATGTTACATAACACCCTCAGCAGGACCCCCATCTCCAAGCAATTGAATATATCTGCAGTAAAATGTATTCGTACGAAACAGACTGATGAAAGGCTATCATAGCCTCACACTAGGTCATGTATTGTTGTCACACATTATGAAAATCTCCTGCTGTTTAGGGCTTTTTGAATTGAGAATCACAGATGAAGGATTATGGACTTATATCACATTTGATTACGTAAGTTATATCACTTTTACAGATAGTGATAAAACTACTGAAGACTATATAAAAATGTGAACAATAGGCATCTGGTAAATTGGTTATCTAAATAAGCAGATAAAGTTTAATAGGAAATTTCATTTCATTGAAAGGGTGAATTTTGACATGTTCTAACAATTTGAGTGAATGGATTATGAAATTATGGTAACAATATTTAGAACTACAGATAGGGCATTACATAAATGTTTAAAAGAAGAAAAGAAATAGGGTTGAATTCTGATAAAAAGTGACCTATTAGAAAAGTATTTCTATTCCTCTAGGGACATCCGTTCAATTTTTGTTGTTGCTTCATTGATTTTTGTAAAAAGGTGTTGCCTTTTAAAAATCATTTTAGAAAGGCAATGTCATTTTTAATGACATTACTACCATGCATAGTTTTGTGAGAAACCTGGCTATGTTAAAGCCATTTCATTTGAGATACATTTTGAATTGAAAGTTATTCTGTTGTTCTTGTTTTCAGAAGCAGATAATTTTGGCGATGTCTGTGTCCTTCTTGTCTGCTCTTTATCTGTTTACCTACCTGCTTATCACAACTAACTTTCTGTCCAGTTTTTTTTAATCCTTAGTAAATCAGTGTCTAGGAATCTTTAGTCACTCAGTTTTGAGGATGACTGTGTAAATGGTTATAAATGATTGCTTTTGCCTGTTGTGTTCTGTCAGCTTGGTTTTTGCTTTCTAAAAGATTACAGTCTCCTTGAATTGACATCTTTCTTTTTTATTTTTTTAAAGTCAAACTCATTCTCTTTATTTGTGCAGAGTCCTTTGCCCAAAATACATCATGTTGTCCTCTGGGCTTTACTGTCCTAGTTTCTTTTGGAAGAAAAATGCCTTCTCTATAAATTCTTCCCCACATCTTAGAAGTGTGACACAGCAGTGCTTACTGTATCACTCATTGGTCACTTGAGCATACCATCTTCTTTGGGAATCTTTTTTATGTTTATTTATTTTCATATGCACCCAGCGTGGGAACCGTGTTTTAAACCATTAGGTCAGTAACTTAGAGCTGGGTACTTGACTCGTAAAACGATAGGCATTTAAATATTCTTTGGCTCTTTTGATGAATCAGAAGATTCAATTCTAAACTGACAGAGAAACCTAGGACTAAATTAAAAAAATATATCCAGGCCATGGCTTTGGAAGGGTGTTTGGAAGAGCTGTGTTCACTAATCATTGGAGAAAGGCCACGGAGCTATTTCCTCAAGATTTAAGACATCCCCCTTTTGTGGACAGTAGTAATAGAAGACCTGTCTGTTCTGTTGAACTTTCCTTTAAGAACTGGAAAATAACTGAAACCAACCACAAAATTGTTTCTTTTTAAGAAGCGTTGTCTTCCTTTCCAGGATCCACAATGCCAAGTTAAATACCTTTCTTTTTTTAGGGTAGCAGATTTTCTCACACTGAGACTTTTAAACGTTTCTGTTATATTAATTGTAAAGTGTCATGAAGTTGGTGTCTCAATGCTTAAAAAAAAAAAAAGATCCACTAAAGCCTTCTTCTTGTCATTTGAAGGTTATTAAAATGTAATACTTCCCTTGTACATTCTTAATACTGATTTCCAGTGAACCCAGGGATTATTTCTCAGAGAGGAAATTCTGTTGTCACCTAGGCTAATAATTACCAAGTGCTCACCAGTAACAACTAGAATCTTCTCAGTAGGTTTTTTTTTTTTGGCTTTTTTTGTTTTAAATGTATATGGCCAGTTGATTAGTATGAATTATTGTTTTGTACTTGCAAGTCAATACAAGGTAAAATAGATAATTGTTTATGCAGCCAAGTATTCTGTTTTAGTGCACATAAATATGGAGTAGAAATAAAAGTTTCCATATGAAGTAGATTAGTAACTCTAGGGACATTTCTTCCAATTTTCCTCACCCCAGGTATCTACTACCATGGATTTTATGTTTTAGTCTTTTGCTTTTAAAAGAAAATAGTTTTGTAATTCCTAAACAATGTATTGTTTGTTTTTGAGCTTTGTAAAAATGGTATTCTATATGTGGTAATTGGCAACTTGCCAATTGAAAAAAAAGTTCAGTATATTTTTGAAGTGTAGCTGTAGTTCATTCATTTGCATTCCTGTCTAGTTAAGATTATACTACACCTAAGCTTTTGATTATCCTGCTGATGGATTTTTTGTTGTTGTTGTTGTTTTACGAATAGAACGCTTCTATGGGCATTCTCACACATGTCTCCTGATGCCTATGTGTGAGATTCTCTCTACCTGGGTTGCTGGGTCATAATACATGAGTTTTTCAATGTTATAAAATAATGCAAATTGTTTCCCAGAGTGATCGTGCTAGTTTAGATGCTCAACTAGCAGTGTTAATAGGCCTGTTGATCCACATTGGGTATTGTGAGAATTCTCAAATTTTGATCATTTGGTGGTATAAAATTGTATCTTAGTGGTTTTATTTATAAAGGAGAGTATCTTTTCATGTGTTTATTGGTCTTTCATATTTCCTCTCCGCAAAATGTCTCATCATGTTTTCTTTCCCTTATTGATTTGTAGAATTCTTCATATATTCTTTATACTAATCCTTTGTCAGTTATGTGTTTTCCTTATCTTCCAGTGTGTCCAGTGTATAATTTGTCTTTTACATTTTTTCTGTGATATCTTTTGAACAAAATGTCTTAATTTTAATGCGATCACATTTGTGGGTACTTTTTCTGTTAGCCCTTTTGAGTCTTATGTAAGAAGTCTTTCCTTATATTTTCTTTTAAGGATCTTCTGAAGTTTTGCCTTTCTACATTTAAGTTTATCTGGAGTCGATTCATGTGCATTGTCTTTATCTGCTAGGACAATTTCCTTTCCAACTTATTCTTCTATTTTAGAAATATCTTAGCTATGTTTAGGCCTGTGCTTATCCATGTAAAATTTAGAATCAGGTTGTCAAGTTCCTCAGTAAGCTGTTTGCATCTCGATTGAAGTTGCATTGAGTTTGTGTATCCATTTGGATTGAATTGACATCTTTATTATTGATTTTTTTCTCCATGAACATGGTATAATTTATATCTTCTCTGTTTAACTCCAATAATATTTAATAGTTTTCTCCTCATGAGCCTTGCTCTTTTCCTGATGGATTTATTCCTAGATACATTTTATTTTTTATTGCTATTATAATTTTTTCTGAATTACACTTTCTAACTCTTTTGTCACTGGTATATAAAAATAAAACTTTTTTTGTGTGTGTTGACCTTATAACCACTTGCTTAATTGTTTTATTCTAATAATTTGTCTTTAGCTTCTATTGGGTTTATATGTAGGTAGTCATCATCTGTAATAATGACAGTTTTGTTTCTCCTTACCAAGCCTTAACTCTTTTACTTTTTTCTCTGTTGATTAGAACAATATACAGAATACATTTAAAAAAATTCCCCTTAAATATTATGCCTTTATAAAGCTCTGCTAATTTGATAGGTGAGATATGTTTTAAAGTTTATCTCTTTTATAATTATGAAGGCCATTCTTAATTCTGTTGCATAATATTTATTTCTGTAAGCTACCTCACTTTTTTTGTAAAGAGGTATGATACTAACAGTTTCTTTCAGCTTAGTTTTCAACTTCTTTTGCTGTAAGGCCATTTTAAGAAATGTTTTGGGTACAGGTTTCAGTTAATTAAAATAGCTCTAAAATATCAAATTAGGTAGTATACAGATATTATTCACCTTTTTGGTAAAATTAGCTACCAAATTAGTTGCTGTTCATACTGTTTGATGCAATAAGTGGTAATCTGGAAAATGGAAACATTTCTATTCATAAAATTCACTGGAGATTTGATTAATACATGTATTTCCCTAAAAAACAAAGCAAACTGAACCAGTGGTAACTCAAGGAAGCATTGATAGAGGGACTTGGGTTTTGTTTTGTTCTTCATAACTAAATCACTCAATTACAGAGTGTGATAAATTTCTCAAGCTTCTGAGATATTTTAGGTCAGTCTTTATATTTTTATATCAATTCTGTGGATCATGCATTTTAAGCTCTTTTGTCTCTTTCTCTTCAAAACTGTCTAACGCCCTCTGAAACCTTATTTATCATCTGAGAAAGGATTGCATTTAAAAGACTTGGAACAAAGAGTGTTGAATGTATGGGACCTTGTTAAAATGTTGTCTTGTAAAATGTGATAGATATGAGTCTTTTAAGTTTTGGGGATAGATAGACCCATGTGTAATTTGTCTGTAAACACTACAGAAGTAGTTCTCAAATGAGTGTGGTACTGTCCCCGTAGGGGTATTTAGTGGACAGGAGGGGATTGTGGGGAATTGGAGGGGATGGGAGACAGTCCCATACAACAAAGAATTGCCCAAATCCTGCCTAACTTTTGGATTTCTCACGGGACATTTGTGCTATTAAAAAACCTGATTATAAATACCTGAGCCTAGAACATAACTTTGTCTTTACACATAAACAGTTTTTTTCATAACTTTATTATATGTAATTTCCCATGAATACAACCACCATGTATATAAATATTTTTTTAGCTTACCGAGAGTTAGTTCACCAATTCGGAAGGCCCCATCTCTGCCAACGCTGCCTCTCATGATATTCAAGTTGCCCATACAACACATATGTAAATCAGTCTGCTTTTCTAGCAATCAGAGTGAATCTGTGTACCAATTTGTATATTCTTAGCCTCTTTTTTTCTAAAATATCAAATGTAAATAAAAGTGTTGATAGTAGCTGAAATTTTGAAATTTGCTTTCAACCATCTTTTCCTAAATGTGAATAGCTATTACTGTGTCTACCTTGTTTCTTCTTACGGAACAATGAAATCACTAAGAGTAAGTGAACATTTTACAAGGAAACATGCTGATAAAGTTGGCAGAGATACGTCATTGTCCCTCAGTGTAATTTGTTCTGACCTGTTATACCTACTTAGTTAAAATGTCCTCTTTATCTTAAAACATACAGGTAAATCTGCTGGTGCTACGTTTCCCAACAATGATTTTTATTGCAGTGTCCACCTATAGCTCTATCCTTTCATTTCCTGTATGCCTTGTACAGAATGACATCCAATTCTGTTTTTAAAAGTATAAACTTGTTATAAATAAGTACAAATGTCTGATAGCTTTGTTATACATTCTAGTATAGTAATCCCTGAGCTATTACCTATTAAAAGGCGTGTATTTCCTTTTAACTTCTGCTTTATGTTATAGTTAGAGCTACACACATGTACACCACCCACCCCACTTGTAAGTTATATATGTTGTAGATTATATAATTTATGAGTTTTATTTTGGGATGGTAAAGGAGAAGCATTTTAAAATATTTGTTATAGTATTGGGGACATGAGTGTCTGTTGGGCTTGAAAATCTTCACTTTACAGCACCTCATCCTCACACGTGTCTTTTAAATAGTCTTCTGCCCCTATATTCTCTCTCCCTTCCGCTCTGTTGTACACAGGAAGCCAAAGCCCTCTCGAAAATACCAGGTATCACTTCCTCCTATTCAGATTCTTAGCCAAGTTGTTACCTAGTATTAACATTGTGGTATATATATTGTCTCACCAACTGGAGATATGATGGCAGGGACTACATCTTGAATTTCTTCCTGTCTTTATTATTAATATAGTTCTTTGCATCTAATGTGTACTCCAGAAATGTTTGCTGATATTTCTAGTCTACTTTCCCACTCTTATAGAAGAAACTAAATTTGGAGCAAATTCTCCAAGTTTTCTTACTAAATCTTCATATTTGTTGTATACAACTGCTCTTTAAATAGTTCTCAGCAGAATCATCTTAATATTTTTCTTGGTAAAATGCCATCTATAGCATCCCCAGGTGTAGAGAAGACATACAGAAATGGAAAGACTTTAATACTGGTCTGATTGTAATTACAGTATTAGAATAAGTTGTGGCAGAAGTCTTTTTAAAAAATTGTATAATTGTGGTAAAAGAAATCTAATTTTTTAAGTTTATCTACAGAGGTTGTGTCAATACCATATTCTTGATTTATTTTCTTGTAACTATTTTCTCCAATTTTGAATTTAAGGTTTTTTTGTTTTTTTTTTTTGTTTTTGAGACGGAGTTTAGCTCTGTCGCCCAGGCTGAAGTGCAGTGGTGTGATCTCAGCTCACTGCAACCTCCGCTTCCCGGGTTCAAGCAATTCTCCTGCCTCAGCCTCCCGTGTAGCTGGGATTACAGGCATGTGCCACCATGCCCAGCTCATTTTTGTAATTTTAGTAGAGACGGGGTTTCACCATGTTGGCCAGGCTGGTCTGAAACTCCTGACCCCAAGTGATCCACCTGCCTTGGCCTCTGAGAGTGCTGGGATGACAGGCGTGAGCCACCATGCCAAGCCAAAAGTGTCTGTTTTCTTATCTCCTTAAATACCATACTCTCCCATTCTCACCAAACTAAAACAAAAAAAAAAAATCATTCTGGATTTTCTTCCTTTGTGTCAATTGTGTTCTTTATTTTTTAAACTGGGCATAATAGGAATAGTTTGGGCAGCATCAATAGTAAATCAAATCTGTAGTAGATACCATTTCACATGTGTTTCCGTGCATTATTTTTTTCAAATTCAGTCTCCTTGCATAATACACTTAGAATCTTATGTGCTAAAGATGTCGTTCCCACTCAAGGTAGTGTTATCTGCCAGTTGACCTTTATCAATCAGATTTCAAAGTTGGTGTTGGTTATATTGTGTACTCTCCATGTGAGCTTTTATTATGTTGTTTAGTCATCTTTTGAAAGATAGTGTTGTCTCTATTTAACCCTATCTCTTATTAGAAATTACTTCTACATTGTGACTGTTGTAATAGTTCTTTGATATATTTACCTCACTTTATCAATGTTTCTGCTTGTTTTCTCAGATTCTTTTTTTTTTTTTTTTTTTTGAGACAGAGTCTCACTCTCGCCCAGGCTGGAATGCAGTGGCGTGATCTCGGCTCACTGCAAGCGCCACCTCCCAGGTTCACGCCATTCTCCTGCCTCAGCCTCCCAAGTAGCTGGGACTACAGGCACCCGCTACCATGCCTGGCTAATTTTTTTGTATTTTTAGTAGAGAAGGGGTTTCACCACGTTAGCCAGGATGGTCTCGATCTCCTGACCTCGTGATCTGCCCGCCTCGGCCTCCCAAAGTGCTGGGATTACAGGCGTGAGCCACCGTGCCTGGCCTCTCAGATTCTTAAAGATAGAATCACTGGGCCAGGCTCGGTGGCTCACGCCTGTAATCCCAGCACTTTGGGAGGCTGAGGCTGGTGGATCACATGAGGTCAGGAGTTCGAGACCAGCCTGACCAACATGGTGAAACCCCGTCTCTACTAAAAATACAAAATTAGCTGAGTCTGGTGGTGCATGCCTGTTATCTCAGGTACCTGGGAGGCTGAGGCAGGAGAATCGCTTGAACCTGGGAGGTGGAGGTTGCAATGAGCCAAGATCGTGCTGTTGCATTCCAGCCTGGGCAACAGGAGTGAAACTCCATCTCAAAAAAAAAAAAAAAAAAAAGAATTACTGAATTAAAAGACGTGGATATTTTTAAGGCCTTTAGATGTTACAGTCCTAAATTCTGAGTTAGCAGGTTATGAGAATATCTGTTCCTCTGAGAATTACCTTTCCTCTTCTCCTTTCAAATTATTTTTTTATCTGAGGTGTTTACTTTTCAATATTCAATAGTTAATAAGTCACAGCTGTCTAGGATGCAACTCTGATTTTGATTGTTATGATGGATTAAAGATGACCACAGATGCTTTGACACTCCTCCTTTTGTGTGTGGACTGGGCTGTGACTGCTTTAACCAATATGGGACAGTATGTGTGATGATATGGCAGTTCTAGGCTTAGCCTTTGAGAGGATGGGCAGCTTCCACCTGCCTTTTGGATCCTGAACTGCCTTCTAGAAGTTCAACTATCCTGAGACCACCATATTTGACAGGACATGAGCAGGCATTTCTGGTGAGCATTCCTAGCTCTGTCCAGCCTTTCCTCCATCCCCATCAAGGCACCAGGCAGATGAGCCCACCTGGCAGCTGAGTACCACTGTGTGACTTCAGTCAATACCGTGTGGAGTACACGAATCATCCAGCTGAACCCTTCCCAAATTCTTGACTCTCAAAATCATGAGATAAAAATGGTGGTTGTTTTAAGCCACTGAGCTTTGGAGTAGCTTGTTGTGCAGCAGTAGATAACTGGAACACTTACTGAGTCTCTGGGATTATTGAGTTGGAGTGCCTATGCTGCTCTTCCCAAGGGGAATCAGCCTTTTTTCCTTCCTGGAATGGTTGCTTAGAAGAACCTGTAGACACCCAGAGGAAGTTACACTTTTCTTTGGCTTTAACTAGAGAGCCATGGGAGAGGAGCCAGAAATATCCCGAGGCTATGCATTTCTGAGTTCTAACTGAAGCCTGGCAGAAATTTCAAACCAAGTTATCACAGGGATCTTGTGTCTGAGAGAGCAGACTGTCTTCTGGTCAGTATCCTTGTGTGTCTAATGAAGGGAAGACAGGTGCAGGGATCCATCTTCAGGGTGTTCTCCAGGAGAGCCATAAATGTAACAGTAGGAAAACAAGCTATGTTCATATTCTTGGTTTCTGCTTATTTCTCTGATAAAAAATCATTCCTTTCATTGGTTTCTGCTTGTTCATCTGATAAAAAAATCATTCCTTTTGTTACCTGTCAAAACATACAGCCCCCTGATTGCAACTCAAGGTGCTCTGCACTGCGTATCCAAGAGTAACCATCACTTCTGCTTCCCCTGTTTTGTTGCATGTGTTGGCTAGCTACCTATCCATTTTTGTGTTCTCATCCCTTTTTCTTTCTGTTCTGTCTTTCACAATTACCCTACTTTCCATTCCTCTTCCCATCTCTCCCAAACTCTGCTAATTGATATTCTGGTCATACTAAAAGGCTAATCTATCTATCTTTCTTTTGTTCTTTCTTTTCTTTTTTTTTTGACACAGTCTCACTCTGTCGCCCAGGCTGAGTGCAGTGGCATGATCTCGGCTCAATGCAACCTCTGCCTCCTGGGTTCAAGCAGTTCTCATGCTTCAGCCTCCCGAGTAGCTGGGATTACAGGCATGCGCCACCACGCCCAGCTAATTTTTATATTTTTAGTAGAGGTGGAGTTTCACCATGTTGGCCAGGCTGGTCTCTTAACTCCTGACCTCAGGTAATCCGCCTGCCTCAGCCTTCCAAAGTGCTGGGATTACAGGTGTGAGCCACCATGCTCAGCCACTTAACTTTCTTTTTCTTACATTTTCATCTCTTTATCCCTCCTGCTCATGTCCCTTCCTCTCCCTCACCTTAAGCACAGCCTGCTTGGGTTTTTGGGTGTGTGTCTTATAATAATATATCACTTAGTAAATTATAAGCAACTTGAGAATAAAGAAGGTTCTATTCAGTCATAATGCTTAAGAGTGTTCATCAAATTATTTGGGTTAAATAAAACCCTTTATTTCCATTTTCTTCTCCCTTACTGAAAAAAGCTACACTAATGTTCTCTAGGATTGATGTGCATAGAGAATGGGAACTTAAAGAATTATTGTCTTAAGGGTATGTGGGTTTCCTTATCCAAACACAGGTAAATGAGGGAAGAGATGTAAACAACGATTACTCTGTTCTTCCTAGTGTTGGTTGGAGTTCTCTGTACTTCTGTTTCCTGTCCAAGGAGGGAGAGATCCGTCATTCTGAATTTATTTGTTTGAATTTATGGGACAAAAATGCTATAAATCAAATCCCTTGTTAGGGTTTTCCAGTGCGTTAAATGTAAAAACTTGAAAAGTTTGCTGAAAAACTTGGTTTCCGTGTCCATATTTAATAGATCATATTTTCCCCAGATATTTTCGACTATAGCCATTATAAGAAATATATTTTGTATTGCCACCTAGTCAGTACATATAGCTGAAACAGGTTTATCAAAGCAAGTCTAACCATTATTTCCTGTATCATACTCTGATATTTTCTATTCACTTCTAATTCTTTTTTAAAAATGCTCATCTGGATCTGTTTTTTGTGTGTGTTTTTTTTTTTCATTTCAAACTAATGGGTTGTTTGAAAAGTATTGAGTTACATAATAGTTGCTTGAATGGTAAGGGTCTGATTCTGAGTCTCATCAGCTCTCCTGAGAGAATTGGTGTTCTTAGACTGCATTGGTGGCTGAATCTGATCAGAACATTTACATTTTGTGAAGATCTTGTATAATCCAAAACATTCATAATGAAAGATAGTTTTGGTTTTTTTTTTTTGACAGAGTCTTGCTCTGTTGCCCAGGCTGGAGTGCAGTGGCACGAACTTGGCTCACTGCAACCTCCATCTCCTGGGCTCAAACGATTCTTGTGCTTCAGCCTCTTGAGTAGCTGGGATTACAGGCGCACACCATCATGCCTGGCTAATTTTTTGTATTTTAGTAGAGACGGGGTTTTACCATGTTGCCCAGGCTGGTCTCAAACTCCTGAGCTCAGGCAATCCACCCGCCTCGGCCTCCCAAAGTGCTAGGATTACAGGTGTGAGCCACTGCTCCTGGCCAAAGATAGGTTTTATTATTGGGAAAAAGTGTTAAGATAGGTGAAATCTATAGTCTTTGCTCAAATGTTGCTTTTTATTTTCTAAGTGTCATCACTAGTGTTTTGCAGAATGTTCTCTCAACAAGCAGTACTGCCTATTGAGGTGGGTTGATTTGTTGTTCTGAATAGTTCTGCCACCTCCAATTTCATTTTAAAGTCATTGATTTTCAGGTGCATTTGTAAGGCTAGCATCATTAATATCAGCACTTAATAGCTAACATTTATTAACTACTATGTGCTATGCATGGTGTTGAGTGCTTTTCTTAGATTAATTTAATCCTCAGCACAACCCAGTGCGGATGGAGCACTCTCCCAGTTTACGGAGGAGGAAGCCGAGGCATAGAAGCCACACAGCTATTTGTGAGGATTCAGGCTGTGCACTCTAGGGTCTGGTTATAGAGGCTGTTCTCTGAATCACACTGTGCTCTGCCTCAGAATAAAATGCCTTCTATACAACGTGGCTGTAACCTTAACTTCTGGGGACTGGTATCACTTGTTACTCTTTCCTAAATTTTGGGGTCATTTCCAGTATTCTAATGGCAACGATACTATAACACAGCCCCTAGGATACTGATATTCTGTTATATTGAGAAGAAAGCAGGGGTAAATAAGGTCTTTTGACATTTTAATGAACTGATTGCTTAGGGTTTCAAGATTAACCCACCCCGTATATTGCAAGGTCGCTTCTCAGCCTGAAGTTTACTTAGGTGAAAAACAGGACATTTTATTTCTTTAGTGTCTACTTTATGCTAGACACAGTTCCTGGCTTGGAGACTACAAAACTCAATGTGGAGCATTTGGCTTTGATTAAGAGGGAAGCCATTGATTATTCATAGACTTCTAGGACCACAGCCACCTTAGAGCCTTAGGGGCTTTTCCCACTTGACCCCTTCTTCTACTGAAGAGGAGCAGGCCAGGAAGCCAGTGGTTCCTCATGGTATCAGGATTCCTTGTTCTTGGTGCTCTATTGTGTTGCCTTTTCTTCTGCCATCTTATTCCTTTGATTAGTGAGAACTTTGTGCATCTTTTTTTTTTTTTTTTTGAGATGGAGTTTCGCTCTTGTTGCCTAGGCTGGAGTGCAGTGACGCAATCTCGGCTCACTGCAACCTCCACCTCCCGGGTTCAAGCGATTCTCCTGCCTCAGCCTCCCGAGTAGCTGGGATTACAGGTGCCTGCCACCGCGCCTGGCTAATTTTTTGTATTTTTAGCAGAGACGGGGTTTCACCATGTTGGCCAGGCTGGTCTCGAACTCCTGACCTCAGGTGATCCACCTGCCTTGGCCTCCGGAAGTGCTGGGATTACAGGTATGAGCCACCGCGCCCGGACACATCCTTTCTTTATCATTTCTCTTCCTAGTGTGTGAAATGTGGCGATAGATGTTTATAACCACTTACTAGGGATTGACTCAGCTATGAACTTGATACCTGCTTAGGGTGACTAATTTAGCCTCTTGAAGCCTCAGTTTTCTCATTTGTAAAAAAAGTTAGGGTAAAAATATACCCTATTGTGTAAAAAAAAAAACCTACTTTATAGGATTGATGTGAGGATTAAATGAAATAAAGGCATTAGGCCGGGTGCAGTGGCTCATGCCTGTAATCCCAGCATCTTGAGAGGCCAAGGCGGGCAGATCACAAGGTCAAGAGATTGAGACCATCCTGGCCAACATGGTGAAACCCCATCTGTACTAAAAATACAAAAATGAGATGGGCATGGTGTCGTGCACCTGTAGTTGCAGCTACTCGGGAGGCTGAGGCAGGATAATCGCTTGAACCTGGGAGGCAGAGATTGCAGTGAACTGAGATCACACCACTGCACTTCAGCCTGGGCAACAGAGGGAGACTCCGTCTCAAAAAAAAGAAAAAAAAAAGAAATAAAGGCATTAATAGTGTTTATGTGGTGTTTGGTGCAAAGCAAGCATACAATTGATGATTATTTTTCATGAGCTTAATAAAATTGAGGGTGTAGCTGGGGACACCTTTTGGAAGAGAGAGATTATAGAGTTACTGTTGGATTAAAAAGTGTCTTGTGTATGGAATAAGAATCAAGTGGCATTTTTATATTTTTATATTTCAGTCCTCTTTCTTTAGTAAAGATGGAGTAGAACTGGCCCAGTCCCCTCTGCTGCTGCCCAGTGCTGCTGAAAGGGCAGTGTGGTGCAGTGGTTAGAGCATGGGCTGTGGAGGCAGATGGATCTCAGGCCAGCCATGCTTCAGCTGCCTGCTGCCATGTGTCAGGCCTCCTTGGATATAAAGTTCCATAATTTCCTCAGGTATTAAAAGTGAGCCATAGTGTTTCCCTTATGGGATTGTAAGGTTTAAATAGAATGGTGAACATAGAGCAGCCAGTGCAGCACCCACCCCATGGTCGATCCACCCTCTGCTTCCTTTTCATTTTCTCTGATACTTGACGCTTGCCATATATGGGCTCCTCTTGCTCCCAGTTTCTGTTTCTTCCCTGTATGACCTTACCAAATCTGGTGTGTTTATTATCCACCAGTCACGTCCCACTGTCTTTCAAGGCCTGACCTGAGCCATCTTCATCCTTGAAGAGTTCTTCCACCCTCCTCCCCCCATCCCCCCGTTCACCAATTCATTGATCTGTCCTGAATTTCTCCAGTAATACCTGTTTGGCACTTAACTAGTCCATGAGGGGGCATAAAGGGACCTCGTAGACCTTGGAAGTCATTTAGTCGACCACGCTCATTATACAGGTGAGGAAGCTGAGGTCCAGGGAGATAGCAATTGCTTAAGATCAGGTTTCCCATTTCTAGACTAGAGCTTTCTCCACCACCCTATGTACCGTTTCTGTTTTTAAGCCTGTAAAACAACAAACACCACAATAAACACCAAAACCTGGAAATAGGAGATTATGTATGCAGACTTGTACTTCATGGGACAGAGAGCTGCTTCTGGGTTTGTACTCTGCTCAGAAGGTGTATGCTTTATTTTACTTTAGTTGGTAGGTATACTATATGAGTAATTCTCTTTTCTTTAAAATTGTAACACATGAATTAATAAACATACATTTACTAAGCATCTCCTGTGTGCAAAGCTTTGAGGACTGTGAGCTTCATAAAAGAGTCTGCGCTTTCAGGGCCTACTTGGGCTGTTAAAAAGCTGTAAGGATAAGGAAAATGCAATCCGTATTGAGATTCTTGAGCTTTCTAAAGTGTTGTTTCCCCACAAGAACTAAAAGGAAACAGATTCAGAGAAACACAGATTGGTGTTCTTACCTTGTTCTCTCCTGTACCCTCTCCAAGAAAAGGTATTTAGTAGTGGAAGGTATATTCGTTTATATTTCAAAGGCACAATGATGTCTGTTTCACAGCTTTCTGGATGTGGTGAGGGACTTTATTTGGTCAGCCCTCATTCCTTACCACTCCCTTTGCTATCTTTGATGGGTAAGCAGATTTCATGAGGCAGGCCAGTCTCTCGTTTCACTAGGTTGCCTGACTCTCTGAAAACTTCCTGACTATCCCAAACCATATAGAAATTTATTTTAAAAGTTTGACAGCTGGCCGGGTGCCGTGGCTTACGCCTGTAATCTCCGCATTTTGGGAGCCCGAGGTGGGTGGATTACCTGGGGTCAGGAGTTTGAGACCAGGTTGGCCAGCATGGTGAAACCCCGTCTCCACTAAAAATACAAAAATTAGCCGGGCATGATGGTGGGCGCCTGTAATCCCAGCTACTCAGGAGGCTGAGGCAGGAGAATTGCTTGAGCCCGGGGAGGTTACAGTGAGCCAAGATCACACCACTCCACTCCAGCCTGGGTGACAGAGCAAGACTCTGTCATACTTTTTTTTTTGACAGCTGTCAAACTGTAGCCTAAGCCTGAAGGGTTGGGAAGTTGAAAATATATGTCATATATATCATGCTCATTTAATCTCTATTGAGATGTTCTTTTTTTCCTTCTTACATAAATATTATGTGCTCTAACTAAACATATTATATATTTTTATGTGCAGTTCAATGCATAAGGAATTGAATCACAATTGGAAGTCCTCTTTAGAAGGATTTGCTCTTGTTTGACAGATAATAGCAGACTTCATCTCTTTTTAAAAATAAACCATCAGTTTATGTCATTGAGTATATTTGATCCTTCTAAAAAGAGGTTCTCTTTCATATTTATTTTTTGTCTATGATGTAGTTTTCTAAAAGTTCGTCTCTATTGGCTACTTCATTTCTGTTCTAAATGTAGTAAGTTCTTGGAAGTGTACTTAGAGGCAATTTAAGGATTTTATCTTAAGCCTGCTGACTTGTGTAGTTGAGTGGATGCTAGTTTTTGGTCAGTTGTTCTATTTCATACCTGTAACATAAGGATATTGAGGGTGACTGAATTTTACAATGCTTTGCATTTTGTACATCTTTATATGTGTCTGCTTCTTGAAATCATTGCTTTTTGTGATAAAGACCCATCTATGGTTATTTCAATTTGCTTGGCAGGTGTATATTTAAGTCTGGTTTTGTTTCTTCTAGACAGTTATTTGATAATAGAGATTCATATTGTTTTCTGTCTCCAGCAAATACTCACTGAAATGAAGAATGATGGATTTGGTGATTTGGGAGTCTGGTGTGTGAAAACACATCTTAAAGGATTCAGGTTTAAGTTTTTTAGTTCTTATACACGGTTCCCATTTTTCTGTAATGTCTTCTTATGTCTCAATATGTAAATATTTTGTCTTTACTTATACTAATGTTTCTTGTTACCCAAATTATCTCCTAAGACTGTTTATGTAGACTTGAAATATTTCTTCTGTCTGTGGGTGTGGGTGTGAGTACCTTCCCAAAAACATCCAGGAATTTTTGCCCACCTACTTGGTTTCCCTGGAGCATGAAAGAAGGTGATTAATGGGGTAGAAAAAAATTCACAAAAAGCCACCAACAAAAAGCTACCTACATGTTTACATGTATTTTAAAGGAAAAGCCTGTCAGCTGCAATCAAAGCAGCAAGGGCTCTTCAAGGAAGGTAATATCTATATGTTGTTCTGTTTTATAACATGTAAAATTTTCTCCCCTTGGGAAAAAACGTCTCACAGAAGATTTTCTTGCAAGATGACTATGATATGACAGGCTCTGTTTTTGTTATGCATAGGCAGTTGCTTCTATTGTGTTCCCTGCAGCCTAGTGCGTGTGTATTTTCTTAGACTCATCTGGTAGTGAAGTGGCCTCTAGCTCAGGTCTTCACAGGCAGAACATCCATGCTTTGAGGAGGCTGTATTAGCAAAATAAGAAACCTACTCAGAGATAAGGGAGAAGCTTCATTGTTGATGCTGTTATTAACTCAGGCTCAGCTTCCTGGTTTGAGAGATGTTCTGAATACATATTGATGGATGGGTTATTAATACATTACATCATGGTGGAACTTGGCATCCCAGACTGGATAAGCCCACTTGCCCTGTTATATACCAGCATTTGTGGTTTGTATTAATAACTCTGTAATCCCAGCTACATGGAAGGCTGAGGCAGGAGAATTGCTTGAACCCAGGAGGTGGAGGTTGCAGTAAGCCAAGATCATGCCATTCTACTCCAGTATGGGCAACAGGAGCAAAACTCTGGCCCAATAATAAAAATAACTAACCCAGATTGTGTGACAGGAGATAATGGAAATGATCTGAGTGGCCACCTAATTTCAGTGAAGGAACTAGCCAAGGTAAGTGACTTGCTCAGTGTAAGTCCACAACTAATTTGTGGCCACTCAGGACATTGAACTGGGTCTCGGAGCAAATTATAAGATAGGTAAAACAGAGGGGACACAAACGTGGAATAGTGAGAGGGTGAGGAGAGTGCAGTTCAGGCTGGGATCGTGTGTGGCATATTCGTAGGAAACCACAGAATCTGAAGTTAGTTAGGTTTGGATTTCATTTACCACTTACAAACTACGTGCATCAGAGTAAGAAATTTAATTTCTCTGACTGTAGGTTCCTTGATTATAGAGATGTTGTAAAGATTAAATGAGATGACACGTTGGAAGTTTCTGGCACTGTGTAGGGGACATCACATGTTCCATGATGGCAGCTGTTATTGTTCTGGTACCTGAAGTGGGAAGGGGAGCAAGGAAGGAAACGTGAGGATTGTGATAGTAGGGAGGGCTCTGTTGATTTTGAAAGGAGAGTCCTTTCAAAGCAAGCCTTTAGAAACCTCACATCTGATCATGCCACTCACTGTCTGCTTAGAAATCACCCTTGGCCCCTCATCATGTAGCTAGACTTTTAAGTCCTTGTGAATGTGCCTTTCCCACTTGCTCCTTGCAATCCATTTGTGCTGTATCTCTGGCAGTTCCTGGAACATGACATGCATTTTCATTTTCATCTTAAGTAGTATGGCATGCACCAATAGTTCCAGCTACTCAGGAGGCTGAGGCAGGAGGATTGCTTGAGCCCAGGAGTTCAAGGCCAGCCTGGGCTACATAGCAAGACCCCATCTCAAAAAAGAAAAAAAAAAAAAAAGCAATTACCCCTTTACCCTGTCCCTCTGTCCTGCATTTGCCATCCTTTAAGACTCAATTCAAACTTTATTTCTACTGTGCAGTCTCTTGGACCAGGCTCTCCTCATGTCTTACTTTCTCTTGCAGTGACTCACTACGCCTATTGTGTTTCCATAGTACCCTGTACACAATATTACAGTGCTTACTACACTGTGTCCTAACGATTTGTTTACATGTCTGACTCATAATTATCATTACATTCCCTGGGGACAAGAGCTAGATCTTAATCATGTTTGTATTCTTAGCACTAAGTTGATGCCAGACACACAGTAGGCACTTATTAGATGCTTATATGACCGAATGAATGGGTGAAAAGCAGAAGTAGAGAAGTTATCTTAAGTTGATATAACAGTATGAGCAAAATATGGATGCAAAATCAGTGCTATTGTGATGGCAAGAATGAGACAGTTTGAGAAAATATCGTGTTGAGAAGTAGGTTTGTGTAAAATAGAGATAGGAAGATATGATCACTTCATGAAAGGCTTTGAATATGAAGCTGACCAATTGAGATGTGTTAGGAAGGGTAGCCATTTTAGTTTTTTTGTCAGAAGTGACATGGTTAGATAGCAGAGTTGCAGGAAAATTAGTATAATGGTAGTAGGTTAAGTTATTGTAGCAATCCAGATGTGAGTTAATGAGGGATAGGACTAGGGTGATGTCGATCAGAAAGGCAAAAGGAGAGACACTGAAAACAGCAAACCACAAAAACTCTGGCAAACCAGTTCACTTTTAGATATCTCACATTTTGGTGTGCCAAGGTTCCCAGCCCCCATACTCCCTTCAAAAATAAAGTCCTTTCCATTTTAGTCTTTGGTTATTAGTGTGTGAAAACTCTGCCTAAATCCTGAACTTTCTACTCTGATTTGTCAGAGGAACAGTTCTTTCAGTTTTAATTTTTGTCTTTAGATTTTTTGGTTGGTGTTTTTTTTTTCTTCCCCTAGGCTCATCTGTATAGGACTGTGAGCCCAGAAGGAAAGTTGGGAAATAATTTGTCAGTATTCTTTGGCATTTACAAGATGTTCCTATAGTCTCATTATAACATGGTTTCCTGACATTTTGTTATGGTTGTTGTTGATAGTGCTTTTTGGAAAACAACATCTATATCTTTTTTTCTTTTTTAAAAAGTGCTTATATCTTTTAAGTTTTATGTTACTTTGAGATATTACTGTAAGTTCTTTTGTTCATAGATTATGAAAAATGTCAAAAGGAATTCTAATCAGAAATCAGTTTTGCTCTGTGAATTTGTACATTGAAATTTAAATGATTCTAGTTAATACATTCTGTCTCTTATTTTCATTTAATGTTGAGGTGAATACACACATGTAAGGCCATATAAGAAGAGAATAACTAATGAGTGCCTATTCTGTCCAGTCTTGGGCTTCACAGACATCATTTATATTGAATGCTCATAATACCTGATAAAGTAAATATTAATAATCTAGTAAGGCAATTAAGACTTTGGGCAATTAAATTCTCACTGTACGTCATTGGGACATGGCAGAGAAGGAAGCCTATGTCTTTTTCTGACTATAGTGCCAGTTGACTCTGCACGTTTGCATACAGCAGTTCTCAGATCTTCTTAGTAACAGAATCCTTTATCCCATGAAATCAGACTCCCAATATATAAAACAGGTAAGAATAGTGTTCAGTTATATACGTTTATTGTATTTGGTACGTTAAATTTAAGGTGGAAATCTATGTTTCAATCTTCACTTGGTTTCATCTTAAAACTTATTTCTATATATTTTGTTTGCAAAATTAAAAAAGTTCAAAGTTTCAAAGATACGAAGATTCTAATAGCTTTTTTGCTGCATCAATACTATTTTCTTGTCAGAACATGATAAAAATTACAATGTGGAACTTTAATAGCTTTTTAAATAGTTTGTCTTGTAGTTTCAGGGCAGCATTTGATTATATGGGTGCAGAAAACTTGAGAAATAGGAGGAAATTTTGTTTTAAAGTTGTATTAGGTGAGGTGCATGGATCACCTAAGGTCAGGAGTTCGAGACCACCTGGCCAACATGGCAAAACCCCTTCTCTACTAAAAATATAAAAATTATCTGGGCGTGGTGGGGCGTGCCTGTAGTCTCAGCTACTCGGGAGGCTGTGGCATGAGGATCACTTGAACCCAGGAGGTGGAGTGAGCCAGAATTGCACCACTACGCTCCAGCCTGGGTGACAGAGCGAGACTCTGTCTAAAAAAATAAAAAACTTTTATTTACTGGCCGGGTGCAGTGGCTCACGCCTGTAATCCTAGCACTTTGGGAGGCTGAGGTGGGCAGATCATTTGAGGCCAGGAGTTTGAGACCTGCCTGGGCAATATGGCGAAACCCCATCTCTACTAAAAACACAAAAAAATTAGCTGTGCTTGGTGGTGCATGCCTGTAATCCCAGCTACTTGGGTGGATGAGGCTCAAGAATTGTTTGAACCCAGGAGGCAGAGTTGCAGTGAGTCAGCATCACACCACTGCACTCCAGCCTGGGCAGATAGAGCAAGACTCAGTATCAAAAAATAATAATAAAAAAAAGTAGTATTACTAATCATATTTAGTGACATCCACAGTAGTTATCAGTTAAGTACATTTTGAGGGCAGGAAGGGAGTTAGTGAATGCCTCCACATCCAATATTAAATTCATTGTTTGGCAGAAAAACAGTTTTTGAATGTACCTTGTAATATTTTAAGATGTTACTTTGAACAGTCAAAAAAGGCTGTCAGCTTTTTACTCAAAGTTCCAGAATAGTCAAATTTCTTTTGTTTTACATGTTGAGTCTAAATGAACACTTTTCTGCAGTCCTTAGTGTAGTAAGATGGGAGCTTGTTCAGCAAGATAGGCAAGTTCATGCATATGAGTTTTATTTCAGAGCTAATTGACATAATTTATCAACCAAAGTGATTTATTTTTAAAACACCTCATTAGAAATACTCAGATCTGCACATTGCCACAAAGCAAATGAAAATAAGTTAGAAGTTGGAGTTGTAATGTATTGGGTATACATACCCTGGTAGTGAGAACTTCCAAGGTACCTTAGTGAAAATGACAGCCTAAATGGCGTTGTCTGTTACTATTTGGAAGATGCTGACATCTGATGTTTCTAACTGACCACTAGAACATGTGTCAGCAGTTGCTTTTGTAGGGGCCATGCTATTCTCCTGCTCTCTCCTATCATTGCTTTAAACAGTACACTGTAATGTCTTATAAATCTTCCATGTATTTTTTCTGCAGAAACAAAAACAAACACAGGAAGACAGAGACACATCTGTCTCATCAATTCCATTTGAATCATTATAAAGAGTTTAGTCAAATTCATACATCGGATGAACTTATCAAATACAGAGGGTGCTTTTGCTTGAAATCTTCCCCAGGTGGTTTTGTGAGGATAATGCTCTTAATTTTATTAATTTTATTTTTGTAATACCTTGCTCATCCATCGTAATTGATACGGATCCCTCCATTGCCTTTGGATAATGTTTACCTCGCACGTAGTTCATTCTGTGTTATGATAATTTACTTTGAATGACAAATTACTTAAATTTTTATTGACAGGCTTTAAGTATAAAAAAGACCTGAAATTTGAAATCTGTATTAGGTATTGTGAAGCAAAGTGGGTAAACTTTATTATTGTAGAATTGACTCTTAAACTATGACCAAGTACAGGCACCAGCCAGGCAGATGTGTTTAGGCTTTCTCTGGCATTGGAGCATGGTACAGGGCAGTAATGATGTAAGTGCTTCTATATATATGTATATATAGTCATGCATTACTTAACAATGGAGTACGTTCTGAGAAATGCTCGTTAGGTGATTTTGTCATTGTGTGAATGTCATAGGGTGAACTTAGACAAACTTCGATGGTATGGGCCTACTACATACCTAGGCCATACGGGATGGCCTATTGGTCCTAGGCTATAAACCTGTATAGCATGTGACTGTATTGAATACTGGAGGCCATTGTAACACATTGGTAAGTATAGTAAGTCCTTACTTACTGGCTTCAATATGCTTCTGGTCACAAAAACATAACCAAACATAAACACTTCTAAAACTAAACTTTGAAATAAGCATGAGTTATATGTATATTTTTAAAAGATTAATAAAAACAAGTAAGACAATTTTTACCCAATTTTTGGTGAATCAATGAGTAACAGTGGCCGTAGTGGTGTTGGGTTAAATCAAGGAATGAAGTTTGTAAAGCAAAAATTGTAAGGGGCACCTCCTGTTACCATATAATTAAAAAACAAACCAAAAAACCAAAACAAAATAACAAATATGGCAGGTCACCACATACTTTTGTACTGTATCGTTCATTATGATACATTTATATGATTACTGTTTATTCAATGAATTTGTAGTTGACAATAATTTGTATTCATTTTCTGACTTATTCTAGTTTAGGGTCATATGTGGCTGGAGCCTATCCCAGCAGCTCAGGAACCAACTTTGCTAGGATGCCATTCCACTGCAGGGTGCACTCACACACACCCACGCTCACTCAGACTGGAACCATCTAGACATGCCAGTTAACCTAAAGTGCACATATTTGGGATGTGCACATGGGGAAAATGTGCAAACTCCACAAAGACAGTGGCCCTGGCTGGGAACTGATTTTTTTTTTTCTTATCAGCATTATAACTGAACAGTGTTGAATGAAACAATGTTGAACAAAATGACACTACTTAAGGACCTGCTGTATTTGTGTATCTAAACATGCCAAAAGATAGGAAAAGGTACGGTAAAAATACGGTACTATAATTTATAGGAACACCATCTTATATGTGGTTCGTCTTTGACTGAAACATTGTTATGCAGTGCATGACTGTATGTATAGCGAGGGAGACAGAGACTGTATATATATAGAAAGAGATTTAAGTAATTGACTTATGTGATTGTAGGGGCTGGCAAGTCCAAAATCTGTGGGGCAGGCCAGCAGGCTGCAAATTTGGATAAGAATTGATGTTGCAATCTTGAGTCCAAAAGCTGGAAACTCAACCAGAATTTCTAGGTTGCAGTTTGGAAGCAGAATTCCTTCTTCTGGAACTTAAGTCTGCTATTAAGGCCTATGACACATTGGATGAGGCCCACCCATATTATGGATTTGTTTTACTCAGAGCCTACTGATTTAAATAGGTTAATCACATCTAAAAATGCTTTAAAAGCAATGGCTAGACTGGTGTTTGATCAAGCAGCTGGATACCGTAGCCTAGCCAAGATGACACATGAGATTAATTGTCACGTGTATATTTTTGATTATAATTTTTGAAACATTAATATTTTAAAATTAAGTTTGATTCAGTGTGAATATGTCTTTGGAAGTCTGGAGCTCTGAGAAGAATGACAAGTAGTTGTTTACTTTGAGAGGCAAATGGTATTGAAAGAGCCAGTGATTTGCAGCTGGGTGATTTGGGTTCAAATAAATTCCAGCTATGCCATTTACAGTTTGTGTGACTTTGGTCAGGTTTCTTGAACTTGAGTCTCAATTTCCATGTTAATAAAATAAGGTATTACTTTATCAAGCTACTTTAATAAGCGAGAGAATGCTTGTAAAACTCCCACTGAAGTGACTGGCATATAGTGGCATTTAATACATGATAACGCATTATTGTCATAGTGATTATCATTATAAGCTTAGGTTTATATTACAAAGTTTTTTATTTCCCTTTATATCTTTTAAACTATATCCTTTTACCAAGTGTACTGTACTTTCTGTAGTTTGTGGGAAAAATTGAATCAAAATCTAGCATTCTCAACTTTAGAGTTCTTTTTTCTAAGAATGTTGTAATTGAACAACTAAAAGAGACAATTGACATTATGCCATCAGAGGGTTGGACGAAGGTTAACTGAGGTATCCTGAAAAGCATCTGCCATGCTGGAGAGGATGTGGGGAAATAGGAATGCTTTTACACTGTTGATGGGAGTGTAAATTAGTTCAACCATTGTGGAAGACAGTGTGGTGATTCCTCAAGGATCTAGAACCAGAAATACCATTTGACTCAGCAATCCCATTACTGGGTATATACCCAAAGGATTATAAATCATTCTACTATAAAGACACATGCACACATACGTTTATTGCAGCACTGTTCACAATAGCAAGGACTTGGAACCAACCCAAATGTCCGTCAGTGATAGACTGGATAAAGGAAATGTGGCACATAAACACCATGGAATACTATGCAGCCATAAAAAAGGATGAGTTCATGTCATTTGCAGGGACATGGATGAAGCTGGAAAGCATCATTCTCAGCAAACTAACACAGGAACAGAAAACCAAACACTGCATGTTCTCACTCATAAGTGGGAGTTGAACAATGAGAACACATGGACACAGGGAGGGGAACATCACATACTGGGGCCTTTCAGGGGGTTGGGGGCTAGGGAAGGGATAGCATTAGGAGAAATACCTAATGTAGATGACAGGTTGATGGGTTAATGGGTGCAGCAAACCACCATGCACATGTTGTGTACCTATGTAACAAACCTGCACATTCTGCACATGTATCTGAGAACTTAAAGTATAATTTAAAAAAAAATGTAAAGAAAAGCATCTGCCACAGAGCTTGGGCCAATAAGTTTGGTTTATTGTGTTTTAGTCATTGGTATATAGCTTTTCTGAAGTTATGCATTACAGTTAATTACATTCTAAGAGTGCATTATAAGGTTAATTTCTTGTTTTGATACCAGGGTTTGTTAAAAAGGAACAATATTTTCTAGAAAAGCTTTAAAGTAGTCATATTCTTACAGATTTTAAATCTAGGACTTTGTCTAACTATTGATGATTTATTGAGTAGCTCTGGGATTTTTTTCAGAAATTAAAAAAAATCTTTCATCTGTACAATTTTTCAGTTTTGTTTAGAATTCTTTTTTTGTCATTGCATTTTTAAAGCACTCATTTTAATTTAATAAAACGATGAGTGTGTCTCCTAAAGTTGACCACACAACTGCAAATTGTATTTTTTGCATTTCTTTGTTGGCAGTAGTAGTTTCCTATTGGCTGTTCTGTACTTATATATATAGATATACATATATATTTTTGTTGTTGTTGTTGTTGTTGTTGTTTTTGAGAGACGGAGTCTCGCTCTGTCACCCAGGCTGGAGTGCAGTGGCAGGATCTTGGCTCACTGCAACCTCTGCCTCCCAGGTTCAAGTAATTCTCCTGCCTCAGCCTCCTGAGTAGCTGGGACTACAAGCGCACGCCACCACATCCAGCTATTTTTTTTTGTAGTTTTAGTAGAGATAGGGTTTTACTGTATTGGCCAGGCTGGTGTCAAACTCCTGACCTCGTTATCCACCTGCCTTGGCCTCCCAAAGTACTGGGATTACAGATGTGAGCCACCACGCCTGGCCACTTGTCAATATATTTAAAAATTTTTTTATTTTTGGCTTGTCAGTATTGACCTTAATATTTGTAGTATTGGGAGTATCATGATAGCAGAAAGGACTTTGGAAAATCTATTATTAGAGGGCTTCACATGGGTGCTTCTGTAATAAAATGAATGGTGAAAAGAGACTTAACCATTTATAGTTGTTGGCTTCGGATAAATCTCCCAGAAAATAAGTGGATTGGAGTCCATTAACCCAAGCTTCCCAAAGCATAATGGGAGTTGAGCTTAGGGCCTGTTTCCTAGTGAGTGACCTACTGAGGCTTAGGGGCTAGATCAAAAGGATCTGGTAGTACTGAGTTTCTTAGTACCAAATTGAAAATGGATTTCTTTTTTTTAAAAAAGGCCTTTGTTACAATCTTATTGCCTGAGATGATGTAACATGTTAATGGGTTATCCATTTTGTATTGTTTTTTTTTGTGTGTGTATGTGTGTGTGTAAAGAATACACACAATCTCAATGCTGAAATGAATTTGAAATGTAAACTAATTATTTTCAAGTGCATAGGATATTACAGTCTAAGGTAAGAAACAGTAAGCTAGTACTCATTTGTTGTGCTAAGCAAATTACTAATTATTTAGGTGAGCATGAAGAAGAAAACCAAACCAGAAAGGTTTAGGGATATTAATGTTCTTCAAATTAGTTAAGAAAGTTAGCAGCAGCCACTGAATGAGGACCTACTATGTGTAAGCATATTTTATGCTCATTTTCCTCACAAGAACTCTATGAAGTAGATATCAAATTATTGCAGGTCTCTAATTGCATATCCAGCACTCAAGGCAAGAGGTGTTTCACAATTCATGACTTTTTTAGGTTTTTAGAAAAGTGACACATGGGCTGGGCACGGTAGCTCATGCCTGTAATCCCAGCACTTTGGAAGGCTGAGGTGGGTGGATCCATGAGGTCAGGAGATTGAGACCATCCTGGCTAACATGGTGAAACCCCATTGCTACTAAAAACACAAAAAATTAGCCGGGCATGGTGGCGGGCGCCTGTAGTCCCAGCTACTTGGGAGGCTGAGGCAGGAGAATCGCTTGAACCCAGGAGGCGAAGGTTGCAGTGAGCCGAGATCGCGCCACTGCACTCCAGCCTGGCAACAGAGCGAGACTCCATCTCAAAAAAAAAAGAAAGAAAAGTGACACAGGTATATACTTTATATCAGTGGTCCCCAACCTTTTTGGCACCAGGGACTTGTTTTGTGGGAGACAGTTTTCCACTGTTGAATTCTGCCTGGAGTATATGTTTTAAAATTCAATATGTAACTTCATATTACAGACTCTCTACTGTACCTGCTATATTGTGTATTACAACAACATCTGAACTCAGTGAATGGTTTTAGGTTCATTGTCAGGACTCTGGGTCCATTTATATGGCATATAAGCATTTTAACTTGTTTCTTGCCATATTTTCAAAACAGCCTTGTGTATGTCTGGGAACAATAAATAGGGAGTTTCATTATCACTGTTGTGCTAATGCATGTTTAAAGTTAGACAGATGAGTAGCTGTTCATCAATATATGTAAAACCTAGAGAAATGATTAGCTATTCATCAATATATGTAAAACTTAATTATTAAAAAAATGTAATGTCCTATGTCTGTGCACTGGGAGATCCAGGAAAGGTAAAAGTTAAGTCATTATCCTCAAGGAGATTACAGTCTAGTTGGAGGTGTATATTATACTATTTATTCTGTTGTTTCAGTGGGATTTGTTGTGGGAGAGAAAGGTAAGTTAAACAGAAAGCCTGAAGAGAGGTCTGGGTGTCCAGTGTGTCAGGGAATGCCTCCTTCTTGTAGCATCCAACCAGATTGTTTTGGGAGTTAGAAATGTAATGCAGTCAGTCCCCCAACTTAAAGAAATACAGCCCAGACCATCTGGTATGTCACAGTTGTGTGGTAACAGCAGTAAGGAGCATCGGCTGAGTCTGAGGGGAGAGCTGGGTGCTCCTTGCACCTCCCTGGCCCTGGCAGGTCTCTTTGCTGATCTTGTGCTGCTTTCTGAGGAGCCTGTTTTTAGAATGCTTCTCCAGGTAGCCAGCACCAGTGGACCATCATTGAAGTAGGAGTGGGTGTTGAAAGAGATAGGGAGGGCATTCCAGGTAGATAGTGTGGACAAAGGCACCAAGCCTGAAAAAAGAATGGCCCGGTTGAATAATTTTAAGTAGTTTGAGATGGCACAGTGCCCGGCACACAGTCTCTTCATAAATGATTACTCAAAGATTGAGTGAGTGGACAGATGAATGAATGGGCTAGATTGTGGCATGTGCGTGGAATTAGGTAAGAGATTCTTAGACTTGATCATAATTGCCTAGTAAATCATTCTTCCATAGCCCTTTTATAAGGTAAATACCTAGTCATAAAGTTCAATCTGTGATTCACTAGTTATATTTGCAAATTATTTAGTCTCTGGGCCTGTTTCCTCACCTATAAACAAGGTAGTTAGGCTTGAGAACTCCTCTATTCCTTCCATCTTTAGAATAGCTATGATTTTAAGTAAAGGGACAGGGACCAACTAGTGCTTCTGTTGGGGGTTCAGAGCTGAACCTCTTCTGCTGTCCTGGCTCTTTAGGCATCTCTCTGGCCTGTCACAGAGGTTGGATGACTGGGATGCCTTGTGGATGCCCAGATGTTCCTGGGATACTTCCAGTTTTGTGGGTGATGGTAATGTCTGTGTGTTCTTCCTTTGTCATCTGGGCCGTGATTTGAAGGATATACTACCATTTGTATTTAATGTCTAGGGTGGTGAGATAAGAGCTCCTATTAGATTTTTTAACTAGAAATGGAATAAATGCTGTATCTAGTTAATAATTAGGAAAACTTTACTCATATTTTTTATTTGGGGCTTAAGGAGAAAATAAACTTTAATTTAGGGATTTTTTTTTTCCTGCTTGAATTCAGTAGGGTCTTCCTCAAAATCTTAAATGGGAGTTCTCAGTTCCCCTTGTAATGTCAACCTCGGCAAATTTCTTCTGTTGATATGGAAAGAATTGTTGGACAGGTGGTAAGGGTAACTGAGCAGTGGGTAGGGATGAGTTCAAAGAAGAGAAATCCTACAGACGATGGTTGGTTGGATGATAAATATGAAGGATTGTGTGCTGATGTATTCCCTGTGGTGGTCTGCAAGAGTGTGTGGGAGACATTTGTTCTCATTTCCTGTTTCATCACAGCCTGCCACCTGCTGTGTCGCTATACAAAGTAACATCACTTTTAAAGATTGCTGTTTAGGAAATCATGTTTTATATGTCAGGAAGCTGGGTTTTTTTTGTTTTTGTTTTTTTTTTTTTGAGTCCCATTAAAGACTGATCCAGGAAGCATCTCTCTATATGAAACTTGGTGTGTATGTGTGTGTTTGTGTGTGTGTTGACAACTTAGGAAATTGGTGATTGATGCAGAAAGGAAGACAATGAGTAACTTGGGATTGTGCCTGTATGGATGTTTTGTCTACACGTGGGTGGAGGAAAATACTTGATGCTGTGTTCTGTAGCTATTACCCTGTGGAGTTTCTCACTTGAAAATTGAAGCTGTGTCCAGATACAGCTGTAATTCAGAATAATAGCAAGCATAGTACTGTCTTTGTTTTTCTGGGCCCTGGGAAGACAAGTCTACAGCTCTTTGAGGTTCATGTGTGACTCTACATTCCGGCCTCATTATTTGGAGGTTTGATATTTGCATGTTTGCCTGCTTGCTAAGCTTTGAAACCACAGAAATCAATCTTTATGGTAGTTTGTGGTCATTTGGGACATCTGCAGAGCAGTGAAAAATTTGAGTCCCTGAAACACACACAGCTCAGCTGAAGTAAAAGGAGGTGATGTTCTGCCTTCTTGTTTCAGCTGCACTGCTGTAAATAAATATCACTTTCTTAGCCTATTTAATGCCGTATTTTCCCCATTTCTGTCCTTTTTATTGGTGATTTCACTGCCTAACATGACCCTCAAGCATAGTGCTGAAGTGCCGTCTTAAGTTCCCAAACACAAGAAGGTGTGTGCCTTAGGGAGAAGGTGCATGTGATGGGTAAGCTTTGTTCAGGCAAAACACATGGAAAACAAGGTTATATTCTGTCCAGTTGACGAAAATGTTGAGACCAGAGGTTTGCAGATGTCAACTTCTGAAACAATGATTCTGTATTCTCTAATGCAGTGTTATGTTATAGAAATACAAGTACCATGAGCAGTAAAAATTGTATTTAGAGTAGAAGCTAATTGGTCCTAGTCATGGTTCACATATCTGGGTGAACATGGGGAATTTTTATGCCTTGTGAAACATATTTTAAAAGTTACCTTTTGAAAATTAAAGGAACTGTTTGATTTGGAGCTAAGAACAAATAATAGCACATAGGTAGTTTGACTTTCTGAATTCTTTTAAGTCTGCTATTTGGAGGCACTGTTTGTCATAATGTGACCATAGTGAGCTTCTGAGTATGGATGAAATCTTGTTACAACACATTCCAAAGACGATGAGGCATGGGGACATTTAATTCAAGTGTTCGTTGCAGGGTCTGCAGACAGCTCTTTGAATATCTTAAACTCCAAGGGTCCTGTCTGACTTATGTATCTGTCTGCTTCCTTAGAGGCCAGCTTCATAGAGAGCCCTCTTTCCTCAGATTTTCAACATTGTATTCCGTTTGCAAAGACCCTTCTTTATGGGTGTGGTCACTTCTAGAACGAATGCCTCAATTGAAGCTGGGAAATGGTGGAAGAGACTTTTTCCAAGTTGCTGTTACTGGGAGCTGTGAGAGACTATTGAGGTGTGATTAATGAATGTCTTTTGGGTATTGCAGGTTAAAACAGGGGTCCCCAACCCCTGGGCCACGAACCGGTACCAGTCTGTGGCCTGTTAGGAACTGGGCTGCACAGCAGGAGGGGAGCAGCAGGCAAGCGAGCGAAGCTTTATTTGTATTTATAGCCACTCCCCGTTGCTTGCCTTATGGCCTGAGCTCTGCCTTCTGTCAGGTCAGCTGCAGCATTAGATTCTCATAGGAGCATGAACCCTGTTGTGAAATGTGCATGTGAGGGATCTAGGTTGCGTGCTCTTTATGAGAATCTAATGCCTGATGATCTGTCACTGTCTCCCATTGCCCCCAGATGGGGCCGTCTAGTTGCAGGAAAACAAGCTCAGGGCTCCCACTGATTCTACTTTATGGTTAGTTGCATAATTATTTCATTATATATTACAAATGTAATAATAATAGAAATAAAGTGCACAATAAATGTAATGTGCTTGAATCATCCTGAAACCGGTTCCTGGTGCCAAAAAGGTTGGGGACTGCTGGATTAAAGGACAGAGTCAGCTGGACATCATTGTAACATCATTGCTTGGTGTTTTAGTAGCATTAAGACTTAAGTTTTGCTTTTTAAATTTACTTCTATATGTTGCTGGAGAGGATTTACTTCTGTCTCTGGTGATATTCAGCTAGGTTTTTTAGAATGGTCTGTCTGTGGGACAAGAAAAAAATCTCAGCTAACAAAATAGGTAGGGATTTCTGGATGTAAACCTAGGAGAAGTTAGGAACCACAGAAGTAAGCCTTAAATGCCTTTTCCAATCTGAAAGAAATAGCTATAAAAACAAAGGTTTTGGCAGGCTTATGGGGAGACAGAGTCAGAGTTCAGGGCCTTTCAAAGATATGTGGTCTGATAACCTCCCAAACCTTTGAGCTTGTTCTCTAAAAAGCTTTTATCATCTGTGTAAAGGGAAAACAGAAATACACCATTCTGTGAGTAGAGTTGGAGCCAGCTTTGCATCACCTAGGTAACCCAGTGGGCACTCAAGCCTTGAACTTGTGTTAAGGTCAAGCCAGTTTGGTGTTACTCCCAGGTGTCTGGTATAAGCAAGTGAACATTGTTTTGGAGCAAGATACTAGGCCTCAAAGTACTCATATATATGTGTATGTCTGTTTTAAAATACAGTGTCCAGCACATAGTCAAAGATGGTTAGGCACATTAAAAAATAGGGCTATAAATGAAAGAAAACCTAGCAAAATAATAGACAAGAGAAGCAGATACCCAAATTTCAGGTATAGAAATTACAGCTGTGTTTAGTATGCTTAACAGAAAAAAGGACAAGTTTGAAGATCAGGCCACTGGAAACAACAAAAAAGTGGCATAGATTACATAGATTAGAAAACAACCTTGTAATTCTGGAACTAAAAAAATCCATTGCTGGGTTTAATTTGCAGGATTTACACATGTTGACCTATAATTTTTCTTACTCCTTTTTCCCTTATCTGATTTGGTATCAAAGTTATACTAGCTTCATAAAGTGAAATGGAAAATATTCTTTATTTTTCTGTTCTAAAAAAATGAAATTATGCAATTATTCAAATGGAATACATAGTAACATTAGTCATATGTATCTTTTACAGACTGACAGGTTAGTGCCACCAAGTATTCACAAGTTTCTGTTCATAGAGTATTTTTATACAAAAAAACAGTGAATTTAATAGCACTTTTTATTCTCTTGAGTTTTAGGGACGTACAACTCAGGAAATGCTGAGTATTTGGAATCTAAGAGTGACATGTGCATGTGTAAAATAAGTGCTGTTATCTAAAAAATACATCATAAAAGTTTACCGTACAGTGTGTGCACCCTTGGACATGAATAGAAGACAAAAGCAATAAAGCCACTTAGTAGTGGTTTACTAAGTGTTCTGCCACTCTTGACAGGGTCCTGGTCTAAAGCTGGCACTGTCAGCATGTGAAAGGCTGCAGTCTGTAAGGACCTGGGGAAGAGAAGACATTTTCTGTATGAACATAATTGTACAGTAATATTGAGCCTGAGTTGCAGGTTTTATAAAGGAAGAGGAGGCTAAGTACTTACTGAAGGAAGAGCTAGACCTTTTCTCTTTATTCTATTATGGGAGATTTTTGACATTTTATGAGTTAGAAAAAGTTATCTTTTTCATTCTGATCTGTTAGTTTTATACCTTTAATCCCCAATCTTACTGTGAATTACTGGAGTCTATTTTTAAAATCTTGGAAATTTTTTATTTAGTGCTGCAAAAAAGAAAAATGAAACTTTACCTGAATACTAGGTAACTGAATAGACATAACGGAAACCTCTTCCATTTATCTACCTTGGGTATATATATTGGCCTTCATCTCATTTAGTTTTTACTTCCTCCCAAATTCAGACACAACCTCAATCCCACTTAAGACTAAAAGAATTATACTGAAACAAGATTTGCCCACTGCTTATATTTTTCTTGTCTAACGGAAAGTATTTTCCAAGATAGATTATTAAAATTATAGATACATTTGAGCAAGAATGAAAAAGAAAAGGGTTACCTCAGAGTTCTGTCTGATGTGGGCTTTTTTTTTTTTTTTCGAGACAGGGTGTTACTCCTGTTGCCCAGGCTGGAGTGTAGTAGTGTGATCACAGCCCACTGCAGCCTCGACCTCTCCAGGCTCACATGATTCTCCCACCTCAACCCCAAGTAGCTGAGACTGCTGGTGTGCGCCACCACACTTGGCTAATTTTTACAAGGACAGGGTTTCGCCATGTTGCCCAGGCTGGTCTCAAAGTCCTGGACTCAAGCAATCCACCCATCTTGGCCTCCCAAAGTGTTGGGGATACAGGAATGAGCCACCGCGCCCAGCGTATCTGATGTTTTTAATCTCTTTACAAGCATGGGTTCCAAGTGGCTATCAGTCCTGTGGTCTCTAAACTTTGATTAAGCATGCTAGTAGTAAAATATTTCTTGGCATACTCCTGTAATGCCTGTAAATTGATTTATACTTACAAATAATACACATATATGGTATAGTAATATATGTATTACAAGGATAGGAAATAGCTCAGAAGGATGTGGCAAAACTAAATATAGTGTTTTTAATATTTTCTCCACATCTCAAGGGACCTCTTGTTTACTCATTTTGGATACTGATGATCCAGACTCCCCACTCCTTCTCTCAGAAACAGGGAATTTACACTTTCTAGAGTTAGCCCATTTCAAGTGTTGTGTTAGTTTGTATAGTAGAGTGATTGGAATGAGTAGCCACAAGCATTTGATGGAGCAAAACTCTCATATTCTGGGAGAGTTTTTAAAACTTAATTTCCTTTCAAACAGATCCTTGAGTTCTGGGTATTTGAAATGTTTGGTTTGTGACTTTCAGCCACCTCCTTTGTGGAGAGGAAGAATAAGAGCTATTAAAATAACAGTTTCTTAATTTCTTGGCACTCTGGGACATATGAAATCAGTAGATTTGACATTATGTTGTCTGGTCAATTTCTCTAAATGTTTCTGCAGCTGTCATAAGCAATGGCTCATAAAACCTCATTCTGTCATTTTGCCAGATCTTATAGCAATGGGTACAGAGAGAACTTTTTTTTCTTTAGCAATTCCTTTCCAACAGTAAACCTGTAACTATGCCTCCACAGTAAAGAAGGATGGATATGAAGAATCCCATCACCCTTTGGAAGTTTGCGTGCTTTCCAAGCTTTTTTTGTTATTGTTGGGCACACTTTATATTCATGCTTTCAGCTTCCTTTCGTTTTCCTTTATCCCTGAGTAGGGAAGAAGGACATTTTGTCTAATTGAGATTTGTCATTTTTAATTGTTAGCAGTAAGGAACAAAAGAGTGCTGCAGTGGGATTTTTGATGAAAAATGAGAAACTTGAGGGAAAGCACCTCAGTAGTTGTACTTTGCTCCTTCGATGTTTTCCATGACCGTTTGTTCATCCTTCTTTACCATCTTTGTCCATCAGCCCAGGGGAGCAGTGGAACCAAGCTGGGTGAGAAGGCAGGAGGGGCTAGCCTCCATTTTCTCTTCCCTAGTTCTTCCCCCTCACACCAGCATATCCTACCTTTGTAGCCCTTTAGGAAGAGACAGTGTACCCAGACCATATTTCATCAAATCCCCCATCAAGACAAAGTCCGTCTGCCACTTGCTTTCCTTCTTTTCTGCCATTTGTTGCCAGTCCATCATGTGGATATACTGTCTAATGTTGTAGGTTTGACCATTGGTTATTGAAGCTTGGATATACATTTGTGTAGAAAATCACTGGCACTCAAAACATTTGTACACATGCAGAAGAAAAATCTCTTAGAGACCCCACTGTGTCTCCCCTTACCATCTAATACCTTGTCCTAAATACTTAAACACAGAAAAATAGTGTAACTTTATACCCAGGTACTTAAAGAAGGACCTCTTGATTTTAGTTGTTACCTAGTGACTTTTCACTGCGGTCTCTTGAAGTAGCCAAGATTGCGTTTCATGAGTTCATTTTGGTAACTGATGTAATTAAGAGATACTTTGGAGAACAGTGTGGGTTGCTTTTGTCTAATTTAGAGAAAACAGAAGAAAGGACCTAAAAGGAAAACAATCTCAAACCCAACTTGCCCCTGCATTTCTCCTTTTTTTTTGAAAAGCATGGATGCTTGGTGAAAGTCTTAGGGAAGTGATTCCTTTGAAGTACCTAGGAGAATAATTATATAGCATTTTCATTTTACATTGTGATCCTGTTAGTCGTTTTGGAGAGGGAAGACTAATGATAGCAGACAATGCTGGCTATTTGCAGGAATGCCTTTCCCTGTATCCTCTTCCCTGTTGCTTGTTCTCAGTGCTGTTCTGATGACTAGCTCTTTTTCCAAACAAATTTTTAATTTTTCCATAGGTTATTGGGGTACAGGTGGTGTTTGGTTACATGAATAAGTTCTTTAGTGGTGATTTGTCAGATTTTGGTGCACGCGAGCACTATACACCACACCCTATTTGTAATCTTTTGTCCCTTGCCCCCCTCCCATCCTTCCCATCAAGTCCTCAAAGTCTATTGTATCTTTCTTAGGCTTTTGCATCCTCATAGCTTAGCTCCCACATATCAGTGAGAACATAGGATGTTTGGTTTTCCATTCCTGAGTTACTTCACTTAGAATAAGAGTCTTCAGTCTCATTCAGGTCACTGCAAATGCCGTTAATTCATTCCTTTTTATGGCTGAATAGTATTTTTATGGCCATTGTGTATATATATATATATATATACAGTAGCACAGTTTTTTTATTCACTCATTGATTGATGGACATTTGGGTTGGTTCCACGATTTTGCGATTGTGAATTGTGCTGTTATAAAACTGATGACTAGCTCTTACCAGTTTTCTCTCTCATGTGTTTGGGGCAATAAGTTGTCTCTTAAATTTATTCAACCCTGACATTATATTTTTCTTATCCCTTAAAAGTTGTGTTTTGCTTTTTGTTTGCTTGTGTGTGTTTGTGTGTTTGCATTTTAGTGTACTTATAAAAGCTTTTGGTTCAGAAAGATTACTCCCAACAAGAATTTTATTATATTTGATATTCTTGACTAGTTATGTATCCTGTTGTTTTCTGCATCTGGAGATAAGATGTTAACTGGAAAGATATTTATCACATTGGAATGTTAGTTGCTTTTTTAAATGTGCTTAAGGCCCAAAGCTCAGTTAATAAGATAGGATCCTCATATCCCAAAATCTTGAGCCAAGGGAGGGAACTAAACCTTTAACAGATGAGCTGGTCAGGCGCGGTGGCTCATGCCTGTAATCCCAGCACTTTGGGAGGCCGAGGCGGTGGATCACGAGGTCAGGAAATCGAGACCATCCTGGCTAACACGGTGAAACCTCGTCTCTACTAAAAATACAAAAAAATTAGCCGGGTGTGGTGGTGGGCGCCTGTAGTCCCAGCTACTCAGGAGGCTGAGGTAGGAGAATGGCATGAACCTGGGAGGTGGAGCTTGCAGTGAGCCAAGATCATGCCACTGCACTCCATCCTGGGTGACAGAGTGAGACTCCGTCTCAAAAAAAAAAAAAATAGATGGAGTAATTTTAACTCATTCTTATGTTGTTGTTTAAAGGCAACACTGTGAGATGAAGGGGATCGTGACATGTAATTCATGTAAGAAATTGTAATAATAGAAGCTTTAATAACATATAAAGAATATTGAGTCTGGGCACGGTGGCTCACCTCTGTAATCCCAGCAATTTGGGAGGCCGAGGCAGGCGGATCACCTGAGGTCAGAAGTTCGAGACCAGCCTGACCAACATGGAGAAATCCCATCTCTACTAAAAATACAAAAAAATTAGCTGGGCGTGGTGGTGCATGCCTGTAATCCAGGCAGGAGAATCGCTTGAACCCAGGAGGCAGAGTTTGTGGTGAGCCAAGATTGCACCTTTGCACTCCAGCCTGGGCAACAAGAGCAAAACTCTGTCTTAAAAAACAAAAGAATATTGGAAATAAGGAGGAGTGAAGAGTGAAAATTTTAATCTCTGTCCTGCTCTCTGGGAGAGAGAGTGCTCTAATTTTAGACAACTAGACATTATTTTTAGACAGAACCATTGCTACAGAAGGGCAGTTTGCCATAATTTGATAGAACTGTTGCCTAAGAATGTTCAACTTTCATTTGTTCCAATTCTCTGCTTATCAAGCAACTTTCTGATCTCTAATCTGGTTTTTTTTTTTTTTTTTTTTTTTTTTTTTTTTTTTTTTTTGAGATGGAGTCTCACTCTGTCACCCAGGCTGGAGTGCAGTGGTGTGATCTCAGCTCACTGCAACCTCCACTTGCCAGGTTCAAGCGATTCTCCTGCCTCAGCCTCCCAAGTAGCTGGGACTGCAGGCACATGCCACTACACCCAGCTAATTTTTGTATTTTTTGGTAGAGACGGGGTTTCACTATGTTGGCTAGGCTGGTCTTGATCTCCTGACCTCAAGTGATCTGCCTGCCTTGGCCTCCCAAAGTGCTGGGAGGCAATTCACCTTCCTCAGCCTCCCAAGTAGCTGGGATTACAGGTGTGAGCCACTGCACGTGCCCAGCCCTCTAATCTGGTCTTCTTTGAGGACTTGTCCTGTGCAGATATCTATTCCCATTGTTTTAACAAAAATAGCTTTCATTGAAATTTTACATATGATTGTTTATGGTATTTAAATTAGTTTGATTATCACAAGTCAGTTCCCTAGAACCTAATCAGCATTTAATGGACTGATAAAAATTCTGAATTTGAAGAGCGGTAGATCAGGTGATTTTACTTGAAATAACTAACAAGCATTATTAGATTACACAGAATTCTGCCAAAAAGAAACATAAATGTTTTTATTACTGTAGTCGTTTTACAGTGTTACTCATGATCTCATTGAGTAATGATAATGCCATCCATGACAATGTCAAAAACGTGTTTTTTTTGGATGGGTGTGGTGGCTCATGCCTGTAATCCCAGCACTTTGAGGAGCCGAGATGGGTGGATCACCTGAGGTCAGGAGTTCGAGACTAGGCTGGCAACATGGTGAAACCCCATCTCTACTAAAAATACAAAAAATTAGCCGGGTGTGGTGGTGCACATGTGTAATCCCAGCTACTCTGGAGGCTGAGGCAGGTGAATTGCTTGAACCTGGGAAGCGGAGGTTGCAGTGAGCCGAGATTATGCCATTGCACTTTAGCCTGGGTAACACAGACTCTGTCTTAAAAGAAAAAAAAATTTTTTTTGCTTTTTAAAAATTGTACTAGCTATTTTTTCCACAGTGCTGTTTAAGTTATCACAGTTTCTAGGCTGTGTCCTTCATCATTGATTATCTACATCCAGATAGCTGATCACTGATGAAATATACATGTGCAAAACTTGGAGATGTGGACACTAGTTTTAGCTGCAGCTTCTGAAGTGGCAGGATGGGGTGGGGCAGGGTGAGGTAGTGGGTATAACTGGAGTCTTCAGCGGATCAGCCCCACTTTTGTCACCTCCCTTTCTCTGGAAGCTAAGGATTCCCTCAGCTGCAGCCTTGGGGCTTAGGATGATTGATAATAACCCCAGCTCCACTTATTGGTCACTGAGTTGAGTCAGACCTGCTGGGGATCAGAGGTTTTGTTTCTTCCTGTTTTTTTTTTCCATACTCAGTAGCTAGTTAAATCTCAACCATTATAGTTTGATGCCAGTGTTTTAAATCCTGTGTTAAACAAGAAACTTACGTTGTTAGACTGTGTGGTAAGGTTTTAGTTTTTAGTTAGTTTTTTTTTTTTTCAACACAGTCCTTGGCTTTGCTGATTTGGACCTAACAGCTGGCCTTAGGACAACTGTTTGGCAGTACTAATGTTCTCAGATATTTTTTAAATGTATTTTATTTATTTATTTTTTTGAGACGGAGTTTTGCTCTTGTTGCCCAGGGTGGAGTGCGCTGGCGCGATCTTGGCTCACTGCAACCCCCATCTTCTGGTTTCAAACGGTTCTTCTGCCTCAGCCTCCCAAGTAGCTGGGACTACAGGTGCCTGCCACCACGCCCGGCTAATTTTTATATTCTTAGTAGAGATGGGATTTCACTATCTTGGCCAGGCTGGTCTTGAACCCCTGACCACGTGATCCGCCTGCATCGGCCTCCCAAAAGTGCTGGGATTATAGGCGTCAGCCACCGCGCCCGGCCTGTTCTCAGGTTTTAATACTTTTGAATGTAAACTGCCTTTGAAAGCCTATAACACAGTTCAGTTGGCTTCTAAAACAAGTGTTTTAAATGAAATTTAGTAATACTGTTTAAAAAATGAATAACTTTATGGCCAGGCATGGTGGCTCACACCTGTAATCCCAGCACTTTGGGAGGCTGAGGCAGACGGATCACTTGAGGTCAGGAATTTGAGACCAGCTTGGCCAACGTGGTGAAACCCCATCTCTACTGAAAATGCAAAAATTAGCTGGGCATGGTGGCACACACCTATGGTCCCAGCTACAGTGAGGTGAGATTGTGCCACTACACTCCAGCCTGGGCAACAGAGCGAGACTCCGCCTCAAAAATAAATAAATAAATAAATAAATAAATAAATAAATAAATAAATAAATAAATAAATCTTTAGAGTGTTTTTAGGTTCACAGAAAAATTAAGTCAAAAGTGCAGAAGTCCCACATATTTCCTTCCTGGATCACCACACACATAGCCTCTGCAATTGTCAACATTTCCTATCAGAATGGCATAGTTGTTATAATCAATAAAACATTAACATGTCATAATCCCCTAAAGTCTATAGTTTAGGCTCTCTCTTGGTGTTGTGCATTCTAAGGATTTGGACAAATGTTTCATGATATGTGCTGTTACAGTATCATTCAAAATAGTTTCACTGCCCTAACAATCCTCTGCTTTGTCTTTCATCCTTCTCTCCTCCCCCACCTCCAGGCAATCACAGACCCTTTTACTGTCTCCTTTCCCAGAATGTCATATAGTTGGAGTAATATATTATGTAGCCTTTTCAGATTGGCTTCTTTCATCTACTTATATGCATTTAAGTTTCCTCTGTATCTTTTTGTAGCGTGATAGCTCATTCTTTTTATCACTGGATAATATTCCATTGTATGCATGTACCACAATTTATCCATTCAATTACTGAAGGACATACTGGTTGCTTCCAAGTTTTGTCAATTGTGAATAAAATTTCTATAAACACATCTGTATACATATTTTTGTGTGGACATACATTTTCAACTCAGTTGAGCAAATTCAAGGGATGGATTACCATACATTTATCATACCATTCAGCAATTGTATGCTAAGAGTATGTTTAGAAGAAACTGCCAAACTGTCTTCCAAAGTAGCTGTACCATTTTGCATTCCCACAAGCAATGAATGAGAGTAGTAATGCTTTCGAATACTAAAGAGATTGCAATGTTAAATGTATTTTTGATGATTTCCTTGTGGAGATATCATTATGGCAAAGGACCATGAAGCACGGTAAAGCAAAGGACCATGAAGGGTCATGGTAAAGGAGGTTACTGGTGATAGGTGTGTGTGTACGCAGGAGTTGAAGGGCAAGGGCTTCCCAATGTTTTCCCATCTCCAAATTACCACAGCCCACCCAGATACTGTGTCTTACATTTTAGAATCACTGCTGGAAATGGAGTTATATTGTTAATGTGATTATGCACTGATGTGCTTTCATTATATTAGTATTGGTGATGAAAGTATCTTTGTCATTTTAGGCATGTAACTAGGCCTGTAAAGATGTCTTAATTGGGGGTTTATTAGGATTAGTGTCAACCGTATGGCAACCATATCCCAGTGCTGGGAGTCAAAGTTAGAACTGTGACTTTGGACATTGCTCTTTAAGGTCAGGGTAGTGTCCTGTGAGGTTCTGCCAGCCTCAGCCTTGATGTGGATAATACCATCATTTGTAATGTTGTGATATGGTGGAGCAGGAGTTCTCTGGCCTCAGAAAACATAGCTTGTGTGAAGTTAGTGAAATGCTCATGCTTCTGCTGTCTGTGATACTGAATCTTTCAATATTTTTGGCCTTAACTGTGACTTGTTCTGGTGGGAGAACTTGGAAGAAGTGAAAAAAGATCAATAACTTTTTGAATTGGTGCAAGACAGGTAAAGAAGAGAAGTGTTGGGCTTTCTTTTACATTATTCTGTTACCATCAAAGGTAGATTCCCTACTATTGCCATATACAAATATTCTTTCATTCCACAGGATTAGAGTTGATGATGGTCTATCTGTCTTTAAAGGTAGATCTCAACTTTAAACTTTAAAGTTGAGTTTTCTTTTGTAAAGTAAGAGTAAAATGGCAAGCAGATGGAAGCATCTCAAGCAAGGCATCCTTCCATCTGGGTGAATTGTAGCTAATGTCCAGAAACAGTAAGAATCACACCGGAACGAGTTGCCAGCCAGCTGCCCATATACTACCTGATGTATGCTGGTATGTCCTGAGACTGAAACTTTGGTATAGGTACTGCTCAGTTAAATGTAGGTCATTCTCACACAGAATCCCATTTGGGCTACCATCTTGTTTCTTTTGAATCATAACATGAAATTTACTATATAAGTATGTGTAAAACATTAGGCTATTTATCATTTTTCCTTTTAGAAGTTTTTTAAAAAGGTTTTTGCCAACTTGAAGGTGTAAAAATTTTAATATAGGTGAAATAATCAGATGTATATTTAAAATATTTATTCATTTACATGTTTTAAATCACATATATACAGAATTGGGATTGTTTTCCACATTCTTAACATTTTACGGGACAATTTTATTCCAGTTTTTTTACATACATCTTTGATATCAGTAGTTATTGAAGTCACTTTTAAATCATCAGCATAATTTCCCATATATTATATTAATTTTCATGAATAAATTGTGATACAGTGCTTTTTTAAATTTGCGTAAGATTGCTGTCACTGGAAGTCACTGGAAGTTTTATCTCAAGCCATGCATACTGATCTACATAACATTAGGATAGTTTTTCTTACTGGTTTATATGTGGGATCTTTACAATATAACTACTCACTCTCCTGCCTCAAAGTATTCTTTAAAAAGCATATTATTGGCTGGGCGCTGTGGCTCATGCCTGTAATCCCAGCATTATGGGAGGCTGAGGTGGGCGGATCACAAGGTCAGGAGATCGAGACCAAGTGAAACCCTGTCTCTAGTAAAAAATACAAAAAATTAGCTGGGCGCAGTGGCGGGCCGCCCGTAGTCCCAGCTACTCAGGAGGCTGAGGCAGGAGAATGGCGTGAACCCGGGAGGCGGAGCTTGCAGTGAGCCAAGATCGCGCCGCCGCACTCCAGCCTGGGCGTCAGAGCAAGACTCCGTCTCAAGAAAAAAAAAAAAAAAGCATATTATTTACAACATCAGCACTTTTAATTTTAAAGCCATACCTACTAAGAATGACTACATAAACCTGGGTTAATTTATTTTTCTCTTAAGAAAAGCAAAAGAAAACGAAACAAAACACTTTAGATTACATATCCCAAATAAGTTTCTGAAACTTGTATTATCTGAAGTCATATTAAGCTAATTTGATTTCCCCACAGTAATTGGTGGTCTAAAATGAAGTACTTGGGAAGCTCTGTAAGAACTAGAAGATAAGACAGTTCTCCCTTTTCTGAAAGGACAACTTAGAGGAGAAATTCTTTCATTATATTAGGCATATATTGTATTTAGAACTAGACTCTGTCCCTATCTGTACATGTATTCATTTAAATTCTCCGTGGTTTCCTTACGACGCATCCTTTTTTTATTGTGTCATTAAGAGAGACAATGCTAGGCATTTTACTCAATGTGAATATTCTTAAAATTCATTTATGAAAACGTCAGGAGAAGCCCTGAAAGAAAATGTAGTTGAGGGTGTATATTTTATTGGTCCATTGTGTCAAAACCATCCATTCATATTTTATTACTTATTCAGAGGAAGAAATGTAAATTTGGCCGGGCATGGTGGCTCACGCCTGTAATCCCAGCATTTTGGGATCACGAGGTCAGAAGTTCGAGACCAGCCTGGCCAACATGGTGAAACCCCATCTCTACTAAAACTACAAAAATTAGCCGGGTGTGGTGGTGTGTGCCTGTAATCCCAGCTACTCAGGAGGCTGAGGCATGGGAATTGCTTGAACCTAGGAGGTGGGAGGCTACAGTGAGCTGAGATCACGCCAGTGCCCTCCAGCCTGGGCAACAGAGTGAGACTCTGTCTCAAAAAAAAAAAAAAAAGTTTATGAAATCATCCATTTGGGCTCAGTTTTTGCTGTTTGTACCTTTCCTAAGGCTTAGTACACCCTGCTCTGTGTTGCTCCTTGACTGGTGGTTTCACTGAATTGTCCCCATTTTTTGTTTGTTTTCTTGTTTGTTTTGTTTTTTGAGTCAGGATCTTGCTATATCACCCAGGCTGGAGTGCAGTAGTGTGAATATGACTCACTGCAGCCTCGACCTCCCAGGCTCAAGGGATCCTCCCACCTTAGCCACCTGAGGAGCTCGGACCACAGGTGCAAGCCACCATGCTTGGCTAATTTTTGTGTTTTTTTTTTCTGTAGAGATGGGGTTTTACCATTGTTGCCCAGGCTTGTCTTGAACACTTGGGGTCAGGTGATCTGCCTGCCTTGGCCTCCCAAAATGCTAGGATTGCAGGCATAAGCCAGCATTCCCGGCTGTATACTTTTCAAGGGGCGGGGAGAATGCATTTGTCCTTATAGGCTCCGTTACTGTAGGCATTTAGTACTGCTTGAAAATTAAATTAGAAAGTAAGTGCCACTTAAAAAGTTTATAAATATGCTTTATAAATTCTAAAGGTGTGGAAAATTGGTGATAATTGGTTTAGCCTCATACCATTCTTTTGCTCTTGTTTTCTACCACTTAGCTCTTTTTCTCCTTCTCATATACCTTTTATTTTTCACACTAATATTGTTCTTTTTCACTTATCACTGGACATTTAAGAACTTGGAGTGCTTGATCCTTAGCATACATTTGTGTCCACTTAGGTCTTTTAGGGGAGCCCTTGAAGGGCACTAAGTATAAGCAGACAATAAAAACAGGAATGCCTATATCCATAAATAAATAAATATATGTATATACAGGCCTCATTTATGCTAAATTACACAATTATACTATATAGTAGACTTGAAATTATATTTTTGTGGAAAGAAGGAAAGTAAGGAGACAAATCTAGTGAAGGCTGCCTTGACTTAACAGTGCAGAATCACTGTGCAGCAATGTGCTTATATGGCCGCGTTGCGATTATAATCCTCCTACATGCATAAGTCAATGGGGTCTTTGCTCCAAACTTGTGGAAGAATGAATGAGCCAAGTAGTGGTGGGAGTTCAGTTTAGTTCCACTGTTTTGTAAATTGGGCTAATTTTCAAAGGTATTCAGACATTTACCTTTTCAAGTGATAGAAGCAAGAGCAGAGAATTCATCCTTTCTTGCTACTAAAGAATTTATTCTAAAACATTACATGTCACTTGTCCCTCGTGGCTAGATGTGGATAGAGATGCTGGATTGTTTGTTTGGAGCATGCAGATTGCACTGTTTCATCTTTTGTAGACACAGAAATCAAGAGTTATCTTTTTTCTTCCAAAGATGGAAACAACTATTTGAGAACCCTATCATTAGAAAATTGTAAGCCTTTAAAATAGAACCTTACCTTCTATTATTCATTGCAAATTATTTTAACACAAACTTACCTGCAGCTGGGCATATAGGACTCGACTGAGTACAGAATATTGGCAAAAGCATTGTAGAGGGTCAGAAAATTACTTAAGTCTGAACTTGATTGGAAATCAGCTGATATTTCATGTCTCTGATGTCCTTCATCTTTGCAAAATCAGTTCCTGTGGCATTTTAGCATTTCTCTAGAACATTACTATGAGAAAGGAAAGTATTGAAAAGATCTAGTAATAGAGATATTTTCAGAAATCTAACAGATAAGATGGTAGAGTCAAGCTCTTTGGAGCTAGATGTATACATTAAAGTTCATCTTGTATAAACTCTTTATTTTACACTTAAGAAAATTGAGGTATGGCTGCTCCTTACTCCCTAGTACAATACTTCTCTCACTGTGTATCTTAATTATTTGTATCTTATCTCATCTGTCATATGGAATTCCTTTAGGGCAGGGACTCACCCTTATTTTATCTATGTATCTTCAGTACTCAGCCTATTGCCTGGCACTGAGTAAATTTCAGGGTATGTTTGTAAATTGAATGAATCATTGACTGAATTAACCAAACAGCAAGTCAGACTCACCTGGGTTCACTCTCGTTCTTCTATTGGGTTGCTGCTTATTTTACAAGTCAGACAGTTCTCTCCCTATAAAAGGCAACAACAAAAACATACCTCAAAATAAAGAGATAGCTGGGGATGAGTCCGGGCCCTCAAAATCTTACGTTCTTATGTGTGTATGTGTGTGACATGTGAATAAAACATGCAGAAAATAAAGGGGATAATTCCAGGTACTGATAATACCATGAAAAAAGTGTCATGAGCATCAGACAGTAATTATCTAAATGTCTTCTTTTTAGTAGAAATCTAACCCCACACACTGGGCCTCAGTCCATCTATCTCACAGAAAGGAAATCCTTGCTACTACCATGAAAGCTTATCACATGCTCATGGCTGAAGGAGTTCTTCTGGAAAGCCAGAGCTGCTAAAAGGAACTTAGGGGATCTGTTCCTAAGTTCCTCTAAGATCCCAATAGAGGACTAGAGGCTTCTTTCCCTCTTGGGGGATGCCATGTTGATTAATGAAATTTTTGCTACTTAGCTTTAGGAAAAAGGCATTTATTTATTTTCTTTTCTTTCCTTTTTTTTTTTTTGAGACGGAGTTTTGCTCTTGTTGCCCAGGCTGGAGTGCAATGGTGCGATGTCGGCTCACCACAACCTCCACCTCCCAGGTTCAAGCGATTCTCCTGCCTCAGCCTCCCAAGTAGCTGGGATTACAGGCATGCCTCACCATGCCCAGCTAATTTTGTATTTTTAGTAGAGATGGGGTTTCTCTATGTTGGTCAGGCTGGTCTGGAACTCCTGACCTCAGGTGATCCGCCTCCCAAAGTGCTGGGATTACAGGCATGAGCCACCACACCCAACCAGAAAGGTCTATTTTCTTTGATCTTATTAAAGGCTGCCATATACAAAGGTTTTCTTTTAATGTTGATCTGTTTTTAAAATATGGAAGAAAGCCTTGAAAGGCATCATCATAAGCTCTACGTCAATATCCAGAAAATATCGTCTTGTTTTAGAATTCTAGCCTGTTTTGTTTGGTAGATGAGTCAGTCTACTGTAAATAAATATTTATTGAGCACTTGTTTTGTGCCAAGCACAGTGCCCTAGGGATTGTAGTGTTTTTCAAATTGTGGGTCACAGCTCCCTAATGTCATAAAATCAATTTAGTGAGCTATAACCGGCATATTCAATCAAATGGAATGAAAAATAGAATATCAGATTGCATCATGGATAGTATTGTATTATTTTATCAAACTTGAGTTTCAATTGTGTATGTATGTGTGCAAGGTTGCAATATAAAGTGTCTTTTTTACTTGTGTCATGGTTAGAAAAGCTTGAAAAGCACTATTATAGAGCATACCCAAAAGTATATATTCCTTGCTTTTGAATAAGTTAAACTCTTGTTGGAGCAAGAAACACAAAAGAATAAATACTCAAGTAGTGAATTACAATAAGTGCTATGTGTTCGGAAAAGTAAGATGATAATACAAGTTGAAAGTGGCATGGATGGATATGGTGGAACTTGAACCAAATCTGGAAAGATGGATAGGGCTTGGAAGGGGTGAAGACTAGAGAATGGCTTAAAGGTGAGACGTGGCATATGGATAATAGGGATGGCAAGACTGGAACAGAGGTTTCAGTTTACATTAGAGAACTGTAGGATATAGTTTGGAGATAGAAAATGAAGCACAATTGTCCAGACTTATGGATGCCTTGTGATAACATGCCTGAGGAGTGTGTATTAGATCAGGTAAGCTGCACAGATTCTTAAGCTGGGGAGTGATAATGATATAGGGTGGGTTTATAGAATACTTTCCATCTTCTTCCTAACTCCTCTTTAGTCATGGGGAGCTCCTAAGGGAATTTCTTCTAGGTAGGTGTTGGATACCAAGTCTCTGGCATCAGATCAAAGAGAGCCAGAAAGGACTTTGGCTGTTCTCCAGAATGTAAATAGAAAGGTAGAACAAGTCCCATTGTGGGTGCATGTGAAATACTCCCATGGAGGAGAACTGCAGTGCTGTCTGTTTGAAATACGGCAAAGAATGGATTGAAGAACATTTCTTCTGATATCACTGTTTAATGTTTGCTCTCAATGTAAAGGGAAAAGCAGATTAAAGGGCCCATGTTTTTGAAGTACTGGGAACCTGACTGACCTACCTGAAATATGCTATGTAAATAATTTGTCATGTGATCTCCTTACCCTCAAGACACCTTCACTGAATATGCTATATACATAATTTATAAAACAGTTTCAAGCGTGATTGCAAAAAGTTTCTCCTCATTGGAAAGGGACATTTGATATTTATCTGCCAAACTCTTTACTACTTTCCAATTAAAGATAAATTTAAAGAAGTTTCTGAAATGATAATGTGCTTTACGGGGAAGGTGATTTAACTAGAAAGAAGCTTTTAAAAAAATGACTATTTAATCTATAACACTAAATACACCAATAATTTAGATCGACTTCTGATTGAAAGTTATGATTCTTTGTCGTGGCAGATTATCAAATGTTCTAAATTGAGGCTGTTCTAGGACATAGTTTTTAATCTAAGTCATATTAAATAAAGTTTATGGGGGCCCATTGTTTTAGACTAGCCTCTTGGACTAGGCCCCAGCAGACCAGACTAAACTAGAATGGAGTTGCTCATGCTAGGTACCACATAATTAAACTGAATTCTGAAACAGGCCTGGTTTGTTTAAGTAACAAACCAGAAGATTCACAACAACCAGTCAAAAGGGGCCCAGTTTACCTGGGCATGATAAGAAGTCTCCTCTGTTTTAACCCTAAAAGGAAAGTAACTTTTGAAACAGTCAATCTGCTTTTTGTTCTGTTTCTGCTTTTCTCAGAACTTTTTTGTCTATAAAACCAATTCCTCTGCTCAGCTCATTGGAACACTTATTCTATTTTATAGAGTAAGATGTTGCTCAATTCTGGAATCACAAATAAAAGCCAATTAAGACCTTTAAATTTGTTGTAATTTTATTTCTTAACAGTCATTAGAAAAAAAAAAGCAGATGCATCTAGGATTGCAAGATTATTTACATGTAGTCCAGGGGGATTACATACATTTTAGCTATTTTGTAGAAGGTATAATTTAATCAGGAACACAAGTTCAAGCACAGCCCATGAGAGATGAAGGGATATGAAGAACACTAACTTTGGTTTCTAAAGGAAAGTGTGTAGAGTGTACATTCTTACTCGTCTGCAAAGAGGGTGGATGAATGAAAAATGAAGAAGGGGGTGTATTCGTTTATACTTATGAAGGCATCTGCTCACAATCAGTCACTTGTAGAGAGAGTGCCAGCTGGCAGGGTACTTGCGTGATGTAAATTGTCCATCCGCTCAGAAGAGCAGAAGTACAAGGAGGCCTTGTGCAAAGGACTGAATTCCTACCCAGAGGACAAGGGAGGGAGGTTCTTGTAGATATCTAAATGAGATCTACTTCCATTTTCCACTTTATTTGCAGTTTTCAACATGTCATTTTTCCTGCTGTCCCAGCTACGATTACTGTTTGACTTGAGTAATCAGTTTCCCCCCTTCACTGCAACTGCTGCTTATTAAGCCTCTGCCTGGTGGGGGGAGGGTGGGTATAGGAGGGGACACTGCTGGAAAAATGGTGTCACTTTTTCCAAGAGTGTTGTTTTCCTTGTCTTTCTGCTTCACTGGTTCATTTTTGTGAGCTGTATAAGAGCTAAAGGTTATTATTACAGATTTCATTTTTTGAAATGCATCAAAATCTCCATCCCCTCCCCTACCTGCTAATCTTTTTGCTTGTTAAGAAAGAAAGTGCTTCTTTCTGTGAAATCATAGATAATTCTAGGGGTATCAAATGTAATGGAATTAAATCTTATAAAATTTCTGAATGGACTTCCTTCTGCTTTTTTTTCACGATAGTAGAGAAAAAATTCAAACTTCCTTGGACAAAATTTTAAAACAGTATGCCCTGCAGAAGAAGAGGTTTTAGTAGAAATCTTTGTTTTTGTATTCTTTGATTTCTTAGATCTGGATTGGAGTGGGTCACCAAACTTTTTCTGTGAGAGGCCACTAAGTTAATATTTTAGGCTTTGCTGGCCATGCAGGGTCTCCACAATTGCCCAACCCTGCCCTTGTAGCCAGAAAAGCAGCGATAAACAGTGTAAAGCATTGTTTACAAAAATAGGTGGTGGGCTAGATTTGATCTTCCAGCTGTGGTTTGCCAGTCTCTGTCTTGGATTCTAAGCTACTTAAAGTGTGTCCTACCTCCCTCCCTCTGCCCTTCCTCTTCCTCCTTCCCCTCCCTCTCTAATTACTATATGAACATCTGGCACTTCGTACTTAAGCCCCCCTTTTAATGTATATTTTTTAAATACCTAAAATTTCTTCTCTGAAAAATAAATATTTCTATGCTAGTCTGTAGCCAACAGAATGTAACACCCTCCCTGAAAATGCCAACATTACCCGACACAGACTGGGATTAAACAAGTCTAGGCTTCTAGACAAAGAAGAAACAGTGTTTTCTTATCTTTTTGAGTGTACTGAAGCAGAAGTTAACTCTTTGCTTTCAGATGTGTCCCTTATCATCGAGAATTGCTGGTGGTCCTGTATCATTTTATTATAGGAAGGAAGGATGGACACCAGAGAGGGTGGGGAATTTGGTTTACAGGGAATCTTGACCAGTGCCTGCCTATAAAGGGTACCACTGTGAAATCCCCAGCAGTAAGTAGGTTTTCTAAAAATCAAGTGTGTATTTCTACTTGCCTAGGTTTTAGGGCCTTGTGAATGCAAGTCGAATGATAGAGGAAATTGGCTTGGAGGAAAATGTTGGGGAGTTTGGGTTTAGCTGGGTGCAGTCACCCCTAGACTTGGATGTGGAGTGAGTACCCCTGTTGACTTTAACATCTGTGTGTGTCTTAAAGAAGACTGCTACTTTTCTGGTTTATTGTCTATGCCTACAGATGACACGTGGAATAAATTGCACATTAAAATGTCTGACATGAAAATCAGAAGAGCTTAAGTTCATTCCACAGAAGCCTTTTGTTAGAATCTTCAAAGGATGAGAACCAGGATGAAGAAGAGTTTACAGTAGGGAAGTATTTCTCAACTGTAATTGTACATAAAAATTGCCTATGGTGCTTTAAAAAAATACAGAGTCTGGGGACACATGTTCTCGGGATCTCCTAAGGGCTGTCACAGACCATAAAGTTTAAGAAGAAAAAAAAAAAATACAGAGTTTGGGACCTCACCCAAAACCTACCAAAATGAAACTTGTGGAGATGAGGCTCAACAATTTGCATTTTCAAAAGCTCTGTGGGTGATTCTAATAGCCAGTCTGGGACCTTATTGTGGGCCAGATTATGAGAACTACTATAACAGGAAGACATAGACCTGGGCTGGCTCTAATGGAAAGGGGCCTTCTAGAGCGCCTGGGGGTTTTGAACTGTTTGGGTACAGATAACTCTTTTTAGTCTGGATACTTACAGTGATCCTGAAAATGTATATTATGCCTTTTCTCTTTAGGAAATCTTTGGGAAGGCTTTTTTAGAGAACGTCTTTGTGGATGAAAGGGGCTCTCTTTCTCCACATCTCTTAGACCCACTCCAATCCACTCCAAACCACCAGAGAAAGTCCTCATTGTTCAGTAGAAATCCAGCTGCCACACTGGATCATTCCCATCAGCACAACACATGATGTCTTCCCATCTTAAAAAGCAATTTGTTCTTGAACACCCCTTTCCCCCTTCAGCTACCACCTCATTTCTTTATAGAAAAATTACTTAGTGGGCTGGGTGCAGTGGTTCACGCCTATAATCCTAGCACCTTGGGAGGCCCAGGTGGGAGGATTGCTTGAGGCCAGGAGTTCAGTGTTGCAGTGAGCTATGATAGTACCATTGCACTCCATCCTGGGCGATTTAGGGCTCTCCCCTGTCTCTAACAGAAAATAAGAAAAATTACTTGGAAAATTGTTTTTATTACCTGTCTCCAATGCCCCCTTCCCTTGTGCCCAGCATTCTCTATGGCTTTCATTCCTGTCAGTTCTAACAAAGCACTTCAAGGTCACACCTCCAGGTTGCCAAATCCAGTAGCCAATGCTCAGTCTTTATCTTTCTTAGCATTTCAGGAGTATATGACAAAGTTCAGTTGGTCACTCTCTTCTTTTTAAAAGAAGCTTTTTAAAATTTGGCTTCTGGAATTCTACTCTTTTGGTATTCTTTCTACTTCAGTGGCTTTTCTCTCCAGTCTCCTTTTCTGGGTCCTCCCCATTTCCCCCATTGCTAAAAGTTGGTATGTCCCGAGACCCAGTCTGTGTACCTCTTATCTATCTATGTCCATTCCCTAGTTGTTTTCCTCTAATCCCATGGCTTTGAATACTAACTGTATGCTGACGACTTCCAGATTTCTCTCTCTTGCTGCAGCCTTTTCCTGAACTCCAGACTTTTATATCCTACCTGCTGAATTGATATTTTCACTTAGAGGTTTCGTGGGTATCTTCAACTTAGTATATCTGAAACTGAACTCCCAGTTTCTTACTCTCCATCCCCCCATGGCTGCTTCATCATTCCAGTTGTATAAGCCAAAGCTTGCATCCCACATCCAGTTCATCAGTAAAAGTGGTTTGTTCCACCCTCAAAATATGTCCAAAATACCATTATCTGTTAGCTGGATTGTTGCAAAACTCATCTAACTCATCTTCTTGTTTCTCTGTCATCCCTTCTGTAGTCTTTGGTCAGTACAGCAACCAGTCATCCTTTTGAAATGCTAGTTAGAGCCTGTTACTCCTTTGTATAAAACTCTCCAGTGGGTTCTCATCTTATTCAGAGTACAAACCAAGTCTTACAGTGATCTACAGAGCCCTCCATGTTGGCATTCCCTCCTCCTCTCAGCTTCTCTCACCTCATCTCCTAATACCTTTCCACCTTACTCACTGCTGCTTCAGCCGCACTGGCCTCCTCACCACTCCCTGGAACTTGCCAGCATGTGCCTGCCTCAGGGTATTGCACTTGCCATTCCTGGAATGCTCTTCCCATTCCTGGAATGCTCTTCCCCCAGATGTTGCACTGTTTTACTTCTTCAGGACTCTGCTCAGATTTCACCTTATCCATGTCATGAGACCATCTCTGATAATGCTGAATTAAATAGGCTCCCCACAAACTTTCTATTCCCACTTCGTTTTTCACCGTCATCTGACACACAGAATTTTCATTTTTATTTTAAAATCTGTTCCTTACCCAAGCATGCTCCCTACTTTTACTGTAAGTTCTACAAGGTTGAGACCTTGTCTTATTCTCTGCTGATCCCCAGTGCCTAGAACAGGGACTGACACATAGTAGGTTTTCAGTAAATGTTTGTTGAATGAATGGAAGAATTTGGACTTGAGCAATTATCAAGGCCAGTCATAGCTGTTAACCTTGACCTAATGGGTGGCTGTGGTAAGAAATTAATAAGCAATTGTGAAAACTGAGAAAGCCATTTTAGTATGTAAGATATCTTATGGTATTTGTAATTTGTAATTATTTCCTCTTTTAAGGACAGATGTAAACAGTACATGATCAGGGGAATTAGGGACCAAGTTTATTAGGAATGAAACTAAAGAATAAAAGGCACTGTAGCAAAATGAAGGATTGGAGGGGTTTTTTTGTTTTTCGTTTTTGAGATGGAGCCTTGCTCTGTCACCCAAGCTGGAGTACAGTAACACGATCTCAGCTCACTGCAACCTCTGCCTCCCGATTCAAGTGATTCTCCTGCCTCAGCCTCCTGAGAAGCTAGGATTACAGGCACCTGCCACCACACCCAGCTAATTTTTATATTTTTACTAGAGACGGGGTTTCACCATGTTGATCAGGCTGGTCTCCAACTCCCAAACTAAGGTGATCTCCCGCCTTGGCCTCCCAAAGTGCTGGGACTACAGGTGTGAGCCACCGCGCCCGGTGGATTAGAGTATTTTAAATAGCACATCACAGTGGACTTTTAAGTTCACTTAGCAAATAGTTGTTGAATAGAAAAAGTAAACTATTGGTCAACTTTTTGTGACTTTGTGGGATTATTGGAGTTGACCTTAGTCTATTACTATACCACCGTGACTAGGTATTAGAATCTTGTTTTTCTAATTAGATTTTCTCTTTTTAAAAAAACTATTTTTCACTCTTCTGTTATAGATAAAAGCCAAACTATAGCCAGCTTTCAATAGTATATGAATATCACAGAACAAGAAATAGCTTCCCACACAATTATGGTGTCTTTTTCATATCTTAACAATTACACATTTCTGAAATATGGGCTTATGTAGCTTATATTTAATTGCCTTTTTATTTCTTTAGTGTTATAATTAACTTAGTTGCCTTCTTTGTGACTCCGTTAAATCTCATGTCAGTCAAATCCCTGTAGTGGGATCTTTGTTCAGCAGAGCGAGTGGATTTTTTGCCTCAGCTTACACGAGTGGGGGTGAATATTGGCCTTGTTCCTTTAGCCCAGCTCAAGGACTTATTCATGCCTGTAGTCTACCACCATGAATTAGGTCTGGTATTGAGTCTTGGAAGCATGGGGTTTGGGTTAATAAGGCATATTCCCCAGTTCTTGGCTTAAAATTTCACTTGGGAATCTTTTTTGGTGAGTATATCAAATAAAATGGCAAAGATGTGCAGATTAGGATGAATTTATCGTATGTTTTGATAATGGAAATTGTTTGTACCCTCTAACAGTGATTTGCACTTATTTGAAATTACTCTCCAAGGGTGTTTGACATTCTAGTGTTCAGTTAAGAATTCTCTCTGTATGCATATAATGGCTGTTTTATGATCACATTTTAATTCCTATGATAAGTCAATTTTGGCCCTCCAGTTTACTGAAGTGTATATGGCATTTTGGGGCATTGCAATTAGGCAATGCAAGCAGAAAGCTTTTATTTTTTAGAACTTCTGCATTAGGTTAGTGCTGTGATCTTATTTAACCATAGCACCAAGTAGTATTTTGAGGGTGATAGGGAAAGAGAATTGTCTTTTTGGCTTAAACTTTATTTTGATACTTCATCGAAAAATCTAATTTCCATAGAGATTACGGATTTATCTTCTCCAAAATCATACTGTCTATTTCAGAACTTTTGTTTTCCTCTTAGCTCCATAGTGATAATCATACCATTATTTTTATAATAGCTTTTGATACAGAATTCTGTTAGCTTTAAAAAATTCTAAAATGATATCTTCTATTTTACCTACCTGCTTTGTTATATTTCACTGTGGCAACATAGAATTGAGACTTTCCATATTCCATCTCTGTTCATCTTAGTTAGCGTGTCTTTCCGTTATTAACAATGGCCCAAGTGTGATAGGAAGTGCTTATTGCCTGTACTCAGAAAACATGACTGTTGAAGCCCTTTGTTCATTCATTTGAAAGGGATACTTTCTCAAATTGTAAGTTCCATTGCATTTGTTGTCATAAATTTAGTTAGGAATTACTATTTTATACAAAACTGTAAAGGTTATTTGTCTGCATTTTTAAGTTGTGCTGATCTAAATATACTTTCTAAGGGATTGTCCTCTTGCACTGTTGGCATTTGACCGATTGACAAGGGGGAGGCCATGAAAAGGGAGTACAGAAATTTAGGGGAAAGGAACAGGATAATAAGTTTTTAAAAACAAACAATTTTGAAGATAAGTTTTAGCCAATAGAAACTAGCCCTTCAACAGGCAATAATGAGGACTGAGTTTTTCAGCATCTGGAGTGACTGCACTGTACCAGACCATCTTGGTATATTCCTTATGTGCTTAGTTGTTCTGTAGTGCTTCCGATCATCTGCCTGTGTCTGCTTGAGGATCCCACAGTCAGTATTAAGTTGGCCTTGGGTCGTCTTAATCAGTGAGGCTCTATTTGTGCAATCCATCCGCTGAGGTGGAACAATAACAGCTGGTTTGCAGCTGGATATGTTGTCCTGGGAACTCTTGTTTCAGCCAGCAGTTATGCTAACAAAATTGAAAACATTTTCAAATAGTTGCTTTCTGTGACTACTGTTTGTGTTAACTGTTTGGAGATCCCATTTAGTAGCCTAAACACACCCCATCTCTAATTGACTTTGTGCTACAACTTTATTAAAGTTTTATATGCCTAAAATCAAGTCTGGCTTCAAGGAGAGCATTCCTTTTCTGACTTCCAAAGAGTTAACACATAAGAGCCAGTAGTGAACCAGTGACTCCTAATTTGATACTTTAGAATGAACTAGTTTTCTTTTTCTAATTCAAGCTGTGGAAGGGCATTTTGCAATTTTGTAAAATTCTATATGGCTATTGTCATTCATTACTAAACTCTAAAGGAGGTTGTTTCACAAGATCCTTATGGAATTTTTCTGAGTAGCACATAACAGAGGAGCATTTATGTTCCCCAGCAGTCAGTGCTTGAATCCAATTCTAAGACAAGAAGAGTTTCTCCCTTATTCAGAGAGATGAGAAATACTTTACCATGTAGGAGGCTTAAGCAGAATTCCTTGGCTTGGTCCCACATGAACAAAGGCTGGATTCTCATTGTCGATGCGGCCTGTTCCCCTCCTCTCATTCCCTCAACCAGCATGAACTGTAGGATCTAGAGCAGGAAGTATTGGTTAATTTTGTGTGCTTCATTCTAAACATCTGCCCTTGAGTTTTTTGTTTATGGAAGGGATATGGCAGGGGGAGGAAGAGGGGCAGTAGAACACTCAGAAGCTAAACATTTTTTTGGTGGTGTGTATATCCATGGTTAGTCTTCGTGTGTGTGAACATGGGGTGAGGAGTGGAAGATGTTCTGGTTGAATAGTTGCTGGAATACATCCAGAAATGCACTTACTGTTTTCCTTAATCATTTGGCTTGGCTACTTTACCTTAAAGCCATACTGTCTACTTTCACTTGCTCCCGCAGCATGTTGATAATCTAGTAGTGTCATCAGACTGGAAATTAGAAGACCTGGTCCAGTTTTCTATTCATCTACCTGTTAACTGGATCTTCTTACTTTGTCAATTGTGAAATGAGTAGGATGGACAGAGTAGGGAAGTATAGTGAGAGAGAGGACATGGTAACCCTCAGGTAGAGCTATTTAACAGAATAAAAAGCTCCTTAGTGTTCCAGTTCTGGTTGTAGTTAATTCCAGATAACACACATACCTCGCACTTTGACCCCTCTATTCCATTTTCTGTATTTGCCTTCTTATTTATCCAGACTGGATTCCAAATTCCTTGAAGCAACTTTATTCCCCTTGTCTTGTTGTCTTTCTTTTACATTGGCAGAGGGGATGCTGAATGCTGCAGCAGAAATCACACCTCCACAGAGATGTTTGTACAAAGGCATGGCCTCCTGCTCTCCTCTCAGCCACCTGGTCTTTGCCCAGTAAGCCTTCTTTTTTCTAGTCAGCTACCTTTGCTGGACTTTACATTGGCTATTATAAAGTTTCTACACTCTGTTCAAATATTCCCCACCCAACATTACTCCCTGTCTTTGCCGCCAGTCTTGAGCAGGTATCCTTGATTTTCACTACACAGAAAAAAAGTCATCAGTAGAACTCGAATTTTAACTTCTGCCCCTTAAAACCTACAATGTCACTTTGCATATGCACCCAGACAGAGAGCAAAGAGGCAGGTTTCCTTCTGTAGAGAACCAGTCTCCCAACAAACATGGAATCCCATTCTTGTTTTCCAGCTTCTATTTTTCACCTTTCCCTCTCTGCTGACTCAAATACAACAGCATTTAATACACGTTCATCTCTATCAGAAAACAAAAAAGAAAAGAAAAGTCTTTCCTTGGCCCTGTAACCCTTCCAAATATCATCTTCCCCTCCTTCTCCTCTTCTTTAGGCAGACTACATGGTAGATTAACTACACTCACTGTGTCTGCCTGCTGTCTATTCTCAATTCCTTTGTTTTTGTTGTTTTTTTTTGAAAGGGAGTCTCGCTGTGTTGCCTAGGCTGGAGTGCAATGTCGCGATCTCGGCTCACTGCAACCTCCGCCTCCTGAGTTCCAGCAATTCTCCCACCTCATCCTCCTGAGTAGCTGGGATTACAGGCGCGTACCACCACGCCTGGCTAATTTTTTGAATTTTTAGGAGAGACAGGGTTTCACCATGTTGGCCAGGCTAGTCTCGAACTCCTGACCTCAAGTGATCTGCCTGCCTCGGCCTCCCAAAGTACTGGGATTACAGGCCTTAGCTACTGAGCCCGGCCCATTCTCAATTCCAACCACTGCCATCTTGTCCCTGGCACTGCTTTTGGTGCAGCTGTGACCTCTGTGGCTTGAAGCTGATGGATACTTCTTAGTCATTATCTTACTTGACTCTCCTAGCAGATTTGAACCCCATTGATTCCTCCCTCCTCAAAACCATCTTTCCTTGGCTTCTGTGGCATTTTTATTCTTTTACTTGCCTTCCTCCCTCTGGCTGCCCCCTCATAGCCTCCTCTGTCATCTTCCTCTGTGTGTGCTGTGAATGTTTGTGCACCTCAGGGTGGTCTCAGAAGTCAGCTGTCACGGAACACACTTGCTCCATATGCTTCAACTGTACTCAAGTCTCCAGTGTCCATCTGCATACTAGTGAGTCCCAAGTCTCTGTCTCTAACTCAGACATCTCTCTTGGCCCGTCAAACTGCTCACATCCAGCTCCCTACAGACATTTCCTCATCTACTGACCTGCAGGCATCCCAGAACTAGTGTATCGGAAACTGAATTCATCTTCCCATCCTGCCCCTGCGCCTGCCTCCAGTCCTGCCCACGCTTCTCTGTTCTCTATTTCAGTGAGTAGTACTACCCTCCACTTGGTTCATTTGAAACTAGAAAACTGAATGTTATTCTTAATCCTTCCACCTCATGGAATGGGAAAAAGCAGCTTTGACAATGAAACAGGGTACTAACAGCGACAAGTTGAGGAGCCTTTCAAAAGCAGCTCCCTATCGCCTTTGTAGTACATCAGTTACTAAGTTACTATTGAAAACGGCTTCCTACACCTCACTGAGGTCCATTCATTTCTCTCCATTCCTCTGTTCCCATTCTTAGTTCAACCTCTGTCATCTCTCCTGGATTACTGCCACATCTTGACCTCCCCATCTTCGTTCCTGTCCCTTCCAACCTAATCTCCACACTGATCTTTCTAAAAAATCAAACCTGATCATGTATTTTCTGGTTTAATGCCTTCAGTGGCTGGCCATTGCCTTTAAGCTGAAGTTGCTCCTTAAACATGACCGTAGCCTGGTGTGCTCTGCTTCTTGTTTGCCTCATCTCCAGCCACTTCTGTAGTTCTAGCTACCCTAGACAACTCTAATTCCTATGGTGATCACTCCTCTGTGTTCTCTGGGCTTTCATACATGCCATTTCATGTGCCTGGATGATGGGTCCCTGTTTGCTTAGCTCATTCTAAGCATTCCTCATGTCTTGGATTTAGATGCCACTTCCTCTAGGAAGCATTTCTTGAACTCATAAATCTGGGTTAGATGATCTTCTCCATGCTTTCCAAACATGATGTACTTCCCCTGTCATGGAGTCATCTCATGATGAGTTGTAAATTGCAGTTGTCTGTATGCGCCGTTGGGTTGACTGCAACTCTGAGGGTGGTGCACGTGACTCTCTTGTCATGGAGGTGTGTGAGCCTCCATACAGACTGCCACAGAGCTCCCTCATTTCCAGCTGTGGCTGTAGATTGGCATAAGAAAGGTAGCCCTGCAAATGAAGCTCAGTGCCAGCAAGGCCAGGCCAGCACCTGCAAGTAGACTGCATCAGAGTTTAATGCTAGCATAATTGCTTTCTGGACATTTTGCTACTTGTGGCTCTGTGTCTGTGGCTGCAGCAAGAGACATATGCCTGGTTCTTTCAGAGGGTGGCTTTGTAGTACAGATGTTGATTGGAACACAGGATGCCTTGATTGATTTTACCTTCTCTCCTTTGGCCCAGTCTGCTGCCGTTGGGTTGCTAAAGAACAATGAGATATCAGAAGGATAGAGAGAAAATAGAGAAAGAAGGATAATCTATAATCTACAGACTAGTGAGCAAGCCTTTGAACAGTCGAGGCCACCTACTCATGAGTAAAATTACATTGTTTAACCATTCTGTAATGTCTTAGATAGTGAGTCTCTGGAATGCCACAGATACTGTACTATAACCTCGCCCTCATTCAAAGGTGATGTCTTGACATTTTTGACGCAACAAAGAGATACAGGTAAAACTTGCATTCTTTTAACAGAAAGTGTGTAAACTGTATTTGTGTGACTTGTGTCTAGGCAAAATGCACTGCATCCTAGATAGAATATTCATGTTTGTATAGTATCCTTTAGTAACTGTACCAGGAACAGTCAGGTCCTTTTATGTGAACGTATTCAGAATCCCAGTTCAGGGATTTTCTTTATAAACCCTATTGTGGTAATGCCTTATATTTGTATAGAATTTTACAATTAGTCAAGTATGTGTAGATCTTAGTTTGACCTTCCAACAACTCTTGAAGTCGGTGGGGCAGGGATTGTCTTCATTTTTACAAAGAGAAAATGGCAGAGCAGAAATCATATGGTTAGTAAAGGAGGGAGTCAGGACCTGAACTCAGGTCTCAAAATGCCCCATCCTGTGTTCTTTCTGTTATGCCACATGGCTTTATGTTGAAGCTAATGTGTGTGCAAGTATGTTTCATGTATGTGGGGGACAGTTAATCCAACCTCCTCTAAGATCTGGGCCAGTTGAGAAATAGTCGGATATTGCTCATCCTGTCAGTTTTATTATAGAGAACGCTCAGTTGAAGAATGTGGCCTGGACACATAGCTCGCATGGGCTTTCTGCTCTTTTCCTCCCTGAATTGACCTCACCCACTTACTCCCAGATCCAGCAGCAGGACAGCGGCAGGCCCCACCCCACACAGAGGCAGAGCCCCACTGTGTTGCACTGAGTGCAGGAGAGGAGAGAGGGGGACTCCAGCCGGCAGCCAGAGAGAGACAAAGCGGGGTCCAGGCCACACATGAGGAATCGCTCCTTGTCTCTCAGGGACTAGTGGGTACGAGGAAGTGAAAGTGGCAGAAGTCTCTCCTCAACACTTCTGAGAGCACAGAAGTTGCTGTTCTGTGGGTTTTGTAGGAGAGGGTTGGGATGGTTCTTGAATTAATTGGCTTAGGGAGAAAAAACTGTAAGCTCCTTGAATACAGGGATCTCTGTGTCTTCACACATTCTGTCCCCTGATGTATATAGCATAGAGCTGAGCATAGATTTGTGCCCAACAAATTCTTGTTGACCAAACTGGGATCTTCACTATAACATAGAAGTAGCAAAGTATAGATATTGTTAGAGTTAGCAAGACCCAATGTGTGAATGAATGGTGATTTTATATTTTACCCATGTGAAGACACACTGGCTGGCAACCAAGCCATCCTGACCATAAGACCACACTCTGGCTTTTGCAGGGAACTGTCTGCCCCAGTGACTGCTGTCTTTTCCTCTCTGCTCAGAGCTCATTTCTCATATATTCTCTTTTGAACATATTGAAACAACCTTTTTAAACCTCCTTTCTCCCTTTGTCTTTTTTCCCCCATTTCATTGTTCATCCACTGAAGGAATTTTTTTTCCTCTTTCTTATTCTACTCCCTGCTACATCTCTCAAACACTGTCCTCCCTTCTTCAAATGTCTGTATCTTAACTTGGTAGATAAGTAGAAGAATAGAGCTGATGATATTCTTTCTGCGTCAAGAGTAACGTTACAGTTAATAGAGAATGAGGTTTTTTTAAAGTCTTAAAGGGCCTGGAGACCCATTTAGAAAGTTAGCATATATTTGCTTTTGTATCTTTTAATTAAGCTTTTGCTGAAGTACCAGCATTAAGAATAAACGTACTTTTTATTCAACTTTAGTTTTAATTAATAGTATAAGTACAGTACTAACATACGCCGCCAGTTTTCATTGCACACAACATTTCCACAATGCACATCACGACAGGCCTTTATGAGCCAACTTATGGACCCAACTGCAGTTTGTCATTTTGGGGGAAAATACGTAGTTTTCTGTTTTAGAATAGCCTGTCTTCTTGGTTTGATGTGTACAAGGAGATTTATATCCTTTGTCAAGTTCCAAACTAAGCTGGGAATAGAGGGCATTTGTTTGCTTCATACGTATGATTTATGACCTTTGATGTGTTTGTCCCACAGGAAAAGCTTTTGACATCACCTATGTGCGTCTCAAGTTCCACACCAGCCGCCCGGAGAGCTTTGCCATTTACAAGCGCACACGGGAAGACGGGCCCTGGATTCCTTACCAGTACTACAGTGGTTCCTGTGAGAACACCTACTCCAAGGCAAACCGCGGCTTCATCAGGACAGGAGGGGACGAGCAGCAGGCCTTGTGTACTGATGAATTCAGTGACATTTCTCCCCTCACTGGGGGCAACGTGGCCTTTTCTACCCTGGAAGGAAGGCCCAGCGCCTATAACTTTGACAATAGCCCTGTGCTGCAGGTAAATTCTCACAGGTTGGCCTGAAGCCAGCTAGTTCTACAACATGCGAGGTGTGGGAAGATTATTGTAGTGGGGCTTGTGGTCCCACTTCTGAGGTACGGGGTCAGAGTAGAATACTTGAGCAACACAGACAGAGAGCTTGATTCTGCTCTCTGTGTACTATTAATAAGTGAAGGAAAGTAGTTTTGTTCCTGCTGCCTGGTTGATGTTTGTTCTTATGCACTTGCAGATCTATTCTGGGATGTAAACTTTACACATTTTTTAAAAAGTCAAACAATTTTAACGTTAGTCTCTGTACCTGAGGTGGAAACATTTTCCTTCTGACCTTTTGAAGAGAACATTTGACCTAATTACCCAGATTTCTTGGATCTTTTCTTGCCTATTTTTTGATTTGACAAAATAAAATGTATTTTTTAAAATTAGCAAAGGGGAACCGTTGAAGCAAGATATTTAAGAATGCCATCTTCTTTCATTTTTACACAAGAAAATTTTGATTAGATTTGTCTGGCACGATTGCTGATCATTAAAGAAACTCCTCATCACCTAAAATGGATGATGTTAGTAACAGGATATGGATGTTAGTAACAGGATATTAATTTAGGTACCCATAGCACTGTACTTAAACATTGTGATAGAAACCTTTCCCTGTTTGAGAAGGATTTCTTTTTTCTCCTGAATTCTACATGCATATTCCTTATACACCATAATACGGAATTCTTCTATGTTGCTCATATTTCTGTGAACTTTTCATATGTCCTGGCTATTTGATTATGGAAAAGCTGGTGAGCCTCATGCTGTACTCAGCACTTTAACACAGAATTGGAGATGCTGCTGCATGTGGCTGAAGTCAACAACCACATGGGGATAGCCTTTGTCAGTTGACTGAAACAAGAAAGTCTGATAATGGGTTTTCAAATGCTGTGTACATTATATGAAAAGCTATTGTGATTTCTAAATAGGAAATACCCCATTTTTCTAGGGTTTCTAATTTGGATCTTCTTATTCTTTCTCACCGTTATTATGTTCAGGGACTCTCTTTCTAATTGTATGGTTTTGGACAGTGACAAAAGATAAGAATATATTTTTCTGTGGGTTCAGTTGCCCCCCTTCCATTGTATTTCTGTAAGTTGCTGGGAAAGCATGAATGTGAAAGCTGTTGGTAAACTCTGAGGTTATGGTGAGCAATGAGTGTGCTTGCCAACACCTTGCAAAAAAGTGTTTCTTGCAATGGAGATAAGTTGTGTTCAAAATAAATGGCCGAGAGAATAGCTGATTTTGATAGATGAAAAAGCAGGGCCAGGCGCAGTGGCTCATGGCTGTAATACCAGCACTTTGGGAGGCGGAGGCAGGTGGATCACTTGAGGTCAGGCATTCAAAACCCACCTGGCCAACATGGTGAAACCCTGTCTCTACTAAAAATACAAAAAAAAAAAAAAAGTTAGTTAAGCATGGTGGCAGGTGCCTGTAATCCCAGCTACCCTGGCTGGGAGGCTGAGGCGGGAGAATCACTTGAACCCGGGAGGTGGAGGTTGCAGTGAGCAAAGATCATGCCACTGCACTCCAGCCTGGGCAACAGAGTGAGACTCCATCTCAAAAAAAAAAAAAAAAAAAAAAGAAAGAAAGAAAAGAAAAGAAAAAGCAGAAGACCGAATGCCCAGTGGAGAGGTGACCTACAAATACTCTTTAAGTTGATCAGCTAGCAAACATTTGCCAGACTTCTTTCTTTCCTACAGCAAATTATTGCATTTTCCTGTCCTGATGAGGCAACAATAGAAAGAACAGAGAAAGAACAGTGTAGTCAGTAGAAAATGCAGTGATACAAAGTTGTAACTGTGGTTTTCTGGCACCTTTGCTAACTGTACACCCAGTCAGCCTGTCTTGAGCCATTTCCCCAACTGTAAGAATTGTGATGTTTGTTGCTCTTTATGCCGTAGAAACTAGTGAGACTATATGAGGTAATGAGACTGTGTGGTAAAAATGCTATGGGTTATGACCTTGCATTTAAAAAAAAAAATGCTGTGGGCATCTGCATAGACGTGGTCAGTCAGTTTCATTATGCAGTAACATGAGTTACGTGTCTCTGGATGTAAGAGCTCTGTCTCTGATACCCAGTTGCCAAGGAGGTTGAGCTAATTTGACTTTTAGCTGATCTGACAATGAGAGAGAACTCTTGCCTCTCTTCCTCTCTTCATTGCTCCCTAAACCTCCCTGCAGAAGCTGTAATCTCCCAGATGGGGAAGGAGACCCTTTTTGGTTTCACCATATTATAAGTATTACTAAGCATGTGTTGATTTATGGTAATAATTTACATTTATTAAAGCACTTACTATAGCATACTATAATGTGACAAGCACTGTTCTAAGCCCTTTGATTTTCTACCTCAGTTAACCCTCACAGTAACCCTGTAAGGTAGATACTTTTATTGTCTCCATTTTACAGATGAGGAATCAGAGGCCCAGAAAGGACATAACTTGCCCCAAATCACACAGTTTAAGTGGCAGAACTGGAATTCAAAACCTGCAGGGTCTAGCTCCGGGGTCTGTTCTTTAAAGATGCCCATTAGGAAAAAAAAATGGCTTAGCTTTTTGAGAAGCTCTTATTCAAAGAGAGCTGTGATAAGGTCGAAGCCTTGTAGAAGATATAATAAGCATTAAACACAGAAATATGTTTAGCTATTTACATTACAGATGACTAAAAGATTCCTACTGTTGTGGCCATGAGTAGGAGTTGTTATTGGAGTTCCAAGTTTGGATATGGTGAAATCGTCGTCTCTTTTCCTTTCTAATTATACTTGAAGGCTTTGTGGAGATTAGCTTTTATGAGCTCTCCATGTTGTTCTATATGCCAGGTATTTGGTGTGGCTTAAGGCAGTGGTTCCAAATCAGAGCTGTGCCTCCCAGACTCACCTGGAGCCTTCTGAAAACATAGATGTCTGCACCTCTGCACTTGCTTGTTACGTCTCCAAAGGTGATTTTGTTGTGCAGTCCCTAGGAAAGACTTAAAATGGAAATGCTGTCTTTGAGTGGTTATATGTAATACACCACCCCAAAACCTAATGGTTTTAGATAACTGTGATTTATGATTTCTCATGATTCTGTGTTAGCCTGGGTCACTCACCTGACAGGTCAGCTGGGGCCTGGGTCTCTGTCTCCCTGTGGTCTTTTATCATCAGGAAGCTTGACCAGGATTTACACCACAGCGGAAGTGATCTGGGAGGGTGAGTCCCTGTGCACAAGTACTTGTCAAGCCTCTGCTTATGTCACATTTGTTGATGTACCCTCGGCTGAAACCAGTCACACACCCAAGCCTAGAGTCAGCAGAGAAAGAGACTGCACTGGTTGTGGGCCCTAGCAGACATGATTCACTGGGATCATTAGTATAGCATTCTACCACACATGTAAACATCTGCCTAAAATTAGCTCAGTGTAAGGGCTTAGATCTCATAAAACCTAGGGAAAAACTCTACAGCCCCCATGCTTGTCCTCTGCCATTATGGTACACCTACCAACTTGATAAGTTATGGTTTCTTCAAATTCATTCATTCACTTAGCAAATAATAGTTCGCATACCTACTGCATGCTAGGGAAATGGCAGTGGACAAAATAGAAATTTCCTGCCCTCGTGGTACTTACAGTGTGGTGGGAAGGGGAAGGTGTGTGTGGAAAAAGACAATGTAAATAAAATGAGAGTGGGAAATAGGGAGTTGGGTAGGGGTAGCAATGTTAGATAAGGTGGCCAGGGAAGGCCTCAGAGAGAAGGTGATATTGTGGGGAGGGTCAAGACAAACACAGACAACATCCTATTGGTTCAAGCCTAAGTAATGATTTATTAGCGAGTACTTGAGCATCTCCCTCAGATCTGTCAGTAGGGGATTGGGTTGGCAGGGAGGAATAGATGCTATAAAATGGGCAGGGGTGGCCAGGCGTGGTGGCTCACGCCTGTAATCCCAGCACTTTGGGAGGCCGAGGCGGGTGTATCACGAGGTCAGGAGATCGAGACCATCCTGGCTAACACGGTGAAACCCTGTCTCTACTAAAAATACAAAAAATTAGCTGGGCGTGGTGGCGGGCGCCTGTAGTCCCAGCTACTCGGGAGGCTGAGGCAGGAGAATGGCGTGAACCCAAGAGGTGGAGCTTGCAGTGAGCTGAGATCACGCCACTGCACTCCAGCCAGGGCGACAGAACGAGACTCCATCTCAAAAAAAAAGAAAAAAAAGGACAGGGGCAGGCAATGACCAGCATCTCTGATCCAAATGTGGTGCCCCATGAGCTCTAAGCTGGTATCCCTTACTGGATTTGGGGTCCAGATACAGGATGGAGGGAAGGGGCATGTGTATCGAGTCCCTAATTTATGCTGCACATTATATTTTATTTAAGCCTCTCAGCAGCCTTGCAAAGAAATTAGTTATTATCCTTGTTTTTGGAGACTCCGAGTAGTAAAGTAACAAATTAAAGAAGGGAAGAGTCAAGAAGGAGAAAAATATTAGAAAATTAAAGAAGTCATTGAGTATTATAATAGATTTAGTGCTAAAGAGGGCGTAAGTTAAATGATAATAAGTTAGTGATTTAGAACATTTTGTCACATTTATATCATTTTCAGTCCCTCCACTTCTCTTTTATGTTTCTATTTTTGCTTCCTGACAGGAATGGGTAACTGCCACTGACATCAGAGTAACTCTTAATCGCCTGAACACTTTTGGAGATGAAGTGTTTAACGATCCCAAAGTTCTCAAGTCCTATTATTATGCCATCTCTGATTTTGCTGTAGGTGGCAGGTAAGTAAACTATTAAATTAGTCTTGAAAGTGTTTGGAGCTTTTGCATAGAGGTGAATCTAGCAACTTGTTTACAACTATGTTAATACCGTTGTTAGATGTTTTCTTTACCAAGAATAGGAGCGGCAGTCCTTCCTGTGTGATAATGCTTAGCTGAAAAGACAGACAGCAGCCTAGGATATTTTCACTGTGAGATCTTCTTGTTGTTCTGGAAACTAAGCATGTAGGTTTTCCAAAACCTTGTCAAATCCACACATTTAGTGAATTCTTATTGACAATTTAAGTGCAAGGGCACTGTGAAGCACTTGAGGAAGGGTAAGACTCACCTTATCCTACGGAGAAGTCCTGACCTTCTTGGATCTTACACATGAACAGGGTAGGCAATGTATGAATATGTGAAAACTGAAATACTTGTAATCACCTGTTTTTAAAAAATAGATAAAGCAGCAGTAGAAAAGATGCCACATATCAAGAATGATCCAAAACTGCCAGGCTAGAGAAGCAGATGGCATCTAAGCTGGGTCTTGAAAGCTTTGGATAAGGAAGGAGAGGATGCCTTGGTTGGATGCAAGAGGATGGACATGTTGTAAGCAGAAGTTTAGAGACGGGAGAGTATAAACCCATTTAACTGAAGGAAAATCTCTTAAATTTGTAGAGTTGTAAACCAGAAAGATAGTTTCGTGGCCAGAGACCTTAAACAGCAGGTGAAGAATCTTGGACTTACCTCCCCTGTGTTAGACCATGAGATCCCAAAAGCAGAAAACTTATTTTTGTTTACATTGTTTCCGGTATGGGATTGGTGCTTAGTGAAAGTTGATGGGAACTGTACCCAATGAGAAATCAGGCAGAATTTTTGGAGTAGGACTCTGGTAAGAAAACAGTGGGCCAGGAGGATTAATGTGCAAACAGGGTAAAAATAGTATACAATTGAGGGAATTTATATTCCTGTTATGATGCTGGATTAGGCAACAAATACATGACATTAAGCTGGTGGCAGCAGAATGGAAAGGAACATATAGATGCATTTTATTGTGAAGGAAATGTTACCAGGACTTCAGTCAAAGGTCCTTTTATTTAGTGATCAGGAGAATGGTTGGTACCATTAACAAAATAAAGAAGATGAGCTAAACTGAAGAGTTTGGTTATACATATGTAAAATTTCAGGTCATGGGGGACATCAAAGTTTGTGCAGCAGTCAAGGATAAGAGCTTGAGAGAAGATGAGAGCTGGAGATCTAAATTTGGGACTTGTCCTGCCACACTATCAATGATTCTGAAGTATTTTAGTGTATCAGTGAATGGTAGTTGAAGCTATGAGACTGATTGCTGTCATTAAGGAAGCAAGTGAGGGGAACATTACGACTCCATGGTGTACATTAGTATTGATGGGAATTTCCATGAGTCCTTAATTTGTTATCATACTTGCATCTAGGGGATCTTTCAGGGATTCTTGCTCCAGACAACCTCAGGGGATATTAGTCTGACTACCAAACATCCATATGGGGGTGAGGTATCTAATGTGTCTCACCACCTTTAGGTCGGAATACTTTAAAATCATTATGGCAGATAATTGCTGATGTTCATCAACTTATTTTGTGGTTTTGCAATCCTGAGCACATAAATAAAGCACTCCTTGATCTTCCCAATAACCTTATGAAATAGGCATTGTCATCATCCCTGTTTTACAGGCGAGGCACAGAGGTTAAGTTACACTGGTAAGTGACAGGGAAGGGTTTCAAACCCAGGCAGCCTGGCTTCAGAGTCCATGCTTTTCTGAACCACTATATTCTGCTACCTCTTGACACACAGGTTTGACTTCAGGAATTGATCCTACAGGTAGCCTCAGAAATTGTTAGGGACTTTCTTTTCATACCTGGTTAATCCCTACCCCTGTTAAGTAAAGCTACCTTGTTTAATTTTTTTTATCCTTAAAAATTCAGACATCCATTACTTAATCTTGCTCAGTTCCCCAGTTTACACTTTTGAATGGTAAAACTTACTTCTTTGTGTACATAGTTTTTCTGTGTGCATTTCTGGGACTTTGCAGCTGTTCCATTTTTTGGAGTATCTCTTCTCTCCCCAGATGTAAATGTAATGGACACGCAAGCGAGTGTATGAAGAACGAATTTGATAAGCTGGTGTGTAATTGCAAACATAACACATATGGAGTAGACTGTGAAAAGTGTCTTCCTTTCTTCAATGACCGGCCGTGGAGGAGGGCAACTGCGGAAAGTGCCAGTGAATGCCTGCGTGAGTGCCCCATGACGTCAGTCTGTCAGTTGTCTTAAGGACTTCCAAGGGTGGAAGAAGGAATGGGTGACTTTCTTTTATTCCTCCTTGAAAGGAAAGCTCTGAAAGGCCAGCTTTTTGTGTAATTTGAGTAGTATTCAAGTCAGAGGAAAGTCATAGATGAGGGCAATTCACTGTAAAGGCAAACTGAGGGTTTTGTGTTTCCTTCATGAACACATGTCCCAGAGTTGGAGCAGCATCTGCAAGGTTTAGAAATTTGTTTGGATCCAAATACTGGGCCAGTGTAGTCTACTCCGGAATATGGTTTCTCTAGTCGTATTTGTTCCCCTTTAAAATACTATTATTTTTATCAATGCTCAGGCATCCAAGGTAATTAACATGTATCAAATATAATGAGTTCTAGGCTAAGAGGGCCATTCCAAGATTATTTCTTTTTTCTTTTCTTTTTTTTTTTTTGAGACTGAGTCTCACTCTGTCAGCTAGGCTGGAGTGAGTGATCTCAACTCACTGCAACTTCCACCTCCTGGGTTCAAGTGATTGTCTTGCCTCAGCCTCCTGAGTAGCTGGGATTACAGGTGCATGCCACCATGCCCAGCTAACTTTTGTGTTTTTAGTAGAGACGGGGTTTCACCATGTTGGCCAGGCTGGTCTCGAACTCCTGACCTCAGGTGATCCACCTGCCTTGGCCTCCTAAAGTGCTGGGATTACAGGTGGGAGCCACTGCGCCTGGCCGCACAAGATTTTTTCTCAAAACTATTTTTTCTTTATCTCACTGAAGAGTACAACGGGGAGAATTTTCCCACTCCCCTGTTGGAGAGGTGGGTAGCTTTGGGAAGAAGAATAGGTCCTAGTATTCCTAGAAAAAGGTAAAAATGAAAAAAAAGTAAAATGAAAAAACTTGAAACATTGTTTATCCCTTCATAATGTCATGGTTTATTCTGAACAGATAGAGAAAGAAATCTCAGGAGAAAGGAACCTTTTAATCATGATTTTAAAGCAGAAATACTTTTCTTATGTCCTTACAAATATTGTTTATCATATTCTGTTAAGAATAAAGAGAAAAAGAAGATACTCTTAACTTGCAGAAATTATTGGCAGAGGCTGGGAACGGTGGCTAACGCCTGTAATCTCAGCATTTGGGAGGCCTATGGGGTTGGATCACCTGAGGTCAGGAGTTCGAGACCAGCCTGGCCAACATGGTGAAACCCCGTCTCTACTAAAAATAGAAAAATTAGCCAGGTGTGGTGGTGCACGCCTGTAATCACAGCTACTCACTTGGGAAGCTGAGGCAGGAGAATTGCTTGAACCTGGGAGGCGGAGGTTGCAGTGAGTCAAGATTGCGCCACTGCACTCCAGCCTGGGCAACAGAGTGAGACTCCGTCTCAAAAAACAAAAACAAACAAAAAAATTATTGGCAGAAACCCCGAGAAGGGACCACTATCTTAACTCACTACTGTTTCCACTGAACTGCCGAGAGGAGATTTTCTTATTCATCTTTTCAACAAATCCTAAGATTTGCAAGTAAAATTTACAGCCTCCTCTAACATTTGTAAGCACTTGCTTGACCTTCTTTAATTCCATTACTGAACTGTAATATTCAGTGTTGGAAGCTCTACAATAAAGGCTGGTACAAGAATGAAATACTCCTAATATGTGGCATCTAAATAAATGGACATGTGTGCTTGAAAAGCATTCTGCTTAATAATGTCGTATTTTGAGTCTATCCAGGAAGTTACTTAAAGAACCAAACATTGCCAATTCACCTCTAGCAAATGAACTGAGTACTGTAGCTAAAGGACTTTGATGAGGAACTAAGTCAATTTGCTTTTCTCGTTGGTCCCTTCAGCACTGTGACACTTCAAAGAGTGACATTTCTGGATGTTGTGACAATACTACATTAATTGTCAGGATGCTAGGGCTAGGGAAGAGAACTACCTTCTCTCAAGGAGGGAGCCATGGCATTTGCTTTAGCTGTAGGTTGGGACAGTGTGGACAGTGGTGTTATTCTGCTTTACCGTCTCAGAACATCAGATCTTCAGGTGGGTTGGGCTTGGTGGATTGAGGGATAAGCTAGGGCGTCTTGAGGGAAGAGAAATAGCTAATGAAGGAAGGAAAAGGGCACTTTAAAACTAACTTAACAAAACTCTAATTTTTGGTGGCAATAACTCAAGTTTCTAAAAAAGTTTTCAGTTGTAATACTGTACTATGAAATAACTGATCATAAGAAAGAGAGAAAAAGAACAAAAGGGGCTGAGTATGGTGGCTCACACTTGCAGTCCCAGCACTTGGGAGGCCAAGGTGGGAGACTCATTTGGGACCAACCTGGGCAATATAGTGAAACCCTGTCTCTGCAAAAATAAAAAATAAAATAATTAGCAAGGCATGGTGGCATGTGCCTGTACTCCCAGCTACGTGGCAGGATGAGGCAGAAGGATCACTTGAGCCTGGGAGTTTGAGACCAGTCTGAGCAACAGAGCAAGACCTTGTCTCTGCAAAAAATTTTTTAAAAATTAGCTGAGTATAGTGGCACACACCTGTAGTCCCAGCTACTTGGGAGGCTAAGGCAGGAGGAGGATCACGTGAGCTCAGGAATTTGAGGCTGCAATGAGTTATGGTGACACCACTGCACTCCAGAGTGAGACCCTGTCTCCAAAAAACAAACAAATCAAAATGTGTTCATGATTTTGGTTAGAAGAAGTCTGCATTAAAAAAGAAAAATATATTCCAAAAAAGATGTATTCGAATATTTTTTTTAAACAACATCCTGTTCGATTTGAAACCAAATAAAACTTCTTTTTATTTACTCTTCAAGATACTGTCTACATTTTGGGAAGAATCAATAACTCAGAAAAAAATCTTTTTATTATAAATATAGTAAGGAATTTTTGTGACTACAGATACTTGGTCTTGAAATATGGTTGTGCCCTGCAGGGAATATAGCTACTTAACAGATCACCCATTTGGAGTTGAGGCTTCCCTGTACATGGATGTTTCTGGAGGATCTAGATTTCTTTTTAATTCTGCTTTCATCTGTCGTGGCACTAATTTTGACCCATATGTCTCAAGTTACCCCAGTCTAGATATATAAATAATCTGGCACTTTGGAAGTTAGTGTCTTAATGTATTTGACTCATCTGAGGCCTAAAAAGTTAAGGTAAATTGAAGCCTGCATATAAAATGGCACTTTGTTTTTGGAGTTGATACTAGAATAAAGGCTAAAGATTCAGGAGAATTATAATTTGACTTGACTTTTACTTGTATATGAACAATTACCTGGAGGCAGATTATTTTCTAAGTACGAGAATTCCTTGTATCTTACGATGGTGCTGTTTTTTAGAGGGAGGAACATTTCTTTATCATCTGGCTGTATATACCCTTTATTGACATCCTGTTGGGTTTTGTTGGTGGTGGTTTTTTGTTTGTTTGTTTTTGAGACAGAGTTTTAGCTCTTGTCGCCCAGGCTGGTGCCCAGTGGCGTGATCTCAGCTCACTGCAACCTCCGCCTCTCAGGCTCAAGCGATTCTCTTGCCTCAGCCTACCAAGTGGCTGGGATTACAGGCATCTGCTACCACACCCGGCTAATTTTTTGTATTTTTAGTAGAGATGGGGTTTCACCGTGTTGGCCAGGCTGGTCTCAAACTCATGACCTCAGGTGATCTGCCTGCCTCAGCCTTCCAAAGTGCTGGGATTATAGGCATGAGCCACTGCACCTGACCTTCTTGTTGTTGTTAATGAACAGTGCATCTGGTAATCATTCTTAGTCTACCACCATCTGTCTGTCTCAGAGATGTGGGAAATTATGTTTGGTTTTAAGTCTTAAAATGCTCTTCTTAAAGGTACCCAGATCTGATGTAACTCGTGTGTTTTGACTGACAGCCTGTGATTGCAATGGTCGATCCCAGGAATGCTACTTCGACCCTGAACTCTATCGTTCCACTGGCCATGGGGGCCACTGTACCAACTGCCAGGATAACACAGATGGCGCCCACTGTGAGAGGTGCCGAGAGAACTTCTTCCGCCTTGGCAACAATGAAGCCTGCTCTTCATGCCACTGTAGTCCTGTGGGTAAGTGACAGGAAGATGGATTGAAAGACAAAATGATAGTTCCGTGGACCCCCGGAAAGGAAAGCTTTGTTTCCAAGGCATTTGGACAACTAAATGTGGAGATGTATACATTATTGTAACACAGAAATCAGTCAAGATCTGTCTCTACCCCATGCCTCCACCTTTTTTAACCAAGTTGAACTTTCAGATGAGTTTCTGGTGTGTAAGAGGGGGGTGGTGGCCTGAGTAATGGTTCTGCAAATAATTAGCAGCAGGATCATAGAGACAATTTGAACTTTGACTGTAAAAGGTTAACTGCTTTGTGAGTTCTTCCTTGTTGATGATTTTGTTTAGTCTAATCTCCTTAGAGTGCTGAAATATTCTTAGCATGTTTGCGTGTGTACAGAGATGCACAGCATTCTTAGTCTAGCCCATTCTTCAAGAGTTTAACCTTTATATTTGTCATTTAGGCCTATATATACTTAAATTCTAGACATGGGCCTTAAGGGGCTGTGATCACCCACAGAGAAGTAACTGATCTTGTGTGCAGTGTTTCATTGGGTACAAAGTGATTTTCAACATTGATGAGTAAATTCATCTTAGCATGTGTCTAGAAACTTAAAATGCCATGACTTAAAGGGTCATGATTTTGAGAAAGTTCTGATTTAAAATTTGGTTTTTATTACCTTTGTGACCATCAGGAGATTGCATACTGGTTCTCAGGCATTGCTTTTAATTACCAGTTATCTTTCTTTAACACATTGATTTTACTTACGTATCTGGCCGAATTTTTGTTTGACAATAGGCATTTTACATTTTAGGCTCTCTAAGCACACAGTGTGATAGTTACGGCAGATGCAGCTGTAAGCCAGGAGTGATGGGGGACAAATGTGACCGTTGCCAGCCTGGATTCCATTCTCTCACTGAAGCAGGATGCAGGTAAAATATTTTCAAAGCCAGAAGAAGGGGGCAGAATCTATATATAGTCAACACATATTAATAGATCTTATGGCTTATTGGCAGCAGGGTAAACATTTTTCCTGTAATAATTGTCAACAAGACTGAGGACTAGCTGTAATGGTGAGCCACAAGGGGTTTGGCTTGTACAGAGAGTAAGCAGAGTTTTAATGGGATGACTATCTTAAACTGAAACCAAATATAAAAATGACTTTAGGCTCACACCTGTAATCCCAACACTTTGGGAGGCCAAGGTGGCTGGATCACGAGGTCAGGAGATCAAGACCATGGTGAAACCCCGTCTATACTAAAAATACAAAAAAAATTAGCCAGGCGTGGTGGCGGGCAGCAGTAGTCCCAGCTACTCGGGAGGCTGAGGCAGGAGAATGGCGTGAACCTGGGAGGTGGAGCTTGCAGTGAGCCGAGATCGCGCCACTGCACTCCAGCGTGGGTGACAGAGCGAGACTCTGTCTCAAAAAAAAAAAAAATGACTTTAGGGTCCATTTTGTTCTATGTGTATTTCTTTTAAAAAAGTCTGTTGGCTGGGCGCCTGTGGCTCACGCCTGTAATCCCAGCACTTTGGGAAGCCGAGGCAGGCGGATCACAAGGTCAAGAGATCAAGACCATCCTGGCCAACATTTTGAAACCCTGTCTCTACTAAAAATACAAAAATTAGCTGGGTGTGGTGGCGTGCGCCTGTAGTCCCAGCTACTCAGGAGGCTGAGGCAGGAGAATCTCTTGAACCCTGGAGGCGGAGGTTGCAGTGAGCTGAGATGGCGCCACTGCACTCCATCCTGGGCGACAGTGTGAGACTCTGTCTCAAAAAAAAAAAAATCTGTTAACATGTAAAACAAAGGGCTGACTTGAAGAGTGGAAGTTTTCTCCCTTCTCTGATTGTTTTATCCATTTTTCATTGAATAGGCCATGCTCTTGTGATCCCTCTGGCAGCATAGATGAATGTAATATTGAAACAGGAAGATGTGTTTGCAAAGACAATGTCGAAGGCTTCAATTGTGAAAGGTAGTGCATTCTTTCTCTAGCTGCATTGTGTTTTCTGTTACCATATTTCAAGTAAAAAAAAAGTAACTGATTGTGTCTTAATCTTTTTCAGATGCAAACCTGGATTTTTTAATCTGGAATCATCTAATCCTCGGGGTTGCACACCCTGCTTCTGCTTTGGGCATTCTTCTGTCTGTACAAACGCTGTTGGCTACAGTGTTTATTCTATCTCCTCTACCTTTCAGATTGGTAATTTAGACCTCATCCCCCAACCTGTTAGAACTGTGAGATTACACTTAAAATATTTTTAAAAATAAAATCAGTGACTCTTTGAGGGCTTTTTGATGGTTGGCAACACTTTGTATTATTTAGCATGCATAGTTTTTGTAGTTTGGCCTTTTAATTTAATGAAAATGTACTTTTGGCTTTAGAATTTATCTCAATGAATGGTGATTACAAATGTTATATAAATAGTAATAAAGTAAAATATAGTTTGAGTGGTATAGCATATATTGGTACTGTTGTAGGATCCATTTATTCAAAAAGGTTTATTGATGCCTTTCTGTATACAAGGTGTGGTCTTACACATTTTTATGATACATAGAGGACCTGAATTCAGGATGTTTACAGTGTAAAGTGCTTGTGTTTTCCTTCTCTACCTGCAGATGAGGATGGGTGGCGTGCGGAACAGAGAGATGGCTCTGAAGCATCTCTCGAGTGGTCCTCTGAGAGGCAAGATATCGCCGTGATCTCAGACAGCTACTTTCCTCGGTACTTCATTGCTCCTGGTAAGTAAGGCTAGAAAGCAGTCTGACCTGCTGTGTGCCTCTGTTTAGTCTCAGTCTCACATTCTTGCCCACCATTGTGTCTGTATTCCAGCAAAGTTCTTGGGCAAGCAGGTGTTGAGTTATGGTCAGAACCTCTCCTTCTCCTTTCGAGTGGACAGGCGAGATACTCGCCTCTCTGCAGAAGACCTTGTGCTTGAGGGAGCTGGCTTAAGAGTATCTGTACCCTTGATCGCTCAGGGCAATTCCTATCCAAGTGAGACCACTGTGAAGTATGTCTTCAGGTAAGATAGCCTTCTTTGTAAAGTGAGACTTGACGAACATTGTGAAAGTGGTGTCTTTATTTAAGTTTAACTGGCCTCTAGATGTATTTTAAAGAAAAACTTCTGGGTTATTGTGGTGATTTTGTAAAAGGGAGCCTTCCTTTCTTTACCTTTATCTTTTCCAATTGTACTACCAAACCAATAGTCTTATTTTTTATTTGATTTGATTGTTAGAGCATTGCATTGTTGGGGCATAAATGAATAAGAAATATTTCCCCAACATCCAGAATTGTCCTTACAGAGGTTAATGTGGCCCTTTCTTTCTCTCCAGGCTCCATGAAGCAACAGATTACCCTTGGAGGCCTGCTCTTACCCCTTTTGAATTTCAGAAGCTCCTAAACAACTTGACCTCTATCAAGATACGTGGGACATACAGTGAGAGAAGTAAGTTATGATATAATTTAGGAGAGTTGTTTAAAAAGATGATTGGTTAGAAAGATTCATGATAATGCAAAAGTTTCTCTTTCCTAATAATATAACACTGAGAAGTGTATAACAACTCACATTATACATGAATTATATATAAAGACAATGCATTTTTTAACGGCTTTCAAGGACCTGGAAAAAATTTGGTAAAATTAGTAAATAGTATTATTTACTAATTGATTACTCAATTGATCAGTAGGTCAATTGAGGTTACATTGTATATAAATAGATTTTCTAAAAAACCTAATTATAGGCTAGGCGCAGTTGCTTACACCTGTAATCCTAGCACTTTGGGAGGCTGAGGCGAGCAGATCACTTGAGGCCAGGAGTTTGAGACCAGCCTGGCCAACATGGTGGAACCCCGTCTCTATTAAAAATACAAAAATTAGCCAGGTGGGGTGGCAAAAGCCTGTAATCCCAGCTACTTGGGTGGCTGAGGGATGAGATTCGCTTAAACCCGGGAGGCAGTGGTTGCAGTGAGCTGAGCTCATGCCACTGCATTCCAGCCTGGGCGACAGAATGAGAATCTGTCTCAGAAAAAAAAAAAAAATCTGATTATAATTCTACTGGCTCAAGTTGCCTCATCTTCATTTCTTTTTATTTACTGTTGTGTAATTATAATTTATAATTTGAGCCATTGGTTAAATTATTAAAAGTCATAAATTATTGAATGATTTTGTTATAATTTTTGGTGAACAAGAGTTTAAGACTTAAAAATTTTTTTTTTTGAGACGGAGTCTTGCTCTGTCACCCAGGCTGTGGTGCAATAGCATGATCTTGGCTCACTGCAACCTCCGCCTCCTGGTTCAAGCGATTCTCCTGCTCAGCCTCCCAAGTAGCTGGGATTACCGGCACGCCCCACCACACCCAGCTAATTTTTGTATTTTTAGTAGAGATGGGGTTTTACCATATTGGCCAGGCTGATCTCAAACTCCTGACCTCAGGTGATCCCCCTGCCTCGGCCTCCCAAAGTGCTGGGATTACAGGCATGAGCCCCTGCACCCGGTCAAAATTTTTTTTCTTAAAAAAAAGTTTTAAACAAGGACCTTTTTCTCTAGCAAGGTACAGCTGTTTGGGGAGGTGGAGTTAGTGATGATGTGGTATTGGGAGAGGCATCTGCAGCTTAGATGTGTTGATTTTTGAAATGCCTGCATGAATATCCAGATAAAAATGGCTTATAAGTAGTTAGAAATATGAATCTGGGGCTTAGGAAGAGATTAGGACTAGCGATCCAGATTTAGAAGGTTGTCAACATATGGGCAATAATTTTTAAACTTGGAAATATGACAGAAAATATAGATGGAAAAGAAGGATGGAATCCTGGAAACAGTTAAGTCCATGCTCTAAGACCCAAGGGCAACATGGCGAAACCACATCTCTACTAAAAAGTACAAAAATTAGCACAGTATGGTGGTGCATGCCTGTAGTCCCAGCTTCTCTGGAGGCTGAGGTGAGAGGATCACGTGCACTCAGGAGGTCAAGGCTGCAGTGAGTGGTAATTGTGCCACTCCACTCCAGCCTGGACAATGAGTGTGACCCTGTCTGAAAAAAAAGTAAAATAAATAAATAAGAGCCAAGGGAGAAAAAGAATTTTAAGAAAGAGAAACAATTAACAAGTTTAGGAAGCTAGCATCGTTGGGTTTTGGATTGGTGATTCCTTAATCACTGCTGAGTTTTTGTTTTTAAGAAGTGTTAAAACTGTCCAGGCGTGGTAACTCATGCCTGTAATTCCAGTACTTTGGGAGGCTGAGGCAGGAGGATTGCTTGAGGCTAGGTGTTCAAGAGCAGCCTGGGCAACATAGCAAGATTCTGTCTCTATAAATCAAAAAAATTAGCTGGGCATGGTGGCACACACCTGTGGTCCTAGCTACCTCGGAGGCTGAGGGCAGGAGGATGCATGAACCCAAGAGGTCAAGCTCGCAGTGAGCTGTGATCATGCCGTTGCACACCAGCCTGAGTTTACAGAGTGGATCTATCTCAAAAAAAAAAAAAAAAAAAAAAAGGTGGCGGGGTGGTGTTGAAACTGAAAGATCACAGTGCTTTAAGAAGTAATTTGAAGTTGAGTAAGTAAAATAAAGAATGTTCAGTTAAGAAGTTTGGCTATAAGGAAAAGACATGGACTATAATTTGGGAGTAGGAACAAGATTGAAGAAAGTATTTTTAGAATGGGGAGACTTAAGGATGTTTAGAATTGGAAGCACAGTAACCAATAAAGCCATATCTCATGACCTAACTAGGCAAGATAAACCTGTAAACATACTAAAAGTAGTACATTTAGGGTAGTAATGGAGGTGTCCTTCAGCCTTAGGTGGTTAATTTTCAAATGAATTTTATAAACAGCAAGTGCTATTTCATAACATGAAAAATACGCTTTAAGCATAAGACTGCAAAACACTAGAGTGGAATGGAGATTACAGGGAAATATGATGATGTTACTGAGGCCTATACCTCTCTGATAAAATGTTCCTGTTGATGCTTGTATCAGGGGCACCACTGGATTGGATGAACCATTGGTCTAAGGCAATATAAGGTTTCCTCTGATTTCTTATAGAAATGGAAAAGCATTGAGCTTTGGAGTAATTGTATACTTGTCAGAAGTAACCCTGAGTATTAGAACTTTACTTGAGAGTTTTTGTTTTTTGTTTTTTGGGGGGTTTTTTGGCTGTTTTACAGAGGGCAGAAATTATGTAACCTGAGTATTACCTGTTGACAGGTGCTTTCCCTTCTGTCTTACCCTTGAACTCTGTAGTGCCTGCTTTTGTAGCAAAAGAATGAAAACACTCCTTAATGGCTGTAGACATAAACTCTTCTTTTCCCCCCACACTCTTGTTCATATCTCTTCTCACTCCAAATGATTGTCTGATGCTTTTCATTTTTCACATTGGTGGGGACTGTAAAATTCAGCAAATCTAGGGGTACATGTGTGTGTTTTAAAAAAAATTAGTTTGGGCCGGGCATGGTGGCTCAAGCCTGTAATCCCAGCACTTTGGGAGGCCAAGGTGGGCTGATCACCTAAGGTCAGGAGTTCGAGACCAGCCTGGCCAACATGGTGAAACCCTGTCTCTTCTAAAAAAAAAAAATACAAAAATTAGCCGGGCATGGTGGCATGCGCCTGTAATCCCAGCTGCTTGGGAGGCTGAGACAGGAGAATTGCTTGAACCCAGGAGGCGGAGATTGCAGTGAGTCGAGATTGCACCACTGCACTCCAGCCTGGGAGACGGAGTGAGACTCCATCTCAATAAATAAATATATATATAAACAAACAAATAAATTAATAAATAAAATAAAAGTTTGCTATACCACCACTCCAGATACTTAGCACTCAGTACCACATGATTGTTCTAAATGCTGTTTTCTAATTCTCTTCTCCAGGGTGTAGACGTGGATATCTCGTTTAGTGTATCAGAGCCCAGTTAAGCAAATGGCTAATTTTCTCTGGAATTTGGGGTCTAGTTACTTTTTAGTGTTACTGACTTTACACAAGGTTTGGAAAACAAGCCAGTTCAGTGATTTTCTTTTCCTCACTATACACAGGTGCTGGATATTTGGATGATGTCACCCTGGCAAGTGCTCGTCCTGGGCCTGGAGTCCCTGCAACTTGGGTGGAGTCCTGCACCTGTCCTGTGGGATATGGAGGGCAGTTTTGTGAGATGTGCCTCTCAGGTTACAGAAGAGAAACTCCTAATCTTGGACCATACAGTCCATGTGTGCTTTGCGCCTGCAATGGACACAGCGAGACCTGTGATCCTGAGACAGGTGAGATGATCTTTGGCAGCTCTTAGACCTAACTTCTCTTTAGCAATTGTGTAGAAAGTGCTCATTGTCTTATATACTTGTACATTTGCCTGTTTTCTCACGCCTGCCTTCCAAATAGGTGTTTGTAACTGCAGAGACAATACGGCTGGCCCGCACTGTGAGAAGTGCAGTGATGGGTACTATGGAGATTCAACTGCAGGCACCTCCTCCGATTGCCAACCCTGTCCGTGTCCTGGAGGTTCAAGTTGTGCTGTTGTTCCCAAGACAAAGGAGGTGGTGTGCACCAACTGTCCTACTGGCACCACTGGTAAGTCTGCTCGCTTCATCTGCTTTCAGTGTTCCCTTCTATAAAAAGACCTAGGGGAAAGGGGCTTCGGAGTTGTTTTGGATCTTTGTGTTTGGTTCAGTTTCAGTGGTTATGGTTTTCCTAATAGGAAGCTGAGGCTCACTCTCCTTGTTTCCTTCCATCTCTCTTTTGGGTATCCCCTGATTGTCTCCATCTGTCAACCAAGGGCTTTCATGTCACCTTGATCTACCGTCTCCCCTTTAGGTGATCAAATCTCATCTTGAGGCTTCAAAAGCCTTTCTATATCTATGATAGCTAAGTTTGTATTTCCAGCCCTGGCACCTCTCCTGAGCTACCTACTTGCCATTTCCACTTGGATGGTGGGCTAGAAGCCTTCCACTTGCCTTTCCACATCCCTGTTCACCTTTCTGCACCCTGACTGAGACCTGCATGCACTACATCAAATGTCAGGCTCCATTTGCATTCAGACAGCAGAAAGCACATATGGGAGCTCACAGAGAAGGAGGAGGGTGAGGACAGAGTATTTATCCCATGGCCCCTTCTCTATGGGGTTCTCTGGATCGATGACCTCAAATCCGTCATTGATGAGCCAAATCAGCTCCTGGTAGGCCTTCTCCAAACAGCTCTTTTTGCCTTTAGGTTCTGCTAGCTGCCCCACCCACCACCTGAGGCCCAGGGTATGGAGCCTATCTCAAGTGCTGCACTCTTCTCGCAGTTTCCTTACACTCCGTGCTGATTTGATTGTGTCAGCCATTTTCTGCTGTGATTTTGATTCACATAGCCAAAGGAACTCAAATTTAAACAAATCCAAGTTAAATATTTGATTTCCTCCCTTTTTCTTCGACCCTTTGTTTCTCCTCCAGTCTTGTTCATCTTAGTAAATATGCTGCCATTAGCCTAGTTGCTCAAGCTGAAACCTTAGGGCCTATACTTGATTCATCTTCCTTTCAAGTCCTAGAAACAGTCAGCAAATCTTACTGATGTTATCTCAGATCTGACCACTTTTCACCACTTCAACTATCACCAACCTGGTTCAAACCTCTGTTATCTCTCACCTGGGATTGCCTAATTGTTCTCCCTGCCTCACCTGCTCCCCTACAATGGCTCCAATCTCAACATGAAAGCCAAAATGGTCCTTTCAAAATGTACCTCAGATTACACCACTTTTAAACCCTCCAATAGCTTCTTGATACACTAAAACCAAATCCTTTACTCTGACCTCCATGCTTCTACATGGGTTTGAACTGCTTCCATGGCTTATCTTGTTTTTCTGAAACTTTCTTCCCTTGGATATTATCCTGGCTGGTCTCTTCTCTGTCTTTCCATTGCTATCCCAATGTCTCCTTCTTACAGAGGCTTTCCCTACCCACCAATATAAAGTAGCCCTCACCTTCACCCCATCATGCTGCTCTATTTTGTTTAAATTTTTTATGCTTATCCCTATCTGAAGTAATCTTGTTTATTTGTATGTCTGTGTATTGGTCTTCACCAACCGCTGCATACACTTCATGAGAGCAGAGACCTTGTCCACCTTGTTCACATCATCCTAATGACCTAGAACAGTGCTGGTATATAGTAGATGCTCAGAAAATACTTGTTGAATGAATTAATAAACCTCGGATTCCCAGAAATTTGAGTCTAATTCAGGCCCTACTGGTTACAAAGATATCACGAGCCCAACTTGAACTAATCAAGGTAGGAAAGTGGAAAAGGAAGGATGAGGAGCAGTGAGTAGTAGAGTGGAAAGAGCTCTGGATTCTAGCTCTCCCTCTCTACCTGTCACTTCTTTGGTTGCAGGCAAATTACTTATCCTCTCTGTTCTCTGAGCTATAATATTTAATACAAGCAGTCAGCAACTGATGATTTCTAAGTTCTCTTCTAACATGCCCTGATTCTGTACCAATTGATACTGATTAACAAGGATTAGCACATGCCTCTTACATTTTAAGAGAATGGTTCTGCTCACCCTGTTGTGTGGGAAACTTACAGTGTCAAGAGTGGCACTTCACCTCTTTTAATATCATCTGCCAAAACAACATATATGAATGTGCCATCCTTTGAGACTGGAGAAGTTTATAAACCTTGGGCTTGACTCATTTACCGAGCACTTTTAATACATGATTTGGGTTGATTGTCACAACAATTAAAGTGAAGTAGGCAGACCAGGTGCTTCCTGTCTAGTGAGGAAATAGAGATGTGCTCAAGGTCACTCTGGTGGTCTGGCCCCGTGCCAGGGCTGCAGCCCAGGTCCTCTGCCCTCCACTGCACCATGTCTTCTCTCATGTGATGATTACACTAGATTACCTGTAGCCAGTGGTAATCTAGCACCAAAAATGTCTAAGGCCTTTCTTTCATAACATCAGATTGTCTCATCCCCAGGTAAGAGATGTGAGCTCTGTGATGATGGCTACTTTGGAGACCCCCTGGGTAGAAACGGCCCTGTGAGACTTTGCCGCCTGTGCCAGTGCAGTGACAACATCGATCCCAATGCAGTTGGAAATTGCAATCGCTTGACGGGAGAATGCCTGAAGTGCATCTATAACACTGCTGGCTTCTATTGTGACCGGTGCAAAGACGGATTTTTTGGAAATCCCCTGGCTCCCAATCCAGCAGACAAATGCAAAGGTAATCAGCCTTTGATCAGATTCTGTCACAGCTAAATGCCCCTTTATTGTGAGAATTCTTGTGTGTCTCTTAAAATATGTATAGTTGTTTAGTCCAATAGAAATACATTGTGAACCGCTTTTGTCTTTTAAAATTTTCTAGTCACCACATTAAAAAAGTATAAAGAAGGACAGTCATGGTGGCTGACACCTGTGGTCCTGTAAAAAGAAACAGGTGAAATGAATACTAATGTATTTTATTTAATATATCCAACATATGATTTCAATAAGTAATCAATAAAAATTGTTAATGAAATATATGTTTTTTCTCACGCTAAGCCTTCAAAATCCAGTGTGTATCTCACGTTTATAGCACATCTCAATTCAGACTCACCAGCCACATTTAAAGTGCTCAGTAGCCACATGTGACAGCAGCTACCAACCTGGCAACACAGGTCTAAAGAATCTCTTTAGGTTGTTTATATTTTAGTATTTCTCTCAGGTGATTTGTGTCTTTTGCCATCTCTGTCTTCCTGCCTTAGCCTGCAATTGCAATCTGTATGGGACCATGAAGCAGCAGAGCAGCTGTAACCCCGTGACGGGGCAGTGTGAATGTTTGCCTCACGTGACTGGCCAGGACTGTGGTGCTTGTGACCCTGGATTCTACAATCTGCAGAGTGGGCAAGGCTGTGAGAGGTGAGACATAGGTGCCTTTGGTGAAAGTAATCTTTGCTTTTTCTGTTATAAAAAATGAATTTTTATAAGTACATTTAATAATTGACTGTTCAGAAATTACTGGAGCGCCTAATGTAGGCAAGGCATCCTTCAGGGGCAGTGCTGGAGAATTGTAATAAAGCTAATGAAAGAAAGGAGTGGAGCACAGTGGCCCCAGCTGTGCCAGAATCACCTGAGCAACCTTTTAAAAGCACAAATTGCCGGGTCCTTTCTGAGGCACTTAGAATCAGACCCTTCAGGGTTGCAGCCTGGGAACTTCTGTTTTCAAAGCTGCTACTTAGTGTCCATACAGTCCCAGGCTGGAGAGCACTGGTAGCAGTTAAGTTAGGAAAAGAGGTTCTGAATAGCACTCATGAAAATTACTTGAACCTTAGGGGCTTAATAACCCTTAACATTCCATCTTAGTAACCCTTACCATTCAGTTTTCTGATACAAGTTACAAATTACATCAGTGCTATACTAAAAAAAAAAAAAAGTTGTGCTTAAAGTCTGTTTTTCTTGCCTGAGAAATGTCCTGTGTTCATTTTCAGGTGTGACTGCCATGCCTTGGGCTCCACCAATGGGCAGTGTGACATCCGCACCGGCCAGTGTGAGTGCCAGCCCGGCATCACTGGTCAGCACTGTGAGCGCTGTGAGGTCAACCACTTTGGGTTTGGACCTGAAGGCTGCAAACGTAAGGGGTGTTGGTGGCATACAACTCTAAGCTTCCACTAATTCCAGTTAGTGTCTTAAGGCCAGAAAGGACTTTGACAGCCTCAGTCTAGCCACTTGACTCATAGTCAGGGCTGTACCTAAGTCATCGTAGATGCTTTATTTGAAGAATATTATCCATTTCTAAAACTCTGCAGATCAAAGCCTTCTCTGGTTTCTTTGTATGTTTTCTTTTACAACGTTTCTGATGCTTCCTTTTTCCAATCTTTTATTTTTTCCAAGGAAGTCTTCCTTTGATTACTGAGCTTTCCCACTGTGGTTCATGAAACTTCTTTATTGATTGCATTCTTAGTGCAGATAATGAAATAGTGGAGGATTCTGTTCACAACATGTTTGTTGACTTGCTGTAGTTGCTTCCCACCCTTGGGGCCCTTTTGGTATGATTACGTGTAAACATCTGCTTCTCCTTGGCATAAACACTTGCCTGGAATTGGGCCTCAGAACAGATTGGCTTTTGCTTTCTGAATTCCTTCATTTCTCCTGTGGAATGTAGCATAAGTAATTGACTCAGTTCAGAGAACACAGTGAATAAACAAACTATAAGATAATGCAAAAGAAGCATTAGCATTTGGGTTTTCTAGTTCCTTAGAGAAATATTAAACAGTGGAGAATTGAAGGTAGAGATGAATCCTTGAAGTGCATGAAACGAGCACTGATAGTTTCATAACTTCTCTAATTGCTAAGTAACCTGAAGTGTGTCCCAAAGGTTGCACGTTTTACTTTAAAGCTCATTTTGACTTTTAAAAATGTCAGTTTTCTCTGCTAAACAGACTTAGCCATTTAAGATCTCATAAATAGTCCTGTTTTTCAAAAAAATTATGACAGTATAGTCAGCTTATAGTCAGCTTATTGTTATCAGTCTGAATTAAGAGATATACTCTTCCTTCTTTTGCTAATTATGTATTATTTTCTCCTTATTCTGCAGCCTGTGACTGTCATCCTGAGGGATCTCTTTCACTTCAGTGCAAAGATGATGGTCGCTGTGAATGCAGAGAAGGCTTTGTGGGAAATCGCTGTGACCAGTGTGAAGAAAACTATTTCTACAATCGGTCTTGGCCTGGCTGCCAGGAATGTCCAGCTTGTTACCGGCTGGTAAAGGATAAGGTAAGCTGTCAATAGTGCATTCATTCATTCATCCAGCAGACGTTGAGTGGCAACTTACTGTGCACTAATCTCTATAGAAAAAGTGGTGAACAAGGTAGATGTGGTCCCTGTTCTTAAAGACTTATGTTCCAGTTGGGAGGCAAATAATAAAAAATAAATAAATAAACAAAACAAACACTGAGATAAGTGCCAGGAAGAATACAAATGGAGAATAACTGGGGGAAACTACTTTATGTAAGGCCTCTCTACAGAATTCATCTAAGGTGAGATCTGATGGATACAAAGGAATGAGCCGAGTGAAAAGTAATGGTAGGTTTGTTCCAGGCAGAAGGAACCTGGTATACAGAGGCCTGAAAGCTGGAGAGTGGCTGGAGCCTGCTGAGTGCAGAGGGTGTGTTCTGTTTTTTAAGACGGGAGAGGTTGGTACGGACAGGTTATATGGGAACATGATGACCATAGTAAGAAGTTTAGATTTTATCCCAAATCCAATAAGAATGCATTGAAGAAACTCTTAAAATCTGGGAAATCCAGATTATATTTTAAGAGGAGCACTCTTGACTGATGTGTGAAGAATGATGGTTAGGAATGGGGCTTAATGGGAAGCCTCAATTGGATTGGATAAATATGCGTGTTTGGGGACAGGATAGGAAAAGAGAAGAATAAGGATGTGTCTTGGGTTTTTTGCTTAAGGTAGCTGGAGGCCTTATTTACTGAGATGGAGATTCCTCAGAGAGAATAGAGGTAAGAGGTATAATTTTGGATGTTAAGTTTGAGATACCTATCAGAGAGCTGAGTGGAGGTATCACGAAGGTAATCTGACACTCAAGGGAGAGGTCAGAGCTTAAGACTCATCAGCATACAGTCTTTAAAGTCAAAGGAACAGCTCTGAAGGTTTTTTTTGAAGCTGGAAAAATAAACTAGCCACGTCTTCTCTTCAGAAGTAGACATGCATGGAGTGGATAGAACTACATATTCATGCAGCACACCAACATGGCACATGTATACATATGTAACAAACCTGCATGTTGTGCACATGTATCCTAAAACTTAAAGTATAATAATAATTAAAAAAAAAAAAAAAGAACTACATATTCATGGAGTGCCCATGATTCCTGCAGGAAGTGTGATTGAGTTCTTCAGGAATACTTGTGTGTCCTACCTTTCCCTTTTCTTTCTTCTTTATGTTTAGGTTGCTGATCATAGAGTGAAGCTCCAGGAATTAGAGAGTCTCATAGCAAACCTTGGAACTGGGGATGAGATGGTGACAGATCAAGCCTTCGAGGATAGACTAAAGGAAGCAGAGAGGGAAGTTATGGACCTCCTTCGTGAGGCCCAGGATGTCAAAGGTACGCATGATTGAACAGTGCATGACTTCTGTGAGATGGACCAATCTTTAGATGTGGCTCCTAAAGCAAGGTTAGTATAGTTTTATAAAATTCTTTCTCAGTTTTTAAACTACTCATAGATTATAAATCATTTCATTTTTTAAACACTAATTCAAAAAGCAACCTGACAAATTTACTGCTTTAAGCTACAGTAAGCATAGGGTGATTTTCCAACAAATAAAAAACTATTCGATATTCAAATTTCAAGCATTTTATGAATCTGTTCTATTACAAGGTGTCTTAAAATATTAAAATAGTTTTAAAAATCATTAAAGGCATGCGTCTTCATAAGCTTTTTTTTTTTTTTTTTTTTTTTGAGCCACAATCACTCTGTTGCCCAGGCTGGAGTGCAGTGGCGCGATCTTGGCTCACTGCAACCTCCACCTCCTGGGTTCAAGTGATTCTCCTGCCTCAGCCTCCCAAGTACCTGGGACTACAGGCACATGCCCACCATGCCCGGGGTAATTTTTTTGTATTTTGAGTAGAGATGGCGGTTCACCGTGTTAGCCAGGATGGTCTCGATCTCCTGACCTCGTGATTTGCCCACCTCAGCCTCCCAAAGTGCTGGGATTACAGGCTTGAGCCACTGCGCCCAGCCAAAAAATTTTTACATTATCAAATAATTGAGTAACCTTCCAAGCAGGACCACCATATATAGTTAGGCAAGAGTTTGTAGAATGTCACCTCTGCACATACATTTGGTAGCCAAGTTCCAAGTTGGTTTTTTCCAAACCTGTATTCATCTTCATTGGTCTTACCTTTGACTTCTCATCTTTTTTTTTTTTTCCCACATTCCTTAGAAAATTTAGACCCCAACACCGAGCATGATGCTGAAATATGAATTGGTCAATTTACTTAATGGTTTTTATATATTAATAAAACCTCATGATACATGAGAGTTTTAATAATAACAGACTTATATTTATCTTTTGATTTGTTAGGACCTGAGTATGAGATTTAAGTTGAATGAGCATATTAATAAAGAATAATTTGAAGAACTATTCAAAAACAGAGATCAGTTTGAAAGAAATTACACTGATATGCTGGCACATGGGGGTGGCAAAAGAGTCTATTTAGTTTAAAATACAAAATGAGTTTAATTTGTCATACTTCAACTTATGTTTTAAACCTAGTTTTTTCTGGGTTTTGAAAAATGTTCGGCTTTTAGGGCTGGCAGCATTTTTAACAACATTGTAGATTTATGACTAAATTGCATGTGCTGGTATTAAAGTCAGTCATTCTCACCTTCATTAAACATTCCTTGGGTGTCTTCTCTTTGCCAACCACTGCATAAGACCAGCGATATAGTGGTGAGTAAGAAAGAGTTCGTAGTCAAGTGGACAGATGGACGCACGGTTGGAGGTGTGATGAGTGCACAGTGAAGGACCTACTGGGTGTGGTAAAGGCTGTCCAGCTATGGCAGGGGCTTTGTGGAAACCTGGCAGAAAGTTGCGATGTTTAGAAGAGTAGAGATACATAGGGCCTCAGATTTCATGTGAGATGATATGATCCTCTTCAGATAATTTACAGACTTTCTTCTGCAAACCATTTTAGATGTTGACCAGAATTTGATGGATCGCCTACAGAGAGTGAATAACACTCTGTCCAGCCAAATTAGCCGTTTACAGAATATCCGGAATACCATTGAAGAGACTGGAAACTTGGCTGAACAAGCGCGTGCCCATGTAGAGAACACAGAGCGGTTGATTGAAATCGCATCCAGAGAACTTGAGAAAGCAAAAGTCGCTGCTGCCAATGTGGTAAGTGATTGCAAACGTCTGAGGTGGGGATGGGGGAGGCCCCTGGGGTTTGTAGCAAGTCTGTTACTGGCAGTGGAGTGCTTCTTCAACTAAATTGACTCCATGCATCTTTTTATTTGTCCCTAAATATGGGGCAGAAAAGCCACATTGCTCATAGTTGGCATGAAACAGTTATTAAAAACTGGATAAAAACCAAGGGACATCTGGGTTATTTCTCTAGCTTTGTTCCTTCTATGGAACTAGGCAGTTTAATCTTCCTTTATCCTTTACTGAAAATAGAATCTGCAATCAAGGGTGCTGATATTAAATAAAGATCTCTGAAAATAAGAAGAGGTATTCTTGGGGCCAGGCGCGGTGGCTCACGCCTGTAATCCCAGCACTTTGGGAGGCCGAGGCGGGTGGATCACCTGAGGTCGAGAGTTCGAGACCAGCTTGACCAACATGGAGAAACCCCGTCTCTACTAAAAATACAAAATTAGCCGGGTATGGTGGTGCATGCCTGTAATCCCGGCTACTTGGGAGGCTAAGGCAGGAGAACCACTTGAACCCAGGAAGCAGAGGTTGCGGTGAACTGAAATTGTGCCATTGCCCTTCTGCCTGGGCAACAAGAGTGAAACTATCTCAAAAAAAAAAAAAAAAAAGGTAGAGGCATTCTTTTTGCCCTCTAACAAAAATTTAGTTTTGACTCTTGCTTTATTAAATGTAAATAATTCAGTCCTTTGAGAATAAGTGCTTTATTTCCTGTGCAGTCAGTCACTCAGCCAGAATCTACAGGGGACCCAAACAACATGACTCTTTTGGCAGAAGAGGCTCGAAAGCTTGCTGAACGGTAACTTCTAGATCCCTGTTTAATGGTTAAGTTGTGGCTTCTGTTATGGGGTGTGTGTGTGTGTGTGTGTGTGTGTGTGTGTATTGTCTTATCCCATAACCCATAAACACTTTCTACATAACCCACTTTTGCACACTTTGCTCTCTTTTCTAAGATATTATCAGCTGTGTATACTCTTTTCTTCCTTTTACTTTGACATTAGAATATTCACTTTGAATATTAGAATACAATGGTTTGAAGACAAATCATATTTATATTTCTCAAAACCATAATATTTTTAGATTTTTAACTTATTTAAGACTGTAGTAACTGAATGAAACTAGCAGATTGTTGTTAATAAAGATTAGGCATGGGATTTGTTTTTAACTAGGTAAATGATTTCTTGCTGGCATACACAATTTTATATGTACATTACTCTCAAATAATTAAATTTAAAAGTAGTTTTTCTGAAGAATTATAAACATTTTCTCTTATAAATGTATACCAATAATTTTTTTGGAAAATATTCTCATCTCAGTTTTAGAATGCTATTCATAAATTCAGCCCCACTGAAATGATCACAAAATTCCAAATGAATGACGTTTTCTAATATTTGTAGAATTGTTGCCCATGTTAGTATATGTACATATAATAAAGTAGGCCGGGAGCAGTGGCTCATGCCTGTAATCCCAGCACTTTGGGAGGCCAAGGCGGGTGGATCACCTAAGGTCAGGAGTTTGAGACCAGCCTGGCCAACATGGCGAAACCCATCTCTACTAAAGATGCATTAGCTGGGCATGGTGTGTATGCGTGTAATACCAGCTACTCAGGAGACTGAGGTAGGAGAATTGCTTGAACCGGGAGGCGGAGGTTGCAATAAGCCAAGATCACGCCACTGCACACCAGCCTGGGTGACAGAGCGAGACTCCATTTCAAATAATAATAATAATAATAATAATAATAAAGTAAGCATTACCTGAATTTTACTTATGTCCCTATCAGATGGTTGTTTCATGGCTTATTTTTTGTTTTATCTGTATAGTCATAAACAGGAAGCTGATGACATTGTTCGAGTGGCAAAGACAGCCAATGATACGTCAACTGAGGCATACAACCTGCTTCTGAGGACACTGGCAGGAGAAAATCAAACAGCATTTGAGATTGAAGAGCTTAATAGGAAGTGAGTATAATTTGAAAGTGGTTTACACCCCTTCAGGTGTTCTGGTAAGTAACACTAGTTCAATGAAAAATTAAATGCTGGTGCATTCAGGGCATACATTCATGCAGTAAGATTTCCTTTGTTAATCATGCTTTTGAAATGGAAAAGTAAGTAGAGAAGGGCATGTGAAGCCACAGAGATTTGGTTTGATTCAATTACTGTAACTACAGAGAATAGTAACAAGATGAGCCATGATACTTAAAATTGTGCACAAATAAAGAAGAAAAAATATAATAGAGTAAGTAGAGGAAACATAATTGAACTACAAATCTTTAAAGGGTGTCTGAAATAAGAAAGTATATGGTAAGCCATACATTATAGAAAATTTTTTCTTTTTTTTGTTGTTTTTGTGAGATGAAGTCTCACTCTTGTCCCCCAGGCTAAAGTGCAATGGCGCGATCTCGGCTCACTGCATCCTCTGCCTCCCGGGTTCAAGCGATTCTCCTGCCTCGGCCTCCTGAGTAGCTGGGATTACAGGTGCCTGCCACCACACCCAGCTAATTTTTGTATTTTCAGTAGAGACGGGGTTTCACTATGTTGGCCAGGCTGGTTTTGAACTCCTGACCTGAAGTGATCTGCTCACCTCAGCCTCCCAAAGTGCTGGGATTACAGGCGTGAGCCACTGTGCCCGGCCAAGCCATACATTATAAATAGAAATGATAAAAGAAAATGTAAATATGCAAAATGTTGGTATTAAAATGCAAGCATTTTAATGTAGCATTTCCTTTGAGGTTTTGGGCGTATTATCACATGATCATGTTAATCTGGTTAACATTAAGATGCTAAAAGCAGCTAAGATTGTCATTAAACCACATTATTTGTGTCTTAGGTATGAACAAGCGAAGAACATCTCACAGGATCTGGAAAAACAAGCTGCCCGAGTACATGAGGAGGCCAAAAGGGCCGGTGACAAAGCTGTGGAGATCTATGCCAGCGTGGCTCAGCTGAGCCCTTTGGACTCTGAGACACTGGAGGTATGGGGGCAGCCTGTACGCACAGCCCCACCCCGTCTCTCCCCCAAGTCTATGTGAGAGCCGACTGCTCTGCACCTCCCTCTGTCCTCCCACTGACTCGCTGGTAAAGTTGAGTCTTATTTCACATACGCTAATAGAACTTACCAAGGTAGCCAGATGTGGTGGCTCATGCCTGTAATGCCAACCCTGGGAGGCTGAGGTGGGAGGATTCCTTGAGGCCAGGAGTTCAAGACCAGCCTGGTCAACATAGTGAGACCCCATCTCTTAAAAAAACAAAAACAAAAACTTACCAAGGTAAAGAATCCTGTGATTGTAAACATTAAATAGCAAAGACTACTTTAATGATATGAACAATCACTCCTAAGTCTTTAGTGCAAATCCAAATTATAATAATACATTTGAATTGCTTAAAGCAGAGTACATGTAGACATTTACTCCCAGGCTCTGTCTAGTAGAGACCTAGAGAGAAATAAGAGAGAATGGTTTAATTAAAAGACTATAGCAGGATGTTCTGAGGCAGGTAAAATATTTTGGAATTGGTAGGATTTTATTTCATATCTGTACTCTTAATCATGGATTCTCACTCCAAGCTCTGTATAAATGGTATTTTTTTTGCATTAAGCTTGAGGTTTACTAAGTTTCACTTCTTATATCTGAGGTGTTGACTTGATTTTTACCATAAAGGTTTAGGTCTCTTTAGATATGTACAGATTGTCTGATTCTATATATTTATAATTAGAAAATAGGCAGAATTAGTCTATGATGATAAAAATCAGAACAATGGCAGGCACAGTGTTGGAAAGGTAGAGTAGAGATCGGGTGGAAAGGGAGAAAAGGGAGCTTCTTGGGTGATGGAAATCTGTATTTTGATTGGGGTGTTGGTTATGCAGAAATGCATTTGTCAAAACTCATCAAACTATATGTGGATTCTGTGAACTTCAGTGGGTGTAAAGTATATCTCATTTTTTAAAAAAGTCCATAAAATCTTGATCTGTGCAGTTCTTTTAAAAATATCATTGAGTATTAGGTGTTACAGAGTTCCTAAGCCTACCTTTTCATTAGTTTAAATGTTTTATCCAAAGTGTAGTGATCTTACTTGCTTTTCACAGAATGAAGCAAATAACATAAAGATGGAAGCTGAGAATCTGGAACAACTGATTGACCAGAAATTAAAAGATTATGAGGACCTCAGAGAAGATATGAGAGGGAAGGAACTTGAAGTCAAGAACCTTCTGGAGAAAGGCAAGACTGAACAGCAGGTTGGTTTGATTTGCAGGTCGCTTCATTTCTTGAGGCAACATTTGAACAGTCCAAATGGGTCTGTGATGATGCCGTACTTTCAGAGACAGCAGACCCCAGTGCTGAGAGAGCAGCCTAACAGATTTTATGCTGGCAAGTCTCAGGGTGGCACCTCTGGAGAGCCTTGTCTGTCCAGGAGACAGAAGGGATTTGCTTTGAGGGTTCATCCTCTCATCTGCCATGTGTTTGCAGACCGCAGACCAACTCCTAGCCCGAGCTGATGCTGCCAAGGCCCTCGCTGAAGAAGCTGCAAAGAAGGGACGGGATACCTTACAAGAAGCTAATGACATTCTCAACAACCTGAAAGGTAGAAAAGGCTGAGATAACAGGGGCAAATGCTTCCGCCACTAGAGTGATTTTTTTTTTTAATCATGACTTTTACCATATTTATTACTTCATCCCCAACTCCCTACTTTTTTTATGCTAAAGTATTTCAAAGGGAAATCCCAGAGCTCCTGTCATTTTATCCCTGCATACTTCAGTATGGATTTTTTTTTAAAGATGTTTTCTTATTAGGCAAACTCACATAACCAAGATGCCTATTTAGAGAACTTATATAGGTAAATGGAGATTATCTTTCATTTTCTCTGCCAGTGGCATCTGATTCTTTGTTGTTGTTTTTTTTTCTTCACCCCAGATAGAAGAGAAATGTGACCAATTCACTGAGCAACTGTGAATTCTTGTCTGATAAAACAGTCATAGGTTCTATAAATAGAGAAGCTTTACAGGATGCTTTACAGGGTACTAGTTGAAAATATGGGCCAGGCACGGTGGCCTGTAATCCCAACACTTCGGGAGGAAGGATCACTGGAGGCCAGGAGTTGAACACCAGTTCCTCACTGGGGAATATAGTGAGACCCCATCTCTATAAAAAAAAATTTTTTTTTTAATTAGCCGGGCATGCTGGCACATACCTGTAGTCCTAGCTACTTGAGAGGCTGAGGTGGGAGGATCCCTTGGGCTCAGGAGGTCAAGGCTGCACTAAGCAGTGATTGTGCCACTGCATTCCAGCCAGGGTGACAGAGTGAAACCTTGTCTCTCAAAAAAAAAAAAAAAAAAAGTAGTAGTTCAAAATATGGACTCTGGTGTCAGTGGGCCTTGGTTCAAAACCCTGCACCCTGCACCACAGGTCATGTAACTTCTTTAATCCTCAATTTTCTTATAAAAATGATACAGCCTATTTTATGTCAAAGACACAAAGCTCTTAACTCAGTACCCGACACACAGTAAACACTAAATAAATTGCAGCTTTTAATAATGGTTGAGGTAGTGGTAATGGGATGCTCAGCGCTCTGCATTTTAAAGCACATTGTTGAAGTAAGAATTCTATTTCCAGAAACGGAACATTTCTATAACACTAACTGGGAGACCTATTCTGTAGAGATGTGTAATTTCTAAAATTTCAGCCCATGCTCTCTTCCATTTTTTACCCTGACTTCCATTGTTCATAAAACAAAATCCAGTTGGAACTCCCTGAAAGGCCCCCTTTTTACTTGTTGGGAGTTTAGCTCAAATGTGTCCTTGAACTTGTTTCAGATTTTGATAGGCGTGTGAACGATAACAAGACGGCCGCAGAGGAGGCACTAAGGAAGATTCCTGCCATCAACCAGACCATCACTGAAGCCAATGAAAAGACCAGAGAAGCCCAGCAGGCCCTGGGCAGTGCTGCGGCGGATGCCACAGAGGCCAAGAACAAGGCCCATGAGGCGGAGAGGATCGCGAGCGCTGTCCAAAAGGTGTGCGTTTCCTCTTCTCCAAGAGTCCCTGCCCATATCTTTCTCTGGTCACTTTCCAGTTTCTTTCCAGACCCTCAGAGCCCTTGCAGATTTTTTTCCTGAACTTCAGTAAAATTGTCTTAAACCATATTTGTCTTTTTTTTTTTCTTTTGACTAGGCATGAGAGTAGGTATCCACATTGAGGAGGGGAACTCAGTAAAAGGGTGCTTTACTCTAAAATTTCTACTATGTCTCAGTGTGAGGTCTGGCTTCAGAGGTCTATAGAGCCCATTCCCACAAAAAATCAGACTTTTTCTAAATAAACATTCTTCTTTGACCTAGACAGGTGGTATTTATTTCAATACTATGTAGTGTGCCTTATCAATATAACTTTCAAGTCCCCCTTTCAAGTATATTGCCATATGTAAGCCACTCCTAGGAGAGACTTCCCATAGCTGCCATTGCTAGGATTCTTTGAAGTCATCTTCAAGAATAATGTTTTTTAGTTTGGCTTTCTCTTATTTCAAGGTCAATCTGTTTGTTTTATTTAAAAGAGAGATTGGAGCAATTTTAGAATTAGGTATTTAAGAATCAGAGAAACCTCTTAGTTTCCTTAGAACAGTTGGCTTTTGGATTAATTATATTTTATAAAATACTCATATTTCAGGATTGTGGTCTTTTTGTACATTATGATGAACTGCCAAGAATGAACCAAGCTAGCTTTGAATTTAAATTTTACCTCAGCGAAAGCATCTAATCAATATGATGTCGTAGAAAGTGTATGCCATTAAATGTTTATCATTTGCTGTCTGTATGACCCCAACTAAAAATAGCAATAATAGAACAGAAGTTTCCAGGATTAAAGAAGAGGATACAAATGAAAGTGCTAGATAAAATACAAAATGTTATTATGTGGGTAGTAATTTTTTTTATGATTATTTATAACCCAAATTGATAATGTAAGTCATGAGATAGTATAAATCAATATATTATTATTTCTGGATTATATTTTTAAGACATTTTATAAATTATAAAAGGAGCGGGAGCATACTTGAGAAAAAGGAAAGCTTTTTTAAAAAAAGTACAATTTTCTTTTGTGCCTAGAATGCCACCAGCACCAAGGCAGAAGCTGAAAGAACTTTTGCAGAAGTTACAGATCTGGATAATGAGGTGAACAATATGTTGAAGCAACTGCAGGAAGCAGAAAAAGAGCTAAAGAGAAAACAAGATGACGCTGACCAGGACATGATGATGGCAGGGATGGTAAGAGGTTTTGGTATATTTGCTCATTGGCAGAAAGTGAACAGTGTTTAATAATAAAGATCCCCCACTTGTTGAGAAGAGTCTTTTTTATATTGACTTCTGTTTTTCATCACATTGTCTCGTCAAGAATTGGGTTAGTAGCTTACATAGAAGACAAAGAATTTGGATCTTCTGCCAGGTAATTTTGTTGCACAATTGTCCTGTCCCAAAGTTACTCAGTTAAAAGTAAAACATTGCTTTACACGTTTGAGGTTTTAGGACATTAAAAGTATGTGTTTATATTTTTCACTGGGTAATTCATAAATGTTAATAAAAAAGGAATGCAATGAAGTTAATTTTCTTCTTATTCTTGTTCTCCCAGCACCTTTAGAGACAAAGACAAGTTTCTTGTATATAAGAAATTTTTGAAGATGGCATTGTCTACCACCCCACCAAAACATATGAAACTTACATCTAGTTTAATTTTTCACGTTTTGTGATAATGTGTATGCAAGGTACTATTTGTAACAAAATTGACTTGTCAATGGATGGCCCAAGGAAGAACTAAGGTCCATTTTTCTGTTCTATGCTATATTTTGCTTTGAAAAGACTTTAATGGAGTCACAGTAGGAATATTCTTTTTCCAGTTGGGTGTAGCAATCACGGTAATGACATACACGAACTTGTGGTTACTTGCTCACTTTCAGTGGCAAAGAAGAGGCCGTCGTTCACTGCTGCCAGAAAACATAGTCCCTCAGTGTGGGTCATTTTCATCTTGGGATGGAAAAAAGAAGTACAAAGCCTGTTAATCTCAGTAAAAACTCTAGGGAAGTGATAAAGGAAACTATCTCTGTGCAACCACCTAATTTTATTATGCTTTTTACAGGTAGGGGGGTGGATGTTGGTTTGGATTGTCCTGATTTTCTCCGTTATGGTGTGGCTCAAGTAAAAATTCCCATAAAGGTGTCTGGGCGCAGTGGTTCACTCCTGTAATCCCAGCACTTTGAGAGGCCGAGGTGGGTGGATCGCCTGTGGTCAGGAATTCGAGACCAGCCTGGCCAACATGGTGAAACGCTATCTCTACTAAAAATACAAAAATTAGTTGGGCATGGTGGTGGGTGCCTGTTACCCCAGCTACATAGGAGGCTGAGGCAGGAGAATTGCTTGAACTTGGGAGGTGGAGGTTGTAATGAGCCAAGATCACTCCACCCTGGGCCACAGAGGAAGACTCCGTCTCAAAAAAACAAAAATTCCCATAAAAAAAATAGATGTTTCTCACATGTTGAGCATATATGGATTTCATTTTTAATATGATTGTAGAAACATTAGATTTAAAGCATATTGAAAAAGAAAACAGTATATTCTTTAGGAGCTTCAAAAAAGGGTTTTGGTTTAGTTCAAAGGGTGAAAGAAGATCTTTTATTATTTTGGTAAATAACTTCTAAGGAAACAAACCACCCTCACATGCACTATCTCATTTGTATTTCTGTCAATTCTGAAAGGCCAGCATTTGGCCAGTATTATTTGAATCTGTATTGTATTTTTTAACCAGAAGAATGAAGGTTTATAGCTTCATTCTTTTGGAAGAGGAGGCTGGAGACCACAGGTTAAATGCAGGTGCATCGCTCTTGGCCGGCCCTGGCAGGGTCCTTTCTCCCTCCTTTTACACTCGCAGACAAGCTTGTGGATGCTCAATAAGGACAGCTGCCGTTTGGACAGAGATTAATCATTTATTTGTGAAGGTTTTTTCTGCCTTGCTTTCTTGTTCTTTTTTAAATCTTCACATTGTTTTGATCCCAAAATGTTTGTGTTGTCCTTACTCAAAACTAGGAAAAACAATTATGTGGTAAGAGGCTCAGAGCCACTTACTTAAATCTCAACTAGATTTATTTGTGAGAACATCTGTTTTCTGATATTTAGACACTTCCTCTTCCATTGCTGTTTCCTATGACTCATGCACAGTTATTTGTTCAGGTTTCATGGAATTTCCCAAGTGTATTTACCTTTGTTTGGTTTTTAAAATGTAAATTATATTGCCCCAATAAATGAGTATGTGTGTCAGGGGGACTGTGGCTGGGTCATTGCATGTGGAGGGGGAGTTTACAGAAGAGAACTCCTAGAAGAGCTTTACTTAACTATGAAAATTTTCAAAGAATAGGACATTTCTAATAAGTCCCTAAGAGTGTCCTGAAGGACATGTTTTGGTTCTGAAACATAGTTTCTATAATCATCCTTAAAAAATAACTTGTTTCTGCTTAATAGGCTTTACTATGAATATACCTCCATATATTATTGAGTTAGAATGTGAGAAAAGGAGATTAATTTTTGAAGTACAAATATAGTGAGTTAGTGAGTGTAGGCATCCTGACTGCCTAGTCATAACTTTGATGAAGTAGAAATACCAACATCCTCAATATGAAGATATGCAGCAGCCCCACCAAAAAAAAAAAAAAAAAAAAGCAATGAGAGGTTTCAATTTCCTAAGTTAGAAAAGGGAAGAAAATCTGGAAATTAGATTTGTTGGGTCATTGGGAAAAAAGATTTAAAGAAGATGAAAACATACAGTCAAGACTCTTTGCCTCATTTTTCCCTTACAGGCTTCACAGGCTGCTCAAGAAGCCGAGATCAATGCCAGAAAAGCCAAAAACTCTGTTACTAGCCTCCTCAGCATTATTAATGACCTCTTGGAGCAGCTGGGTACGTAGCCATAGAGTCATTTTTGTCAGTCTCTGAATCTTTTGTACTGTTCTTAGGATCTGATATAGTACAGTTGACTCAAAAGCAGATGATATAGGTTTACATGAATCCCTTTTAAGTCATTAATTAAATTATTAATATTTCCTTTTGCTGTTGCTTATTTTTGAAAGCCTTATAAAATAAATGTTTGTCTTGCATGACAGGGTCTTTAAGAGCAACTTGCTTCTTTACCATACTTATTATTTGTCAGCTTTACAGTGTGACCTGAATCATGACTTTAGGCTGTGTTAATGTGACAAGTACTTACTAGGTGCCTTCTGTGGACCTTGCCCTAAGTAGAACACTGTGGTCTGAGGAGTTTCTTTTTATATTTTGAAGATATATTGCCAGCTAGGGTAGCATTTATGGTCCAGTATCATTGTACAACTAAACAGTGATTTTTCTTAACTCATCTTGCTGGCAGTATCTTTAAGGGATTTAAAGTAAAGGATTTCAATAGTAGAATAAAAGAATAGTAGAATCACAGGCTGGGTGTGATGGCTCACACTGGTAATCCCAGTACTTTAAGAAGCCATGCAAGGAGGATAGCTTGAGGCCAGGAGTTTGAGACCAGCCTAGGCAACATAGCGAGATCTCACCTCGTCTCTTCAAATTATTTTAAAAATTAGCTGGGTGTGGTGCTACACGCCTGTAGTCCTAGCTACCCGGGAGACTGAAGCAGGTGCATCACTTGAGTTTGAGGTGATAGTGAGCTGTTATCGTGCCACTGCACTCCACCCTGGGCAACAGAGCGAAACCCTGTCTCAATTTAAAAAACGAAAAAGAACACTTAAAACTGGTCATGACTTTACTGCCTGGAATTCTCTTCATTTGCTAAGTAAGGACAGTCCGATGAGGGGAAAGCTTTCATGCCAAAAGAGAGAAAAACCTTGATTTTTCAAGGAAATCTATGCATACGGAAACCTTCTTTTAATCCAGTTTGATAGGGTGTTAGGGAGCAGGCTTCATTTTAGGACAGATGCACTTTTGTCACCAGACTCCATTATAAAGTGTCAACACTCTAGCCAGGACTCTTTGTAGCAAGGCATTATATTTTAATTTGCCAGCCTTTAAAGACTGGTGCATTTTGTTTTGGTGGGGGGCTACAGGGGTATTTTTTATCGGTCTCAAATGTCAAGAATAAGTTATGTGCCAACAGATGGATATAAAATGAAAGTAAGCTAGAAGAGAAAGCTTTTTGTGGAACAGCCAGACTTTTAACATTAGTCTGACTTGGGTTAGTATCTTTGCTTTGTTGCCTATAGGCTGTGCAAACTTGGGCAAATTATTTAACATCTGAGAATCACTGATGTAAAATGGTCTTGTGAGACTTTAATCAAGTCAAGTATGCATGAAATGCTGTCTATTGTGTCTGCTTTTGTTTGTTATGGAAACATCTCATTTCTTTCAAAAGAACCTCTTTTTCTTGCTAAGCTTAAAGTGAAGACTTGCTGAAATTATTTCAGCATTTTACTCCTGGCCATTTTCCATAGGAAGGCTCCTAATAGTGTCTAACTCCTGAAAGCAGAAAGTGACCTTCAAAACTGACCCATCTTCCCTGGAATCTCTCTAAGAGCTGAGGGATTAGGGTTCTTAGAGATTTGTGTATCTTTGATGGCACTAAAATGACATAGAGTTTACATGTATACACCTGGAAAAGGTATTAAATGTTATCAGATGGCCCTCAAAGGTCTAGAACATGGTAGCTGTGCATTGAGGAAACATTCTGCAAAAACCATTGTCTCAGAAAGAAACATCCAGCTCTATATTAATTGTATGCTCAGACCCATCCCTGCTGGGTTAGGTCAGCATTTGTACTTGGTTTGCATATTTTATACCATTGTGTGACATCAACAATCTGCAAGTCACATTTGCCGGGCTGCCTGTGCAGAATGGCAGCTGCTGGGCCTAGAGTCTAGTGCAGGTACTTGTGAAGGGATCATTCTTACTGAATATGTCTGTTCTCTTCTATGTACTTTCTGACCCTCCAGGGCAGCTGGATACAGTGGACCTGAATAAGCTAAACGAGATTGAAGGCACCCTAAACAAAGCCAAAGATGAAATGAAGGTCAGCGATCTTGATAGGAAAGTGTCTGACCTGGAGAATGAAGCCAAGAAGCAGGAGGCTGCCATCATGGACTATAACCGAGATATCGAGGAGATCATGAAGGACATTCGCAATCTGGAGGACATCAGGAAGACCTTACCATCTGGCTGCTTCAACACCCCGTCCATTGAAAAGCCCTAGTGTCTTTAGGGCTGGAAGGCAGCATCCCTCTGACAGGGGGGCAGTTGTGAGGCCACAGAGTGCCTTGACACAAAGATTACATTTTTCAGACCCCCACTCCTCTGCTGCTGTCCATGACTGTCCTTTTGAACCAGGAAAAGTCACAGAGTTTAAAGAGAAGCAAATTAAACATCCTGAATCGGGAACAAAGGGTTTTATCTAATAAAGTGTCTCTTCCATTCACGTTGCTACCTTACCCACACTTTCCCTTCTGATTTGCGTGAGGACGTGGCATCCTACGTTACTGTACAGTGGCATAAGCACATCGTGTGAGCCCATGTATGCTGGGGTAGAGCAAGTAGCCCTCCCCTGTCTCATCGATACCAGCAGAACCTCCTCAGTCTCAGTACTCTTGTTTCTATGAAGGAAAAGTTTGGCTACTAACAGTAGCATTGTGATGGCCAGTATATCCAGTCCATGGATAAAGAAAATGCATCTGCATCTCCTACCCCTCTTCCTTCTAAGCAAAAGGAAATAAACATCCTGTGCCAAAGGTATTGGTCATTTAGAATGTCGGTAGCCATCCATCAGTGCTTTTAGTTATTATGAGTGTAGGACACTGAGCCATCCGTGGGTCAGGATGCAATTATTTATAAAAGTCTCCAGGTGAACATGGCTGAAGATTTTTCTAGTATATTAATAATTGACTAGGAAGATGAACTTTTTTTCAGATCTTTGGGCAGCTGATAATTTAAATCTGGATGGGCAGCTTGCACTCACCAATAGACCAAAAGACATCTTTTGATATTCTTATAAATGGAACTTACACAGAAGAAATAGGGATATGATAACCACTAAAATTTTGTTTTCAAAATCAAACTAATTCTTACAGCTTTTTTATTAGTTAGTCTTGGAACTAGTGTTAAGTATCTGGCAGAGAACAGTTAATCCCTAAGGTCTTGACAAAACAGAAGAAAAACAAGCCTCCTCGTCCTAGTCTTTTCTAGCAAAGGGATAAAACTTAGATGGCAGCTTGTACTGTCAGAATCCCGTGTATCCATTTGTTCTTCTGTTGGAGAGATGAGACATTTGACCCTTAGCTCCAGTTTTCTTCTGATGTTTCCATCTTCCAGAATCCCTCAAAAAACATTGTTTGCCAAATCCTGGTGGCAAATACTTGCACTCAGTATTTCACACAGCTGCCAACGCTATCGAGTTCCTGCACTTTGTGATTTAAATCCACTCTAAACCTTCCCTCTAAGTGTAGAGGGAAGACCCTTACGTGGAGTTTCCTAGTGGGCTTCTCAACTTTTGATCCTCAGCTCTGTGGTTTTAAGACCACAGTGTGACAGTTCCCTGCCACACACCCCCTTCCTCCTACCAACCCACCTTTGAGATTCATATATAGCCTTTAACACTATGCAACTTTGTACTTTGCGTAGCAGGGGCGGGGTGGGGGGAAAGAAACTATTATCTGACACACTGGTGCTATTAATTATTTCAAATTTATATTTTTGTGTGAATGTTTTGTGTTTTGTTTATCATGATTATAGAATAAGGAATTTATGTAAATATACTTAGTCCTATTTCTAGAATGACACTCTGTTCACTTTGCTCAATTTTTCCTCTTCACTGGCACAATGTATCTGAATACCTCCTTCCCTCCCTTCTAGAATTCTTTGGATTGTACTCCAAAGAATTGTGCCTTGTGTTTGCAGCATCTCCATTCTCTAAAATTAATATAATTGCTTTCCTCCACACCCAGCCACTGTAAAGAGGTAACTTGGGTCCTCTTCCATTGCAGTCCTGATGATCCTAACCTGCAGCACGGTGGTTTTACAATGTTCCAGAGCAGGAACGCCAGGTTGACAAGCTATGGTAGGATTAGGAAAGTTTGCTGAAGAGGATCTTTGACGCCACAGTGGGACTAGCCAGGAATGAGGGAGAAATGCCCTTTCTGGCAATTGTTGGAGCTGGATAGGTAAGTTTTATAAGGGAGTACATTTTGACTGAGCACTTAGGGCATCAGGAACAGTGCTACTTACTGATGGGTAGACTGGGAGAGGTGGTGTAACTTAGTTCTTGATGATCCCACTTCCTGTTTCCATCTGCTTGGGATATACCAGAGTTTACCACAAGTGTTTTGACGATATACTCCTGAGCTTTCACTCTGCTGCTTCTCCCAGGCCTCTTCTACTATGGCAGGAGATGTGGCGTGCTGTTGCAAAGTTTTCACGTCATTGTTTCCTGGCTAGTTCATTTCATTAAGTGGCTACATCCTAACATATGCATTTGGTCAAGGTTGCAGAAGAGGACTGAAGATTGACTGCCAAGCTAGTTTGGGTGAAGTTCACTCCAGCAAGTCTCAGGCCACAATGGGGTGGTTTGGTTTGGTTTCCTTTTAACTTTCTTTTTGTTATTTGCTTTTCTCCTCCACCTGTGTGGTATATTTTTTAAGCAGAATTTTATTTTTTAAAATAAAAGGTTCTTTACAAGATGATACCTTAATTACACTCCCGCAACACAGCCATTATTTTATTGTCTAGCTCCAGTTATCTGTATTTTATGTAATGTAATTGACAGGATGGCTGCTGCAGAATGCTGGTTGACACAGGGATTATTATACTGCTATTTTTCCCTGAATTTTTTTCCTTTGAATTCCAACTGTGGACCTTTTATATGTGCCTTCACTTTAGCTGTTTGCCTTAATCTCTACAGCCTTGCTCTCCGGGGTGGTTAATAAAATGCAACACTTGGCATTTTTATGTTTTAAGAAAAACAGTATTTTATTTATAATAAAATCTGAATATTTGTAACCCTTTATATTTGGTGTGGCCTGAGTGTGGTACTGGGGACATAAGATGTTTTAAAAGGTATAATGAATGAAAAGCCATACATAATACCTTCTTTGGGTGACTTATTTTCTTGAGAACAATTCAGTATACATTTTATATATATATATATATGTATGTATATATGTATATATGCCTCTCTCAAGTTGGGATACTGCAGTGTAGTCTGGAAGTTGGTGAACTTTTTCTATAAAGAGCTAGATAGTAAATGTTTTAGGCTTTGCAGGCCATGCGCCTATGGGCTGTAGTTTACTGGAACCCCAGTGTAGCCTCAATACTCAGTGACAACTGACAGTCAGGCACAGTGGCTCATGCCTGTAATCCCAACACTTTAGGAGGCCGAGGTGGGCTGATCCCTTAAGGTTAGGAGCTCGAGACCAGCCTGACCAACATGGTAAAACCCAGTCTCTACTAAAAATACAAAAATAACTGAGCATGGTGGTGCGTACCTGTAATCCTAGCTACTCAGGAGGCTGAGGCAGGAGAATAGCTTGAACCCGAGAGGTGGAGTGCAGTGAGCTGAGATCATGCCACTGCACTCCAGCTGAGGCAACAAAGCAAGACTCCGTCTCAAAAAAAAAAAAAAAAACTAAGATTTGTTGGACATCCTAAATTAGCAGATGTATGTTAAAAGTTGTCTGTCTCTCAATACACACGTGTCTAGCTTAAGGTAGTTTCTTTAGATGATGAGAAGCTCTTAAGCCTATGATTTAATAAAAAGTAAGTAATGTGCTGCACTAACAGGCTAGAATCGGGTAATTTTACTAGAATTTACCTCACTCTTTCTGGAGGGAGGACCCATCTGAAGTGACCTGAGACCAGGTGAGGCCTTTGGGAGCTACAGAGACAGCAGGAAGGCTTTGGGCCTGCAAAGGCCTTCCCTTTACTCTTTGATGCCCTGTTTATTGCCCTGGGCCTCCGTGGATTTCATGCCACCTTCCCAATCTTAGGAATTGTTACAACTATGATACCTGTAAAGAAGAACCTGAACTACTCTCATTAGACTTCCTCGGAGAAAGCTTTAGAGGGCACTAATTACTAGTACTATTACAGCTTTCTTACATGCCCTGTTTTTAACCTTTATTGAGGACCATTTCCCCTCATTTGTAGGACTAATTCAGATGCAGCTATGTCTCCTTTATCATTACTGTCAGAGTGATAAGTGAGATTTTAAAATTTTGCTCCTATTCCATCAGTCATTTTCAGGACAGCAGTTTCTCAAAAGTTGCTACTAGCATAATCTGATTCAGAATATCCCCAGAGGTTTACTCCATAAATAAACATCCTAGCCCCTTAATACACCTGAACTCATCAGCTCCGCTTCCATTAAGCTCAAAATGGAATGCCTGAAGAAGACCCCAGGCACCCAGGAAGGTGAGGAGGTGGGAAAGCAGGTGGATACATTCATAAGGGAAGGAAGGACAGGCCCAAGGAAAGATTAGATCTCTCCAGGCACATAGATTATGAAAACAGAAACAAGAGAATTCTAAATGGCAGATAATTTTGTCCACACTAAGCAGGTTTAAATGAATAATAATAGGTAGAGTAAAAAATACGAAGCTTTTTAGGAAGTTATCTGTCCAAGGTTCCACTAGGGAGCTATGATCAACTATATAGTGCCTTGTATTTGTATTGAGTCTCCTAGAATGACTGTATTTGTTCTACATTAGTGAATGAATTCTAAATAATAGAAGTCAAATGCATACTTAAGAGAATTATTTTTCTTTAAATCCAATGAAAAGCCAAAAGCCCCGACTAGGAATTCAAACATTAGAAACATCAACATTTCAAAACTTATGACACCTCCATGTCCTTGCCTTAACTCCTCTCTCTGCCTTGAATGTCCTTTCTTTCCTCTGCCCAGTACAGTAAAGCCTAAGGTCAAGGTATCACCTGTGTTGGGATTGGCCAGTCCTTCTTGTGTCCACCACTTCTCCCACCTTTGCTCTGTCTTCTAGAATGGCCCTTGGACACATCTTTATAGTTAGGTGCCACTAATCTTTCCCTCCCACTTTGCTCCCACCCCCAAAGATCAGGGTCTGTGTTATTTATGTTATCCTTGGGGCTAGGAGACATACACTAGGCACTCAGGTTGTATGATAGTGAAAAGGTAGCCTTTCTCCACCTATGCTCCCATACTTGTTACTTTTTTCCTACTGTGCACAGACAGGGAGTCTTATGGCAGTTTGTTCACGCACTGTCTCAACTCCTAACAGCGTTCTGCTCTCTCAACATTCCCACCTAAGTGTGGATTGGCCTCTTGTTTGCAGGAAGATAAGCAAAGCCACAGTCTTGCATTATATGGCACAGCACACACCACATACACTGCCATGTGGTCAGCAACTGGCTAGTGCAATCTGGTCTGCAAGGCCCATTGCCCTGGCTCCCAGCCTCAGACCCACCATTCCCAATGCAGGTTTTCCATACAGTTCCTCCTGCAGCCCAGCATTAATTTCCTTTTTCTCTAATTCCTGGAAATCATCCCAGTAAATTTCAATCAACCAATTAATTTGGTGTTTTATCCTGTTTGCATGTGCACTTTAGCAAGCCTCGTAATTAATACTGGCCATGAAGTTATTATTTATGATTAACTCAGTATAGTTTGCTTATTTCTATAAAAAGTCAAGCATCAGGCACTTGATCAAGAATGTGACCTTCTATTACACTATTGTCCCCATGAGTAAGTCCAACTCAATTTAAGTGATCCTCCATGAAACGTGCCTGGTTTGAAGACAACCCTTCCATCTTCCCATCATTCTTTTCACCTTGGCTACTAACAAAAAAAAATCACTTGAACTTCAGACCGATGCTTTTCAGGCCCATCCCATGGTATCTGCCCTAATACAGAGATCCTTTGTCATCTAGTAACTAAATGCAGCCATCAAATTTTGTCCATGTTACTTTTGTTAATGTTAAGAATTTCTAATCCAATTCCTTTCTGAATATTCAGTGCCTTCTAGGACATTCTGTCCTAATTTTCCTTACACTTCTCTGTTGATCCCCACCACTTTTTCCATGGACATTTCTTTCCTCCTGACCATGGTCTCTGTGTTGGGGTTACTGCAGAGTAAGCACAAATCAGCCATGAGCAGAAATGTCTGGGAGATATGCTGTCCTAGTGTGGATTATAAATTCCTCGGTTGCTGAGCTAGCGTCCAGAATAAAGGCTCAGGAGGCACAGCTGTTATTTCAATGATTATATGTTTGGCGTGGTCAGAGAGGTTTGTGTTACAACTTGCTGATCGTTTGTGGCTCAGACAGTCTGCTCTCAGAGCTGTCTCACTTGGGCTGATACAGGAGATCAGACCTGGCCGGAGAGAGTTTTGCCTCATTGATTTCAGATAGGCTGCCTTCTAAGTTTCTGAAGGACTTAGGAAGGACTGGCATTATCAAGATAGCTTGTATGTTTTAAGGCACTTTCGTGATTATTTTCTTTCATTTCTCCCTCATTTGAAGAGAGTCTTCATTTGGCCAAGGGGGAAACTCAAAGCATGGTTTGCTATTCCACCACCTTTACCACTGTTTTAGCACGTTGCCTTATTCTCTCTCATGATTTGGATCAATTTTCCTTTTATGAAGGAAATATACTTGTATTTTATTATAAGCTGCCTCAAATCTCTTTTTTGGAGAGAGTGAGGCAGGATTTAAATATATCAGCAACTTACCCAATATTAAGGAACCACTTAGTGGCAGAATTATTACGTGGAACCTGATTGTCCTCAAGCAGCCTGGGCCACACACACCATACAGCTCATGCACCTCTCCTGCTCACACACCACACAGCTCACACCCCTGTCCTCCTCACACACCACACAGCCCACACCCCTCTCCTCACACCACACAGCTCACACCCCTCTCCTCACACACCACACAGCTCACACCCCTCTCCTCCTCACACCACACAGCTCACACCCCTCTCCTCCTCACACCACAGAGCCCACACCCCTCTCCTCACACACCACACAGCTCACACCCCTCTCCTCACACACCACACAGCTCACATCCCTCTCCTCACACACCACACAGCCCACACCCCTGTCCTCCTCACACACCACACAGCCCACACCCCTCCTCACACACCACACAGCTCACACCCCTCTCCTGCTCACACACCACACAGCCCACACCCCTCTCCTCCTCACACACCACACAGCTCACACCCCTCTCCTCACACACCACACAGCCCACACCCCTCTCCTCACACACCAGACAGCTCACACCCCTCTCCTCCTCACACACCACACAGCTCACACCCCTCTCCTCCTCACACACCACACAGCTCACACCCCTCTCCTGCTCACACACCACACAGCTCACACCCCACCCCTCTCCTGCTCACACACCACACAGCTCACACCCCTCTCCTCACACACCACACAGCCCACACCCCTCTCCTCACACACCAGACAGCTCACACCCCTCCTCCTCACACACCACACAGCCCACACCCCTCTCCTCCTCACACACCAGACAGCTCACACCCCTCTCCTCCTCACACACCACACAGCTCACACCCCTCTCCTCACACACCACACAGCTCACACCCCTCTCCTCACACACCACACAGTTCACACCCCTCTCCTCACACACCACACAGCTCACACCCCTCTCCTCCTCACACACCACACAGCTCACACCCCTCTCCCGCTGCCCTTGTTTCTCCCTCTCTTTCCCTTTCCCTACTTAGGCTCAAGGATAAGGCACCTAAGGCTAGTTCACCTAGATAATTTTGCTTAATAAGGGAATTCACCTAGATTTTAACCCTCTTTGGAATATTTTTACACCATTTTCATTTCCCTATTCTTTTTGCTTTTTAATAACTTTACTCAGTTTTTGTAATTTTCTTCTTTCAAATAAGTCCCATTATCACAGCATTTTATAAATGATGAGATTGTTTTGTATTTTTATGAAAGACTGTTTTTCTCTTTTCTACTTTTTAAACCCTTTTATTTTGAAATAATTTTAGATTTGCAGAAGATTTACAAAGGTAGTACAGAGAGTTCCCATATACCCTTCACCCAGCCTCCCCCAATATTAGCATGTGACATAACTATGGTACATTTATTAAAACTAAGAAATTAACATTGGTACAGTACTATTAATTAAAGTACAGTCTTTTGCCTACTTTTAAACATCTTTTTTTCTAAGGCTCCATTTTTAAAGTAATACTGGGTTTTAAAGCAGAAAATCAGAATATTTGACATTAATACCCAAGTTATGGGGCAACAGGAATTTGAAGTCCAAAATAATTGATTTTACTTTTATATTATGCTCAAGACTTCCCAATGTATAATATATTCATAGTTAATTGCAGATAATGACATTAAGCAACTTAATAAAATACCCTTAAAGTTTTAGAAAGAGATATTAAAATATCCATCTGAATAAACATGGCATTCACAATATGTCACAAATTTAAGTATTTATTAGATACAGGAAACTTACTTAGAAGGATTTGTTTTTAAATTTTTTGTATTAAGACATAATTTCAGACTTATGAAAAAATTGCAAGAGTAGTACAAAAAAATCCCATTTTTTTTTACCCAGATTCCCTCAGTGTTTTCATGTCTTTTGTAGGGACATGGATGAAGCTGGAAACCATCATTCTCAGCAAACTATCGCAAGGACAAAAAACCAAACACTGCATGTTCTCATAGGTGGGAACTGAACAATGAGAACACATGGACACAGGAAGGGGAACATCACACACCGGGGCCTGTTGTGGGGTGGGAGGAGCGGGGAGGGATAGCATTAGGAGATATACCTAATGTGGGTGACGGGTTAATAGGTGCAGCACACCAACATGGCACATGTATACATATGTAACAAACCTGCACGTTGTGCACATGTACCCTAGAACTTAAAGTATAAAAAAATATATATATATGTATATACAAAATTTTACTACTATTGCTTTATCCTTTCTCTCTCTGGCTCCCACAAATGAGAGGGAGAGAAAACTGTTTTAAGTTGCAGAGGTGATGCCCCTTTACCCATCATAATTCAATGTGTATTCCCTAAAGACAGAGAACTTTCTTATATAATTATAGTATAATTGTTAAAATCAAGAAATTAACATTGATACAATATTTTTAATCTACAGCCATTATTCAGATTTTACTATATGTGGTAGACAGAATAATGCCCCCAACAAAGATGTTCACTTCTCAGTTCCTAGAATTTGTGAGTGCATTAGGTTACTGATGTAATTAAATTGTAAATCAGCTGACCTTAAAATAAAGAGATTATTTGGACTATCTGGGTGGGCCCAATGTAATCAAAATGCTCTTCTAATAAGAAGAGGAAGACAGAAGCTGAGCGCGGTGGCTCACTCCTATAATCCCAGCACTTGGAGAGGCTGAGGTGGGTGGATCACCTGAGGTTAGGAGTTTGAGACCAACCTGGCCAACATGGGGAAACCCCATCTCTACTAAAATTACAAAAATTATCCAGGCGTAGTGGTGTGTGCCTGTAGCCCCGGCTACTCGGAAGTCTGAGACAGGAGAATTGCTTGAACCCGGGAGGCTGAGGGCAGTGAGCTGAGATCATGCCACTGCACGCCAGCCTGCACGACAGAGCAAGACTCCATCTCAAAAGAAAAAAAAAAAAGAAGAGGAAGACAGAAAAAGACATCAGAGTGATGCAATGTAAGAAGGACTCTGCACCATTGCTGGTTTGAAGGAGGAGGAAGGGGGCACGAGCCAAGGAATGTGGGGCAGCCTCTAGGAGCTGGGAAGGGCAAGGGAATGGGTCTTCCCCAGAGCCTCCAGATAGAATGCAGCTCTGCTGACACCACGATTTTAGCGCAGAGATCCCCATCTGACTTTTAACCCACAGAACCATAAAATAATAAATGTATGTTCTTTTTTTTTTTTTCGAGACAGAGTTTCACTCTTGTTGCCCAGGCTGGAGTGCAGTGGTGTGATCTCAGCTCACGGCAACCTCTGCCTCTCAAGTTCAAGCGATTCTCCTGCCTCAGCCTCCCAGGTAGCTGGGATTACAGGTGCATACCACCATGCCTGGCTAGTTTTTGTATTTTTAGTACAGACGGGGTTTTGCCATGTTGGCCAGGCTGGTCTCGAACTCCTGACCTCGGGTGATCCACCTGCCTCGGCCTCCCAAAGTGCTGGGATTACAGGATTGAGCTACCACATCTGGCCCTTTGTGTTCTTTTAAGCCACTAAATTTTAGGTAATTTGTTATGACTGCCGTAGAAAACTAATATACCATTTGCCTCGATAATATCTTTTATAGCAAAAGAAGATCCAAGATCATGTGTTGTGTTCAGCTGTCTTGTCTCCTTTGTTTCTTTTAGCTCCTGATCTTTCTTTGCATTTCATGACATTGACATTTTTTTAGAATAAGGGTAGTTATTTTGAAGAATGAGCCTCGATTTTCTTTGTCTGATGTTTTCTTTTGATTAGATTCAGATTATAAGCTTTTGGCAGGGAGATCACAGAAGTGATGCTGAATTCTTTTTAATAATACATTGACTGAATCAGGAGGCACATAAGTCATTACTGGCAATGTTAACTTTGAGATTTGATTAGGGTCGTGTCTTCCAGGTCTCCATTGTAAAGTTACTCTGTTACCTTTTGTAATAAATGTGTATTTTGTGAGAAGATATTCTGAGACTATATAAATATCCTGTTACTCCCCACATTTTTGTCCACCAGTTTTTGTATCCAGTGATGATGGCTACTAAATGGAGATTTTCTAATACATTTTTTGTTGTTGCTGTTTTGTTTTGTTTTGTTTTTGAGATAGAGTCTGTCGCCCAGGCTGGAGTGCAGTGGCATAATCTCGGCTCACTGCAACCTCTGCCTCCCGATTTCAAGCATTTCTCTGCTTCCGCCTCCCAAGTAGCTGGGATTACAGGCGCCCACCCCCACGCCTGGCTAATTTTTGTATTTTCAGTAGAGACGGGGTTTCGCCATCTTGGCCAGGCTGGTCTTGAACTCCTGACCTGGTGATCCACCCGCCTCGGCCCCCTAAAGTGCTGGGATTACAAGTATGAGCCACAACGCCCAGCCTATATGTCATATATTAATTGGCATTATGCTGGAGGTAAAGCTTTTGCTTCTCCCTTATTCATTTACTTACATATTTATATTATTTTAGATTCATGGGGTCTTATTTTATTTAATGGGGTACAACATATTGTTCTTGATTTTTATTTTGATTTCTAATTGTCCCGTATTTGACCAGTGGGAGCACTTTTTATTTTGTTTTTAATTGACACATAATAATTGTACATTATTTGTGGGGTAGAGAGGGAAGTTTCGATACATGTGTACAATGTATGATGATCAAATCATGGTGTTCAGCATATTCATCACCTCAAACATTCATCATTTCTTTGTGGTGAGAACATTCAGCCCCCTCTTTTCTAGTTATTTAGATATTTAGAAATATACACTATAATATAATTTACTAGAGTCACCCTATTGTGCTATAGAACACCAGAACCTACTCTCATCTAACTGTAATTTTGTACTCTTAACCAATCTCTCCCCATCTGCCCCTCTTCTCTCCTCTCCCCAGATTCTGGTAACCACAATTCTACTCTATACTTCTGTGAGATTATCTTTTTTAGATTCCACAAATGAGTGAGATCATACTGTATTTGTCTTTCTTTACCTGGCTTATTTCATTTAACACAGTGTCCTCCAGCTTCATCCATGTTGCCAAAAACGACAAGATTTCATTAGTTTTATGACTGAGTAGTATTCCATTGTGTATATACTGTATACCACATTTTATTTATCATTTCATTCATTGCTGGATACTTTGGTTAATTCCATATCTTGGCTATTGTGAATAGTACTGCAATAAACATGGAAGTACAGATTTGTCTTTGACATACTGATTTTATTTCCTTAAAGTATAGCCCCAGGAGTGAGATTGCTGGATTATGTGGTAGTTCTATTTTCAGCTTTTGAGGAATCTCCATGCTGTTTTCCATAATGGCTATACCAATTTACGTTCCTGCCAGCAGTATGTAAGGATTCCTTTTTCTCCACATCCGCAACATCATTTGTTACGTTTTTGCCCTTTTGATAATTGCCATTCTAATTGGGGTGAAGTGATATCTCACTGTGGTTTTGGCTTGCATTTCCTTGATGATTAGTGATTAGTACATGTTTTATGTGCTTGTTGGTCATTTGTATGTCTTCTTTTGAGAAATGTCTACTCAAGTCCTTTGCCATTATAAATTGGATTACAGTTGATCCTTGAGCAATATGGGTTTGCACTGGAAACATTGGAAAATACTTTGGAGGTATGTGGCAGTTTGAAAAATCTCACAGATTAACTGCATAGTCTAGAAATATTTTTAAAATAAGGAAAAGTTAAGTATCTCATGAATGCATAAGATATATGTAGATACTAATCTATTTTATCATTTACTATCATAAGATATACACAAATCTGTTATAAAAAGTTAAGGCCAGATGCAGTGGCTCACACCTGTAATCCCAGCACTTTGGGAGGCCAAGGAGGGCGGATCACCTGAGGTCAGGAGTTCAAGACCAGCCTGGCCAAAATGATAAAACCCCGTCTCTACTAAAAATACAAACAAAATTAGCTGGGTGTGATGGTGCATGCCTGTAATCCCAGCTGCTCCGGAGGCTGAGGCAGGAGAATCGCTTGAACCCAGGAGGCAGGGGTTGCAGTGAGCCAAGATCATACCACTGCACTCCAGCCTGGACAACAAGAGCAAAAACTCCGTCTCAAAGAAAAAGAAAAAAAAGTTGGCCGGGCGTGGTGGCTCACGCCTCTAATCCCAGCACTTTGGGAGGCCAAGGCAGGTGGATCACGAGGTCAGGAGTTCCAGACCAGCCTGGCCAAGATGGTGAAACACTGTTTCTACTAAAAATACAAAAATTAACCGGGTGCAGTGGCAGGCACCTGTAATCCCAGCTACTCGGGAGGCTGAGGGAGGAGAATTGCTTGAACCCAGAGGTTGCAAGTTGCAGTGAGCAGAGATTGCGCCACTGCACTCTAGCCTAGGCGACAGAGTGAGACTCCATCTCAAACAAAAACAAAAACAAGTTAAAATTTATTTCAATTTACACGCACAAACACAGGCTGTATGTGGTGCCATTTACAGTCAAGAGAAGCATAAACAAACATAAAGATGCAGTATTAAATCATAACTGCATAAAATTTACCCCAGTACATACTGTACTACTGTAATAATTTTATTGCCACCTCCTGTTGCTCTTGCTGTGAGCACAAGTGTTGTGAGTGTCTGCTTAAAACACCCTATGACACTAATCATCTCCACATGAACTGTTCATCTCTTCAGTAAATTGTGTATCACAGAAAAAAGTGATCTCTTGCACTTCCCACATCTTTGTCATCATGTTTAGTGTAATACCATAAACCTTAAATAATGCCATTGGACCCATATGAACTGCCACTAATGATACTGGAAGTGCTCCCAAGAAGCAAAGAAAAGTCATGATGTTACAAGAGAAAGTTGAATTGCTTGACATGTACTGTAGATCGAAGTCTGCAGCTGTAGTTGCTACCATTTCAGATAGATGATTCATCTTATAAACAGATTATGTAAATTTATGGTATTCATAAATACAGTACAGTATTATAAATGTGCTTTTTCTTCCTTAGGATTTTCTTAATAATGTTTTATTTTTCTCTAGCGTACTCTATTGTAATCATAGAGGATATGTAACATACAAAATGTGTTAATTCACTGTTTATGTTATCATTCAGGATTTCAGTCAATAGTAGGCTATTAGTAGTTAAGTTTGGAGGGAGTCAAAAGTTAAATGCAAATTTTTGGCTGCATGGGGGTCAGCACCCCTAACTCCTGCATTGTTTAAGGGTCAGCCATATTTGCTTTTTTGGTATTGAGTTGTTTGAGTTCCTTGTAATTTCTGAATATTAACCCCTTGTCAGATGCATATTTTTCAAAGTTTTCCTCCCATTCTGTAGGTTGTCTCTTCAATCTGCTAATTATTTCCTTTTGCTGGGAGTATCTTTTTTTTTTTTTTTTTTTTTTTTTTTTTTTTTTTTTTTTTTTTTTTTTTGAGACAGAGTCTCGCTCTGTCGCCCAGGCTGGAGTGCAGTGGTGCGATCTCAGCTCACTGCAATCTCCGCCTGCTGGGAGTATCTTTAGACTGGCTCCTGTGATCCTCTGATACATCCCCGTCATTCTTTGAGTGTTGTTTTACTTTCGGTATATCAAGACATTTCAGGCTAATCTTGTACCTTCCTTGCCTTAGTCCTGGAATCAGCTGTTTCGACAAGAAGCAAACATAGGTTTCTTTAATTCTCAAAATGCCATTGACCAAGAGCAACAAAAATAACAAAAAATAGGTTGCTCAAATGGATGTAAAACTCTCAAAAGTGATGCTGAAATGTTAAGCAAATAGCTCATTAGACTAATTGGCTTTAGGGGACATGGCCTTTTCTTTCCCTATAGATGATTGCTTTTTAAAAATGCATTATCAACAAATACTTTTGGAACACCTATGGCTCTTGTAGCCTACCCTACTGGTACCTATGGGTTTTACACTGTGACAAAGACAATTTTTTTCTATTTCATGAAACAAGACAAGAAGGCAGCAAAAAATAAAACATGAAAAACAGTAGAGTAGTCACCCCCTTATCCACAAGGGATATGTTCCAAGACCCACAGTGGATGCCTGAAACCATAGATAGTACCAAACACTATTATATACTATATTTGCAATTTGCTGAGATGGCTACTTCGTGACAAAGGGGCAGGGTAGCATATACGATGTGGGTATACTATACGAGGGGATGATGCATGTACTGGGTGGGACGAAGCAGGATGGCACGAGATTTTATCACGCTACTCAGAACAACACACAACTTAAAATGAATTATTTACTTCTGGAATTTTCCATGTAATATTTTTGTAGCATGATTGTCTGCAAGTTAACTGAAACCACAGAAAGCAAGCCCATGGATAAGTGGAGACTACTGTATACCAAAAATAGAGGAAAATGTATTTTCATAAAATAGAAATACATGAGCATGTTAATTTAAAAATGCACAGGGAAATATATCTATATTTATGTCTATCTAATCAATGTGTATATAATGAATGTTCAAGACTGTTCATTATGAGAAGTCTTTCAAGGACAAATTGTATTTGTATGAAAGGGTATATTTTTAGCTGTGTTGGAGAGAATATAATCTAGAAAATGAGCTTGGGGACATTGATCCAGATATGAAAATGCATGGACAGAGATTCAGTGATATGCCACTGAGAAGTTGAGTTTTTCTGGTTTTCCTCTCATCCATTCCTCTCTGTGTATTGATGTCCTGGAGACCAAGCCCTGTGGTCTGTATTCCCAGAGAGAACTCATGCTCCCTATGCTCATTGTCCATGTTCTAGTTTTTGGCTGATCATGTTGGCCACTCTTGTAATGTGATGTTGTTCTCATAAAACCAGTGACGGCCAGGCACAGTGGCTCATGCCTGTAATCCCAGCACTTTGGGAGGCCAGGGCAGGTGGATCACCTGAGGTCAGGAGTTTGAGACCAGCCTGGCCAACATGGTGAAACCCCATCTCTACTAAAAATACAAAAAATTGGCCAGGCGTGGTGGCGGGCGCCTGTAGTCCCAGCTACTCGGGAGGTTGAGGCAGAAGAATCACTTGAGCCTGGGAGGTGGAGGTTGCAGTGAGCAGAGATTGTGCCACTGCACTCCAGCCTGGGCGGTAGAGTGAGACTCGGTCTCAAAAAACAAACAAACAAACAAAAAACCACACACACACAAAAACCAATGACAACATAGCAAGTTTTTGGTTATTTCAAGCTCTCGTTGCTTATTTGAGGCTTTAAAGTGCCTAGTCATTAATCAGGGCCCAGAGTATAAAGATCTTACCATGTTGACATCAAAAGCATACCAATGGTAGTCTACTGGTGTCTTACTAAATTCTAAGGAAGGTCTGTCAAAAACTATTGAGGGCTTTATTATGCTCTTGCACTGAGCTTTATGAGGGTTGAATAGGTAATAAGACCAAGTTTGTATTTGCACAGGATTGTGGACTGCAGAACATCTCCAAGAGTGGTGGTTCTCAAAGTGAAGCTCTGGGCCCAGCAACATCTGTCTTGCCCGGGAACCTCTTAGAAATGCATTGTCAAACCCCACCCTAGACCGACTGAATCAGACAGTAGGGGTGGAAGGATTCAGAACAGTCTGGGTTTAATAAGCCCCTCACCTAAGTGATTCATCACATCTAATATATCTAGTAACTAGTGTACTGGTTCTTAACAATTTTCCCCCTGGTGTTAGCTTTCACCATTTGTATATCCTATGTGTCTGCATGTTGAACTCAACCAGACATTATCTTTACTTTCAGCTGCCCTTGCTAGGAAACAGGTTGCAACCTCTTTGAATTAGGAAGAGAGAAGTTCAGAATGTGTCTGTGCTCATCACAGAGTTAGAAACAATGAATGTTAACTCTTCTCTGAGTTTCTTAAGAAACTGAGATACTCTAAGCATTGTATAAACATTGACTTGGTTAATTAATCAAGATGTTCCATCTATGGAAGACAAAAGCCTTCTGAAAAACTAGGTGGAGACTGATACGACTGATACTGATTTTTAAAAACTTAACATAAGTATTTTAGTTCCCCATCAGTTTCTCTACTTTTCACACGATTTTCTAAATGGCAATTTTTTTTTTTTTTTTTTTGAGATGGAGTCTCCCTCTGTCACCCAGGTTGGAGTGCAGTGGCCCGATCTCGGCTCACTGCAGCCTCTGCCTCCTGGGTTCCAGTGATTCTCCTGCTTCAGTCTCCCAGGCAGCCGGGATTACAGGCCTAAATGGCAATTTCTCTTCATAGATGTGAACAGGCTGAGAGATGGTGGAATGGGCTGGGCTTCCTGGGGTTCATCATTACTCTCTACTGCTAGGACTTGGCACGTTTGTTCTGCATGGTTCCATGAACATAAAATAAAAGCGAGCCAAGTCTTTTAATGTGGGAGATGCATTTGAAATCAGACAACCAGTAAATATACCAAAAGACATCAAAACAAGTTCAAGTAAACCTTAGGCCCTACTGAGTGGCAGCCACCGTTCATGGACAATTTAGGTGTGTGATCTCAGGTTAAATCTCTCAATCTTGCCTGTGTTTCCTGTAAATGGGAACAACACTACCTTATAAAGTACTTCACATAAATGGGTAAGTATATGAAACAATATACAAAATTTAGTATAGTCATGGCAAACAAAGTTTTTGTGGGGCCTGAAGCTTGTACAATTTGGGAGTCCTCTTTAAAAAAAAAAAAAGAATATAGGATTTCAAAAGCAAGCACAGGGCTGGGAAGGGGTCCCTGAGCCCTGCTCTCCTCGCACAGGAAATCCACCTTTGTGCAGTTACTCTGTTTATTTTAAGCCAGGGGAGAGCAGAGCAATTGCTTCCTTCATGTGGAGGTGTCCATCAGTGGCTCCGTCACTGGGCGTGTGCATGACTGTACTTCCCTCTGCCGCAGACACCTCAGCCACCGTCTAGCCAGGCAAACCTGTTTGGTGTGCTCACTGCATGATGAAGGCGGGTGTGGCTCCCAGTGGGAGTGTCCCGCCTCCAGAACATGGCCAGAGGCTACAGAATCAGACTTTTGCCAAAGGAAGAAAGAGCGCCTGAAGCATGTGTTCACCGGGCAACTATGAATGGCTTGACTGGGTGGAGCCTTCAGTATCTTTTTAGTTAAGCCTTTTAGTCTCAAAAATGGAAGAGGCAAAGCTCAATTCTTAAAGATCACTTCTTTTTTTTTTTTGAGGCGGAGTCTCGCTCGGTCGCCCAAGCTGGAGTGCAGTGGCACGATCTCGGCTCACTGCAAACTCCGCCTCCCGGGTTCACGCCTTTCTCCTGCCTCAGCCTCCCGAGTAGCTGGGACTACAGGCGCCCGCCACCGCGCCCAGCTAATTTTTTTGTGTGTTTTTAGTAGAGACGGGGTTTCACCGTGTTAGCCAGGATGCTCTCGATCTCCTGACCCCATGATCCGCCCATCTGGGCCTCCCAAAGTGCTGGGATTGCAGGCGTGAGCCACGGCGCCTGGCCAAGATCACTTCTTAAAAGAGAATTCCATCTGCCTCCACCCGCATCACATTGCATATCAGAAATGGTAGTTTTGGGGTTGCCCTCAGACCCGAGCCTGCTCCAAACAGAACACAAACTGAACAGCAAGAACATAGACCTCGACTTTTCAGCCAGGACTTGGTGCTAGCTTTATTTTTATGAAAACAAAACAAAACAGCAACAACAACCAAAACAATGCTATTTCATTGAGTTGAAAGATCTAAACTCTTTTTTTTTTTTTTTTTTTTTTTTGAGACTGAGTCTTGCTCTGTCGCTCAGGCTGGAGTGCAGTGGCGCAATCCCAGCCGACTGCAACCTCTGTCTCCCAGGTTCAAGTGATTCTCCTGCCTCAGCCTCCTGAGTAGCTGGGACTACAGGAACCCGCCACCATGCCTGGCTAATTTTTGTATTTTTAGTAGAGACGGGGTTTCACCGTGTTAGCCAGGATGGTCTCGATCTCCTGACCTCGTGATCGGCCCACCTTGGCCCCCCAAAATGCTGGGATTACCGGAGTGAGCCACCGCGCCCAGCCAGGGGAGAAAGTTCTATGAAGAAAAATAAAGCTGGGAAGGGAGAGAGAACATGTTTGGGGGTAGGGTGAGCTTACAAATTTATACAAGATGGTAGAGAAAGCCTCTTTAAGAAAATGGCATTTAATTGAAGACTGGACCCATGTAGATATCTAGAGAAAGCACATTCCAGGCAGAGGCACCAGCAAGGGAAAAGGTCCTGCAGTGGAAGTGGTCCCGTGGCTGGGGCTGTGTGAGAAGGAGGACAGTGAGACCCATGGGGTGGGAGGTGGGGCAGGACACATAGTATTGGCTCTTGAGGCCATTCCAAAGACTTTGGCTTTTACTCAGAATGAGATAGAATGCCACTGGATGCCTCTATAACAAGGAATGACATGACCTGAGTCACACTATAATAGGAGTTTCCTGGCAGTTGTGTTAAGGTAGACCAAAGTGGGACAAGGGCAAAAGTAGGGCGAGGAGATGGGATGCAATGACAATCATCCATGCAAAAGACAAGGGGGGGCTGGAATCAACGTGATTACAGTGGAGGTTGATGAGAAGTGATCCAATTCTGATTATGATCTGAAGGTAGAGTAAGACAGCAAGATTTTCTATGGAAGAAAAGAGTCAAGAATGACTTCAAGATTCTTGGACTGAACAAGGGTATGGAAGACTGAGGCAGAAGAGGTCTAGGGGGACAGAACATCAGGAGTTCAGCTCTGCATGTATTACATTGGTGATATTAATTACCCATCTAAATGGAGATTTCGATTATGCAGTTAGATATATGAGCATAGTGTTCAGGACAGCTGTGCAAGCAGGCTGAAGACATAAATTTGAAAGTCATCAGCATATATGCTTAAAGCTTTGAAACTAGGTGGGAAAATCAAAGGAGTGAGCGTAGACATAAAAGAGATTCAAGGCCTGAGCTTCTGGTGGCTTCTTCTACCTTAAGGGGCACTTCTATGTTAAGAGGTGGAGAGAAAAGGATTCAGCAAAGTAGACTGAGAAGGAGATGCCTCATGGAGAAAAGCCTTATGAGCACAATGTCCTGGAAACCAAGAAAAGAAAGTGTTTTAAGGAGAAAGAAATGATCAGTTATGTTAAATGATGCTGTCAGAGCCAAGAAGATTATGGCTGAGAATTGGCCATTGAGTTTACAACATGGAAGGCCCTGGAGACCTAGGTATAGGCAGTTTCATTGGAATAATGGAGGCAAAAACCTAATTGCCATGGAGAGGTTTCTTGAAACCTAATTGCAGCAGTTTCAAGAGAGACTAGGAGAACAGAAACTGGGGAGAGTCAGTATGGACAACTCTTTCGTATTGCTCTAAAGGGGAGCAGAAAAATAGGGCAGAAGCTAAAGTATAGCATGGGTTCAAGGCAGTCGTTTTGTTTTTTTGAGATAGGAAAAACCAACAGCATGTTGTAGGCAGGCGGGCAATATCCTAGAAGAAAGAAAAAAACCAACGATGCAGGTAGAGAATCCCTGAGTGCAGTCCTTGATGAGGGCAAGGGAGGAGCCCTCCTGTTGACCTGAGATGGGATATGTGATCATGGGGAAGGTAGGCAAATTGTGGGATGTGGCTGTAGAAGTGTGTGGTAGAAGTTCTCTTCTGAGTACTTCTGGGTTTTTGTGTGTCTTAGGAAATAAATCATTAGCAGAGTGACATGGGGGAGGAAGAGTGGAAGGTTTGAAGAAAAAGGGAAAGTGTGAAACGGTCTTTGAGGAGAACAGGAAAGCCAATGGACTGGGGAAATGGATCTGATGGCCAGGTAGTATTAAGAACCCCTTGAAGCTAATGAACGTGAATTCAAAGTGAGGCAGTAAGTTGTGGGTGTGTGTGAAGGATGGATTCTAATGACTAACCATGGAATTTAAAATGGGTTAGGAGGGCTATGATGGTAAAGGAAGGTGGGAGAAGTGCAAAGGTGGCAGGTTCAATGGATCGTAGGCTCCAGAGGGTTGAGATATTATTAAAGTCTGGGCACTCGAGTGACTGAGCTTCAAGAATCAACGGTGGTGATTAGAGACGGGGTGCTTGAAACTGAGGTTGTGGAAAAAGTACACGTGATTGAAATGGCACCATCTAGATGTGATCACAGTAGTGAGTAGCTGAAGTAGGTGTTTTACTAGATAATTTGTTTGGTTAAGTAATCACACTTTTCTCTCTTTCAATCCTGTCCCAGTTGAAGCCACTTCAGTACATTGTCCTGAAGTTTTATTTCTCAAATAAAGCCTAACGAAATATTTATTCACTTTGTCAGCCCATAGGCCATGAATGACACATCGTGACTCATGGATGTCCTGGCTCTTTGCATCCTGCACACAGACACATGATGGACACTTGATGAGACTCCTTGATACAAAAGGGTGGGTTTGAGTCCCACATGAACACTAGCGTGCATGCTTGGGGTTGATGAAGTACACTTGTGTAATTTTTGTAAAGCCAATGGTTTAAATAGGGATATCTGATTTACTCTAACCAAATATCAGATTACTGTATTTCCTTTTGTGGTTCCATGTGCATTCTGCAAACTAGCATTCTTTTAGTGTACCTCTGCAGGCAAAGAATTTGGAAACTACATACCTATAAAACATTAATCAAAGCCCTTAGATTGACTGGATCCCACCCACCACTCTCCCCGCTGAGCAATTGAGTTAATTAAAAGAAAAATATCTCAAGAATATAAGCTCATATCAATAATCTCATTTAAAAAAATAAACAAAGATTTCCAAAATTCCAAGTGAGCAAAGGGTGAGCAAAACTTTGACTTATACTGTCTGTATTAACTATAGTGCTGAATAAAAATAATGGTTAAGAATGAACAAGATCCAAAATCTTCCAGAAAGATCATAATAATCATGCTTTAGATAGTGGGTGACACATTGAGGACACCTAATTTGTTAAATGAAGGTGTGAGTGTGCCTAATCTGGAAATGAAGTGCCATACTTTAGAAAAATACTGTTAGCAGGGGTATAGTTGGCCAGAAACCACTTGCAACACCAACATGTTCTTCCCTGAACTTTCTGTGTAATGAAGGCAGTTCTCCATTTGCTGCATTTGTAGGAAATGGGGAAACTGAGGAGGCTCTGAAATGGCCATGAGAATTCTTTTTAAGAATCTTCACCACAATTACACTGGAGCTGTTCAAGGACTTTTTTCCTTCTGCTCATTTTAATGGCCTGAGATAATAGATCAAAATGAAGGCCTGTCCTCAGATGTGTATGAAAGCACAGAAGAACAGGATAAGACAGGAATCAAGGCCTCTACCACTGGGGAATGCAGGTTGCTATATACCAGGCAATGGGTGGGTTTCCAAGGAGATGTGTCAGAGCCTTGGAATGCTGCAACTGGGCTGTGCCTGACCCAAGGTGGGGGCGGGTGCAAGGAACCTGCTGGCACATTAGAGGTCTTTTCTTCTGGAGGCAAACTTTGGAGAAATGTACAACACTAGCCTATGTCTGTAAGTTCATGCTTTGGGAACAAAGTTTGAATTGCTTTCAGAGAAAAAAAATATACTGATGGGGTGAAGATAATGGTGGCTAATTTTGATCTGACCAAACAGATATAAAAACTACAGGCTGATCCAACAATAATCTTCTCCCATTTTCTTTCAAATGAGCAACCCTAAAGCATATACTTTTTAGTTTTACAAGGAAGGAGTCTCTCCAAGGAAAAGTTCAAGTGGATTTTTGGTTACCCAGCAAATTATTCTAATTAAGACATGGCTTTTATTCTAAAAATAATAATAATAATAATAATAAAAGGGTGTGTGTATGTGTATGATTTTTAAGAGCATGTTAATTCTAGGACAGTCTGAACATCTGTGTCTTAGGAGAGGCATGTTTTAGGAGATTGCCTCCTTTTGGAGGAGGGGCAGGATGCCTGCCTACAAAGGGCGCCCAGTGGCCTGGAACACCAAAAGCACATTCTCAGGGCATGCAGAGGTAACTGGTTGAAACTTGCCAAAGGATGCTTTTCCATTTGGCTCACAGCAATTCATTTATATTGGTTTTGACCATCCCACTCATTTTATTTTTAAGTCCTTATTCATTTTCGGGCCTTTCCGTATAGGGTTAGCAAGGAATTACTAATTCCGGATCTGCCCACTGTGACACTCAACTAGAAGATTAAGTCAGGTTTTAGAAACCTTGTTTTTGTCATATTTCCCCCATGCCCAGGCTTAAGAACACTCCAAATACTAATAATTACAGGAAATTCCATCAATTTGGGGGAATTGGCTTTAGACTATTTTTTAGTTGGTGTTCAGTGAAAATAAAATAATTCATTCAAGTAAAGACTAGATGGGAAAAATTACTTGAGGAGAAAAGACAAATCTCCCTTACAGAGGAACTACAAATAATTTATGTAGATGTTCTGCCCTCAAGGAGATGCAGGATAACTCACACTCCTTAAGTGTGGGCAGCACATAGCGAATTCCTCTCAGAGCACAGTATTGAAAAGGGCGGGGAGAGTCATGTTACCATGGGCAACACTACAAACTACTTCACCCAGGGGCTCCAGAGTAACCCCAACAGTGGGAAGTACTCTTGACACAATGAAATGAAAATGGCACTTGCCTCTGTGGTCTTCCTCACCAAAACTAGTAACCCTGTTCTATTATAATCATGAGAAAAACATCAGACAAACCTCAACTGAAGGATGTTCTACAAAACGCCTGCCCATTACTCCTCCAAACTATCAAGGCCGTCAAAAAACACGGACAGTCTGAGAAACTGTCACAGCCACGAGGAGTCTAAGGTGACAACCAAGTGTAACGTGATATCCTGGATGGAACCCCGGAACAGAAAAAGGACATTGGGTAAAAACTGAAGAAAATATGAAGAGAATACGAACTTTATTTATTTATTTATTTATTTTTTTGAGATGGAATCTCACTCTGTTGCCCAGGCTGGAGTGCAGTGGCACAGTCTTAGCTCACCATAACCTCTGCCTCCCGGGTTCAAGCAATTATCTGCCTCAGCCTCCCGAGTAGCTGGGACTACAGTTGCGTACCACCATGCCCACCTAATTTTTGTATTTTTAGTAGAGACAGGGTTTCACCATGTTGGCCAGGCTGGTCTTGAACTCCTGACCTCGTGATCCATCCACCTCAGCCTCCCAAAGTGCTGGGATTACAGGTGTGAGCCACCATGACCAGCCGAGAATATGAACTTTAATAATAATAATGTGCCAATATTGGTTTGTTAATGGTAACAAATTCCTAATGTGGGATGCTAGTAATTCCCCTAGTAATAGGGGAAACTGAATGTGCCATTTATGGGAATTCCATTATATTCTCAATCTTCTGTAAATTTATAGCTGTGCAAAAAAAAAAAAAAAAAAAAAAAACCTGTTTAAGGAAAAAATTACTTGACTGAAAGAGAACACTCCACCCACCCCACCCAACCTGCCACCCCTGCTTTCACAGAGTCAGCCTGATGCAGAAAGTCTAATCATGAATTGCGCAGTTCTGGGTAGTTGGAACCCTGTAAATATGGATCATGCAGCAGGCGATGTTGTGAAGAGAAGTATGTTTCAGAGCTCCCAGCTTCTCTGTTCTGGATGTGCTTCCCCCTTCCCCTGCCCTGCCCCCATAATGATAAGGCTAATACTTACATAGTATTATGTAATATGTAGCCCATGTATTGCCTTTCTCCTTCACAGCAGCCAACACTATGGAATAGGAGGGTTCTATTAGCATTACTGTATCCATGAAGAAGATGAGACCTAGAGAAGTTAAGGACCTTGCCCAAGATCCCTTGCCTGTAAGGATGGAGCTGGGATTCAAATTCAGACAGCCTGGGCCCCAGAGCCAGTGTGCTTTTAACCTTTGTCATTGGTCTACTTCCCTCCCTCATTCACTTCTCTTCCAGGTATTCAGAGGCTCATACTTTCTTTAAGCAGGATTATCCTTAGTCTAAGAATGGTCAAGTTTACTACAACCCATGATGTCAGCTGTACTGTGTAGACTCCATCAAGAAATAATAGATGTGGAGGTGGGTGCTTGGAGCAGGGGAAAAGTGCCACTCTATGAAGTAAGGCCTGGTTAAAATTATAGCGTTGGCCCACATCCTACACTCCGATCACCGCAGGACCTGGATGATACTGAATCCCATCCTATAGTCAATTCTAGCTGTAAAACTAATGTTGTTCCCATCTGATGTCTTGGAAACAAACCAGCACTGGGGCATTTTCAAGTGGTTTCGATAATGAGCATTAGTAAACCCACAGGTGTGCCTAAGTGAGGATTTGTGAAGCTGAGCATACTTTCCCAACCCTACATTTCAGAAAAGTTGGCTCCCTTTTATTTACAAAACGAGGTGGAATTGGATGTACTAGTCCAAATGAAGAGAAATAGGTTCTCTTTCATGTTTGAAAGAGATGTACATAAGACTCTAAAAGATGTACATAACAATAAGTTATTAAAAATAGCAACTTCTCAAACCCTGCCCTTTTCCATAAATTTCTTTAAACAGTCAGAAAGTTCACAATTTAATAAAGACTCTCAGAAAGGCTAGTCAAGGAATAGGCCCATTCAGTAACTTCATAAATATAGGGGGTTAAAAAATGAAATCTTCCATGATGACTTCCTGCTGGAAAAGTCAAAGCTAGTTCAGACCACTTGGAGGGAAGACTTCACCTCCGGAACACATTGTTTGCTTTTAAAGTTCCCTGGGAGTGTGGGATGGTAACAATTTTTTTTTTTTTTTTTTTTGGTTATCTGTGTTTCTAATGTTTCCACAATGGACATTCATTGCATTTGTCATAATACAAGTAAATGAGAAAAGCTATTTTTAAAAGAAAGTTCAGATTGCTGTTTGGACAGGAAATCACTTACCTGGAAAATCACTGATGTGAGGCTGGGTGCAGTGCCTCACGTCTGTAATCCCAGCACTTTGGGAGGCCAAGGTGGGCAGATCACCTGAGGTCAGGCATTAGAGACCAGCCTGGCCAACATGGCAAAACCCCATTTCTACTAAAAATACAAAAATTAGCGGGGCGTAGTGGTGCATGCCTGTAATCCCAGCTACTTGGGAGGCTAAGGCAGGAGAATCGCTTGAACCTGGGAGGCGGAGGTTGCAGTGAGGCAAGATCGTGCCATTGCACTCCAGCCTGGGCTGACAGAGCAGGAATCCATCTCAAAAAAAAAGAAAAGAAAAGAAAAGAAAATCATTGATGTAAACGTGGAGAGGAGCCATTCTGCCTGAGACTGACTGACAGGCATTGCAAAGCAGTGCCCTGGTTTTAGGGATGATGTTTCTTCTATGACTGCAGCAGGACTCTGGGGAATTCCATCTAACACTGTTGGTGGGTTGAAGATCTGGCAGATGGTTTGGGTAGTCCGGTTCCATGGAATTAACAAATAACTTCAAATCAGTGCAACAAAACAACATACAGCCAAGACTGGAACACAGATCAATGTCAGGAACAGATACTCATCACTCTGTAAGAGAGAAATGCAGATCAGTCAATGGACTTACAAAAGTAAAGGCTTTCATTCTGAAGTTTGTGTGCTCAGTTCTTTTTCAGCTTTGCTTAGGAAATAACAAAAGAAAAAGCAACCTTAGGTTGACATGGGAGGAGATCCACACCGAGTCCAAACTTTCCCTCTCTGGGTAGCAGTATCATAGTTTGGGGGATTAAACATAGGTCCAAAGTAGACCCATGTTAAGGTAAACCAGGGCTTGGCAAACTTTTTCTGTAAAGGGCCAGATAGCAAATAGTAGAGGCTTTTGGGACTTCATGGTCTTTGTTGGAGCTATTGAATTCTGCCATTGTTGTAAAAGTAGCCACAGACAATATTTAGAGGAAGACGTAACTGTGTTTTAATAAAACTTCCCCCAAACATCTGGCAAGCAGGATTTGGCCTGCATCTATAGTTTTCTGACCTCTGACTTAAGCCAATCATAAGTATGCCATCCCTTTTGCCAGTGATTAAGATACCCAGGCTTAAACTAATCAGCATAAAGCCTTTTCCTGGTGATAATTACAGGTTTGGAGATGGCATATGATAGGCTCAATCAGGAAAGATTTTTGTTTGGAGTTTGAGGGAGAAGGGTATGATCTCTCCTGTTTACAAAAATAAGGAAGCATCCAACCTTAATTGCTACTGGCACCCAGTCTACAACTATGAGGGGAACAAGCCTTCAGATGAAGTGGACGATGGAAGAGAAACATAGAACTTGTATTCTTGATGATATTATTGAACTACAGGGTAATTTAACTCTATTTTCCACTCATCCTCAGAATTTTCCGTATGTAAGCCTATAAATGTGCTTATTATAAATACCAATTTTTTTTTTTTTTTTTCCTGAGACGGAGTATCACTCTGTCACCCAGGCTGGAGTGCAGTGGCGCGATCTTAGCTCACTGCAAGCTCCGCCTCCCAGGTTTGCACCATTCTCCTGCCTCAGCCTCCCGAGTAGCTGGGACTACAGGTGCCCACCACCATGCCCGGCTAATTTTTTGTATTTTTTAGTACAGACGGGGTTTCATCATGTTAGCCTGGATGGTCTCAATCTCCTCACCTCGTGATCCGCCCACCTCGGCCTCCCAAAGTGCTGGGATTACAGGCGTGAGCCACCGCGTCCAGCTATAAATAACATTTTCAGTTGAGATTTCTGTTACTTGCAGATAAATGCATCCCAGCTGATGGAAAGTTTAAAAATAAGTTTATGGCTTTCAAAGTTTGCAAACACTGAAGTGAGTTAGTTAACACCTGCTGCCATAAAATTTCCTTCCCATCACAAAAAAAAAAAAAAAGAATGTGAAAAATAGGGAATAAAAACTACCCTGACTCTTTTTAACTGCCTAAATTGGTGAATGTGGGTCTCCCAGGGGACAGTGAAGATATCTTCGTTTGTTTTGTGCAGTTATAACAGATACCTGAAATGGGGTAATTTATAAACAACAGAAATTTATTTCTCACAGTTCTGGAGGCTGGGAAGTTCAAGGTCAAGGTGCTGGTAGATTTGGTGCCTGGTAAGGTCTGGGTCACCATTTCCAAGATGGCGCCTTAAATGCTGCATACCCCAGAAGGGAGGAACACCTTTCCTCAAATGGCAGAAGAGCAAAAGAGCCAAGAAAGATAACCTACTCCTAAAAGCCCTTTTTAAAAAGGGAATTAAATAGACCCCATGGAGGTGGTTTAATACCTAATCACCTCTTATGGGTCATACCTCTTAATACCATTACAATGGCAATTACATTTCAACATGAGTTTTGGAGGGGAGAAACCTTTAAAGTGTAGCAGAAGTTTTGATCAAATGACCCTTAATTTATGGAATTGTGGAATGCCTGGGTCGGTGGACACTTCCCCTGCAATGAGACCAAGAACTTGAATGCAAAGAGGCATTGAAGATTTTAACTTTCTTTCTGCCTTCCATTAACACCCTTGGTCTATGTGCAAGTCTCTTCCCTTCTTAATCTTCACACTCTAAACATAAGGAATGATTTATAAACAACAGCATAAGCATTATCTATTTTTTTTTTTTGAGTTGGAGTCTTGCTCTGTCATTCAGGCTGGAGTGCAGTAGCGCAATCTTGGCTCACTGCAACTTCCACCTCCTGAGTTCAAGCGATTCTCCTGCCTCAGCCTCCTGAGTAGCTGCAACCACAGGCATGTGCACCATGCCCAGCTAATTTTTGTATTTTTAGTAGAAACGGGGTTTCACCATGTTGGCCAGGTGGGTCTCAAACTCCTGACTTCAGGTGTTCCACCCGCTTAGTCCTCCCAAAGTGCTAGAATTACAGGCGTGAGCCACTGTGCCCGGCAGCATTATCTCATTTTGAGGTTCACTGGTTCTTACACAATTTCTATTATAGTTGTATGCCATTCTCTTATATATTAATTTTAGTTGTATGAATGTATGGTTTGGGATTATTTCAATAAAATAAAAAAATTGAGTTTTAGAATGGTTTGTCCTCCAGCAGGTCAAATCTGAATAACATTAATTATCTTCCTAACATTCTCTCCCTCTTTTTTTTTTTTTTTTTGAGATGGAGTCTCACTCTTTTGCCTAGGCTGGAGTGAAGTGGCATGATCTCAGCTCACTGCAACCTCCGCCCCCTGGGTTCAAGTGATTCTCCTGCCTCAGCCTCCCAAGTAGCTGGAATTACAGGCGTGTGCCACCACACCTGGCTAATTTTTGTACTTTTAGTAGAGACAGGGTTTCACCATGTTGGCCAGGCTGGTCTCAAACTCCAACCTCAGGTGATCTGCCCACCACGGCCTCCCAAAGTGCTGGGATTACAGGTGTGACCCACCGTGCCTAGCCTTAAGGGGTAATTTAATAAGTTATAACTTCTCTCTTCATACTAATGTTTAAACTTAGATATAGAAAGGTGAGTGATTCAACCTTGTAAAATAAGTACAAAACATGTATCATTTATTCATTCAAAAAGATATTACTGAGGGCTTATTAAGAGGCAGGCACTGTTCCATGCCTTGCTATAATGCAAAGTCCCTGCCATCATGAAACTTACATTCTATAGGGGGAGACAAATAATAAATAATGAATCTTATGTTAGGAGGTGATAAGTAATAAGAAAAAACATAAAGCAAAGGAAAGGAATAGAGGCTAACTAAGCAGGAGTGGGAGGTGGCATGTGATTGTAGGCACCCTCAGGTGGGGATGAGCTTGGAGGTGGAGTTTGCTTCATTGTCTGGAAAACAGCAGAGGGACCAGAGTGGCTGGAGCAGATAGGATGAGGAGAGAGAACTGCAGAGGATGAGTTGGAAAGGTGGGGCAGGGCATATCACATATGACCTGAGAGGACACAGAATGACTTTGGGTTTTATTCTGAGGAAGATGAGAAAATGGGTACCATTGAAAGAGTCCCCAGCCTACGGACTCTCTGACAAGCCCAACTGTCCCCAGCATACCAAAGACAGTAATATTTAAGATCCCTTACTATTCATCAAGCTGATTTATAGTCTTAACAGTTGAGTAGTCATTTATTAGAAAGATCAAAGTGGGGCTGGAAACAATGGCTCATGCCTGTAATCCCAGCACTTTGGGAGGCCAAGGCATGTGGATTGCTTGAGCACAGGAGTTTGAGACCAGCCTGCGCAACATGGTGAAACCCCATCTCTACAAAAAATTAAAAAATTAGTTGGGCTTCATGGTGTGCGCCTGTAGTGCCAGCTGCCTGGGATGCTGAGGTGGGAGGATTGCTTGAGTCTGGAAGTTTGAGGCTGCAGTAAACAGAGATCATGCTACTGCACTCCAGCTTGGCTGATAGAATGAGACCCTGTCTTAAGAAAAGAAAAAAGAAAGAAAGATTGAAGTGGTTAATTCATTGTTCTCTTGCAATGAAACTTACTCTATCAGGAAAAGCCTTGAAACTGTACCTCATAATCATATTTTTTCCTTTGGTTCCCTTCTTGCCTAGGACTTATCATCCTTTTCCATAGATTATGTAGGGTGGCACTGTATTATTTATCAAATGTCTACCACAATGCTGGCTTATAGCAGATAATCCAAGAAATTCATTGGACAAAGAAATAAAAGAATGAGCACAGCAAAATACTTTACTGTTAGACTTTAATATAAAGAATTTACTATAAAGAATTTTAATATAAATAATTTAGCCTACAGTCACCAAAAAAGGCAGGTTATAAGCACTTTTTTCTCTTTCCTGTATCATATTATTTTCTTTAAAAAGATTATATACTTTCGAAACCTGCAATTGTGATGATCATTTTTGTAGGTAAATTCCATTTGTAGATGATTATAATAACTAAGTTTTCAAGAATGTACTAGAAAGCAAATTTAAACACATTTTTCTGATACACATTTTACAAACTGTAATCATTTCATTTTTCACAGGATGCCCTTCAAATATAGCAACTTTCCTAGACAAGTGTGAATGCCCTGCAATTGTGGAAACAAAAATATGCACAACTTTCCTAGACAAGTGTGAATGCCCTGCAATTGTGGAAACAAAAATATGCACAACTTTCCAAATGTCAGTCTCATGAAGGTAAAACTAAAAGAGCAAAGGACTTACTCCCAAGTTCTAGGCATCTAGTTTACGGGGGTTTATTAACGTAAAACTGATATTTGGCTGAGCACGGTGACTCACACCTGTATTCCCACCACTTTTGGGAGGCCGAGGTGGGCAGATCACTTGAGCTTAGAAGTTTGAGACTACCCTGGGCAACATAGCGAAACCTCATCTCTACAAAAAATACAAAAATTAGCTGGGTGTGGCGGCGTGCACCTGTAGTTCCAGCTATCTGGGAGGCTGAGGAGGGAGAATCACCTAAAACTAGGAGGCTGAGGCTACAGTGAGCTGTGATCACTCCACTGCACTCCAGCCTGGATGACAGAGCGAGACCCTATTTAAAAAAAACAAACAAACCCTGTAATATTTGCTAGTGAAAATTCAGGGTCAGAAGAATTTATGTAACACGTAAGATAATTTCACAAGAACTTGGGGGAGAAACTGTGGGACTGCTGACAAGAAGAAGCAGTATTTTGTTACAAGCAATCACTGTGAAGGAGGGACTAGTGTGATGTCCATTCATGAAAAGGGTTCCAGAGAAGGCCTTGGACCTGTAGTGTCCAATACAGTAGTCACTAGCCACAAGTGGCTATTAAAATTAAAATTTAATTAATTAAAAATTCAGCTCCTCACTCACATTACACATGTGGCTGGTGGCTACCCTATTATGGAGCAAAAATATAGAACATTTGCATCATTGCAGAAATTTTCACTGGATAGAGCTGCCTGAGAATCTGTCTAACTCCGCTATACAGATAGGGAGTTAGGCTGATAGAATCTCTCATAAACATAGGCAAGCAACTTACTCTGGAAACGGAAGCATGGTTTCCTGGAGACAGGATCACACTAGAATGGCTCTTTGGGAGCATAAATAAATTTACATATAAGATAGAACAACAGTCATTTGTTTAGACATTCAAAAAAGTTACTAAGATTCCACACCAGAAATTATTTAAAAATTTTAAGTACCCCAGAACTAGAGGTAGTATTTTGCTATACATACGGAACTGCTTAGAGAAAAAAGGCGGTTGTTTTTTTGGATGGAGGAAAATGTGCTGGAAGAGATATCCCCCAAAGATTGGTATAGTAAGCAATGTTTTCTACAATGACTGCAAATTACCTAGAACACGTAATACATGGTTTAATCTTCCAGATGGTATTTCACTGAAGTTGATGCTGAATATGAAATCAGTGCAGAGAAAAAGAAACCTTTTGGAAAAGGTCATAAAAACTGGAGTAAGCAGAAAGGTGAAATATGAAATTCAATGAAAACTGGTCTTATTATATTAAAAACAATCCAAATTAGAATTATTAAATGATGGGATCTGAATTATCAGCTTCATACCAAGAAGTCATGTAGACTGATCCTTTGGTTTTCATTTGCTGCTGATGGCTGAGGAGGAGGGCCATGGCAAGCTCAGCAGACACTTTGGTGCAAATAGAAAATGTGACCCCTCCAGGCAGAAGGCTAGCAAAAAGGTGCTTCTTGGGCTTCTCAAAAAACTAAAAATACAGCTACCATATGACCCAGAAATCCTACTGCTAGATATATACCCCGAAATAAAGGAAATCAGTATTTCAAAGAAATATCTGCACTCCCATGTTTTTTGCAGCACTGTTCACAATAGCCAAGATTTGGAAGCAACCTAAGTGTTCATCAACAAATGAATGGATAAAGAGAATGTGGCACATATACACAATGGAGTACTATTCAGCTATAAAAAAGAATGAGATCCTGTCATCTACAACAACATGGATGAAACTGGAGGTCATATGTTAAGTGAAATCAGCCAGGCACAGAAAGGCAAACTTCGCACGTTCTCACTTATTTGTAGGAGCTAAAAATCAAAACAATTGAACTCATGGAGATAGGGAGTGGAAGATTGGTTACCAGAGGCTGGGAAGGGTAGCAGGAGGTGGAGGAAAAGTGGGGAGGTTTAATGGATACAAAAAAAAAAACAAAAAAAAAGCTGTGGCCGGGTGTGGTGCCTCACACCTGTAATCCCAGGACTTTGGGAGGCTGAGGTGGGCGGATCATGAGGTCAAGAGATCGAGACCATCCTGGCCAACAAGGTGAAACCCCATCTCTACTAAAAATACAAAAAATTAGCCTGGTGTGGTGACACACGCCTGTAGTCCCAGCTACTTGGGAGGCTGAGGCAGGAGAATCCCTTGAACCCAGGAGGTGGAGGTTGCAGTGAGCTGAGATCACACCACTGCACTCCAGCCTGGTGACAGAGCAAGACTTTGTCTCAAAAAATAATAATAATAATAATAAATTAAAAAATAAAAATAAAAGAGTATAACTGAATTGTTTGTAACACAAAGGACAAATGTTTAAGGGGATGGATACCTCATTTTCCAGGACATGATTATTACGCATTGCATGCCTGTATCAAAGTATCTCATGTACCTCATAAATATATATACCTAGTATGGACCCACAAAAATAAAAAATTAAATTAAGTTAAGAGAGCCTCTCTAAGCAGAGCAATTAGAGAAAAGTTTTCCTTCCTCTAGATGCACGCAGGCCTGTGCCAGGGTGCATGGCATGGCAAGGGAAACTCTGTGCTGAATTTCAGTGCTCTGCCAATCCCACTCTCTGAACTGTCCTGTGCCAGGTGCCAGCACTGGGCTTAATCATACTAGGTGACCTGTCTGGAACTCCCCCCAACCCCCATCAGAAAGAGTTATGCCCCAGTATACAAGTGTATTCAAATGTGAGAAATTTTTACAATCTGATCTTTCTTTGTCAAGACACATGGGAAAGCTTAGAAACTTCCTAAGGAAAGTAAACAAAAATCATCGCCAGGACAGGCTACTAGAAGAGTCTAAAAGGATTTTTCAGCCAGAAAGGCAAAGAAACATATAGATAAAGTTAACAAAACCTTAAGAGATTGGAAAAAAGGATTAGCAAATCCTAAAGCACTAAAACCAGTAACAATTGTGAGGTCCTTGTATTAATAATATAATAAAAGTTGATTTTATTTATCAGACCAACAACACCTAGAAAATATATTTTAAAAATATTTAAAAGAGTTGGTTAAATTTGTGGATGATAATTCCATAGCATGTGAATTAGAAAATATGAGGATCTTTTAGACTGTTTTCCTAAACACTGAAGTTGGTGTAATGAGAGCAACCCACTCCCAAAACATCCACTGGTGCTTCTGTCAGATACAGCTTGGTTCGGTGTAAGGGTACATTGGTCTGAATCAACATGGCATTTTCTGTTATCACTGTTTCAGCTCTGTCTGTATTCCAGAAGAAAAATCAACAATGTGGTTGACTGATTAGACAAGATCTGGTTCTAAGAGGAAGTTCATTAAAATAATATTTATTAAAATAAATGTATTTATCAAGTTAATAAAAATTCTTCAGAAATTTCCAGCAAGAAAGATTAACACGCAGATAACAATGAGACAGTTTCTTCTAACATGGGTTTTACATCAGGCCTCAAACGGTCCAAAGATTTAGAATTGCCGCCCCCTGCCCCACCCCTTTTAAAAGATAATAGGCTGGGTGCGTTGGCTCACACCTGTAATCCCAGAACTTTGGGAGGCCAAGGCGGGCAGATCATGAGGTCCAGAGATCGAGATTATCCTGGCAAATATGGTGAAACCGCGTCTCTACTAAAAATACAAAAAATTAGCTGGACACACACGCCTGTAGTCTCAGCTACTCAGGAGGCTGAGGCAGAAGAATCGCTTGAACCTGGGAGGCGGAGGTTACAGTGAGCCGAGATCACGCCACTGCACTCCAGCCTAGGTGACAGAGCAAGACTCCAACTCAAAAAAAAAAAAAAAAAAAATATATATATATATATATATATAGAGAGAGAGAGAGAGAGAGAGAGAGAGTGCAAGATTAAAATCTAAAAACCAAATCAACTGGCTAGGCGCGGTGGCTCACGCCTGTAATCCCAGCACTTTGGGAGGCCGAGGCAGGCGCATCACCTGAGATCAGGAGATCGAGACCACCCTGGCTAACACGGGGAAACTCCATCTCTACTAAAAATACAAAACATTAGCCGGACGTGGTGGCGGGCACCTGTAGTCCCAGCTAAGCCGAGATCACACCACTGCACTCCAGCCTGGGCAACAGAGTGAGACTCCATCTCAAAAAAACCGAATCAACCAAAGCCCCCAAAATCTTTCTTAAAAGGAGATTTTCTACCTAGAGTTCAAGTAATACATATCCATGTGTGTGTAGAATTTTTAGCATAAGTGTAATCCACTGTAAACCAAAAAGTATCTTAGACAAATCTCAATCAATTTAGAAGTTTAGAAGCCAAAGTTAAGGGCATCTTACACCTGGAAGACAGACCTATGCCTTTCTCCAAAAATGATTTTGAGAACTTCAATATTTAAAGGGGAAAGGGCGGATATTAGGAAAAAAGGAAGGAATGTTTTGAAGGTGTATATAGATAAGAGGCCAACGGTTGCATTCTTTTGAGTCTTCGATTAGCCATTCACATGTAAGGGTGGGTAAAGGAATAGTCACTTATGTATTCCTTTAGCTCAGCGAATCAGCATTTTTACATAAGATAAAATACAGGGCAGAGGAAGTGATCAGATATACATTTGTCTCAGGTGAGTAGAGGGATAACTTTAAGTTCTGTCCTTTGTCCCGTACCCATAAAGATAAGCTATCAGTTTACCTTGTCAGGGTGAAATTCAACAGAACTTGATCTTGGGGCCCACAAGGAATTTCCTAGTGGGCAAATTGTGAGAGAGGTGTGTAGCTTTTTTATCTTTGTAACTATCTTATTTAGAAACAAAATGGGAGGCAGGTTTGTGTAATGCAGTCCCCAGCTTGACTCTTCCCTTTGGCTTAGTGATTTGGGGGTCCCATGATTTATTTTCCTTTCACACCACTTTATGTTTACCTGAGGCACATAGATGTATTCAATTCCATATAAACAATTTTGTTGCAAAACCACTTAGCCATATTCTGCTTAAGCTGAAATTTTCGAAGTAAATTATAAGGGTTGTATTAATAGAGGACCCTGAGAAAAGAAAATAGCAAAGGCATTAGTTAATTTGATAAAGCAATGACAATTAAACCTTGTTTTACTTTGTATTCATATAATAAAAAACAGAGCACTGAAATAGTTGTCCAAATAATTCAGGCCTAAAATAAATTCACCTAAAACAGCCAGGTGGTGAGGCAAATGTGTCATTTTGGTTTAAGTTGTCTGAATCACTGAATTAATTTTCCTACTTAATCTAAATAAACATATTGAGACTATGAGAAATTTTTAGGTTAGTGAGGAAGGTCTCTAGATTTTTCTGTGATTATTTGTAGCTCTCTCCATCATTAGAGCGCAGTGGAATAACCAATCTGCAAGTTTCCTGCAAAAGAACCACCCAGGAATGTTTGGGGATTTCTGTGTAACCCAGCCCTAGAAAAGCTGAGTTCGGAGATATAGCTACTAAATTCTTGAGCTCTTGCACAAGCTCAGACTATTATCACTATGCCGAAAATAACTTCCAGTTGTTCTAAGGCGTTCAAGAATCGAATTACTTAATAACGTACTCTTATATCTGGATTAAGGTATCAGACCAACAGAAAACCATGCAAGATCTGATTGGATGACATAAAAGGATGTTGCATAAGAATCGAAGCTGTCATATGCTGAAGAATAACAAAGGTAATATGACAAGGAAAATGCACCCCTAATAGCCAAACCTTGTTTATTGCTTACCTGCTGCAGAGGGGTGACTATAGAACATACAGTGTATGTTATAAGGAACAGGCATGTCATATTTTATGAAAGATTTTTTAAATTATAGAGCGTATTTGTTCAGTGAGTGGCTTAATTTGTTTTTATATTGTAGTTGAATAATAATTCTAGAGAGAGGTATCGGTGTGGATTTGTGTGGGAGCCTGGGTAACCTCAAAATGAGGATAATAATAACACCTGCTTCATGGGATGGTGGTGAACAGTGAACTCCATAATCCCTATAAAGGCTCTCATCACTGAGCTGGGCGTATGCAGAATATTCACTACAGTTTGGCTATTAGTATTGTAATTGTCAAGATTATTATCAGACATTGAAAACACACCCAAAGTTTCCCATTTAAAGGCAGAGGACAGGTTTCTAAATGCTATAGAGTTTTTCAGACTTTGTAATTTAAATTATTAAAGGTGGAAAAATTCAGATTTAAATTTAGAAATACATTTAGAAACACTGTTTCCTGAATTCATTTCTTCCTTACAAAGGCAAAGGTAGGATCTCTGATCTAAGGGTAGCCACCTCTCATTTCTAGTTTATCTTGTCAAGGCTGCATGTGATACAGCCCTGGCCCCCACCACTGCAATGGAGACAAGATTTTCACTGCAGTGGTCTCCTTTGCCTCTCATTCAAATTCGAATATCTATGGTCCAAGCATAAGCATGGTTGAGGAACCATGGGCAATGTTTCATCTACTAATCAACATTTCACAGATGCACGGATGCCCAAATTTCAGTTTAAGGGAACACAACAACTGACACAGCCTTGAAATCTACTAAATGTCCCTCTCTCAGAATCTTTTGTCCTCTGTTTTGTTCTGATTTTTTTCTGTGTCTATTTTGCTTTCTATCAGCTTATGCCCCTCTTCTCTGTGCTCCTTCCCAATTTTTTTTTTTTTTTTTGTCTGAGATGGAGTCTCGCTCTGTCGCCCAGGTTGGAGTGTAGTGGCGTGATCTCGGCTCACTGTAACCTCTGCCTCCTAGGTTCAAGTGATTCTCCTGCCTTAGCCTCCCAGGTAGATGGGACTACAGGTGCATGCCACCACGCCTGGGTTATTTATTTTTTATTTTTTTATTTTTAGTAGAGACGGAGTTTCATTGTGTTGGCCAGGCTGGTCTCAAACTCCTGATCTCAACTGATCCACCCACCTTGGCCTCCCAAAGTGCTGAGATTACAAGCGTCAGCCACCACATCCAGCCTCATTTTTTTGTATTGTTTAACTATTAATTGATTTGAATATTTCTGTCTATAATAGCTACACCAAAAAAGATGCAAATGAAGTTCTTCTTCATGTGTTGATTTCCCACCACATCTCTGGCCCAGGTGTACCATCAGCCAACCACAGAAAAAGGATCATGTCCCTTTAATAAATAAACGGCATTACTTCAGTTCTGGTCTGGCCTCTACCGCTCCCTGAAAACTAGCTGTGGGCACACCACATATGTTTCTGCATAAAATGGAAGCTTGCCACTTCAGCCAGGGTTTTGCTTCAGAGAACATTGTTTTCTGGAGTCTGGCCAGCCTCAGAGAATTTACCCAGACGATCCAGGAAACACTGAACCATTTCCATTTATGGACATTTTCCTTTACCAATTAAGAACAAAGGGGAGTTAAAAAAATTTTTTTTTCCTGATTGCTATATTTTACATTTAAAATTGTAATGTGAATGCTGACATAATTAGAACTATCTGGGGAGATTTTTTAAAAGGCAGGGAACTGGGACCAACAGCCCTGTCCATTGCTGGCATGTTAACAGCCAGTACTTCAGTTTTTATCATAAGTGAGTTTGAAAGAGGATGACATGCCAGACATTCCTTCTGAAAGTAAACTAAGGTAATGATGGAACTCAAGGGAAAAATCAACATGTTACTTATAATTCTATTTGGGGGGTTGGGTGGGGAGATGACCATTCTGTGAAATGATTTATACAGCACTGTAGAAAGAAAAGTCCCCTGGGTGATGACTGTGAGCTGCAAAAGCAACAATGAACAAAGGGGACTTCCAGGGCCTCAGCCTTCCTGGCCACACCCGGTGGGAATGCCCCAGTCCTTTTCCGCTCTGTGGTTGGAGAACTTCTACGTAGAGCATTATCCTCACCAACACAAGGAGTTACACTCTAAATGGACAAATTTGGGGAGGATCAGATGAAAATTCAAGCGCTCACTTTCTAGAACAAAAGTCTGAGATGGGTTTAAAATTCATGCTCCTATGCAAACATTTCAAAAAGCATCTTTTACTTTTTGTAAATTGCCAAAACAGGTTTCCAGAAGAGGGCTCCTCCTGCAATGCTTGGGTGATGTCTCTGCCCAAAGGTCTGAGCTGGCCACTTAGTGCTGATCCAAACCAGCAGAGATGGTTTTGTCAGGCCTGGTTTTATCACACAACTTATGCAAACACTGGTATGTTTCCAGTGGTTGCTTTGAGGTTGCACATTTGAATTAAAGTATCTGAATTATGAAATATATTCTTTTGAGATTTTCTCTTTTTTATATCAGTTTATTGAGACATTTTGTATACAATCCAATTTTAAGTGTACAATAGAGTTTTTTTTTGTGTTTTTTTTTCTTTTGGAGACAGAGTCTCGCTCTGTCGGCCAGGCTGGAGTGCAGTGGCACGATCGATCTCGGCTCACTGCAAGTTCCGCCTCCTGGGTTCATGGCATTCTCCTGCCTCAGCCTCCCAAGTAGCTGGGACTACAGGCGCCTGCCACCATGGCTGGCTAATTTTTTTGTATTTTTTTTTTAGTAGAGACGGGGTTTCACCGTGTTAGCCAGGTTGGTCTCGATCTCCTGACCTCGTGATCCATGCGCCTCAGCCTCCCAAAGTGCTGGGATTACAGGTGTGAGCCACCACACCTGGCCTTTTTTCTTTCTTTTTTTTTTTTTGATACAGAGTCTCTTTCTGTCGCTCAGGCTAGAATGCAGTGGCATGATCTCGGCTCACTGCAACCTCCGCCTCCCGGATTCAAACGATTCTCCTGCCTCAGCCTCCCAAGTAGCAGGGATTACAGGTGTGCACCACCAGTCCCGGCTAATTTTTGTATTTTTAGTAGAGATGGGATTTTACCATGTTGGCCAGGCTGGTCTCAAACTCCTAACCTCAGGTGATCTGCTCACCTCAGCCTCCAAAGTGCTGGATTACAGGTGTGAGCCACTGAGCCTCACCAGCAATTGATTACTTTTGACCACAGTAATATTTCTTTCATCCTCCAGAAGTATCCTCATGGCCCATTGCAGTCAGTCCCTGTCCCTGGCAACCACTGATCTGCTTTCTTGCTTTGTAGTTTTACCTTTTCTAGAATTCATTTAAATGGAATCACGTAGTATCTGGGCTCTTGTGCCTGGCTTGTTTTAGCACAATGCTTTGAGATTCACCCATGCTGTGTATGTATCAGTAGTTTATTCCTTTTTGTTACTGAGTAGTATTAAGTTGACTTTTGTCTGGATTTGAAAAAATATATATTTATTTGGGCCATATGGAAAAGCAAATAGATTTTTGTTTTTGCTTTTTTGAAAAGCCATGTGTTAATTAAAGGTAATCCTAAGAATACATTTAAATCTTTACCTTTACCTTTTCCTTGAAATGTAAGATCCCTACCTGTCTGAAAGTGAAGTTTTAAATTCACAATTTTTTTTTTTTTGAGACAGAGTCTTGCTCTGTTTCACAAATTTTGAAACAGGCTGGGCACAGTGGTTCAGGCCTGTAATCCCAGCACTTTGGGAGGCTGAGGCGGGAGGATCACTTGAGGTCAGGAGTCCAAGACCAGCCTGGCTAACATGGTGAAATCCCATCTCTATTAAAAAACACAAAAATTAGCCACGTATGGTGGCACCTGCCACCAATCCCAGCTACTCAGAAGGCTTAGGCAGGAGAATCGGTTGAACCCAGGAGGTGGAGGTTGCAGTGAGCTGAGACTGTGCCACTGCACTTCGGCCTAGGTGACAGAGTGAGACTCCATCTCAAAAAAAAAAAAAAAAAATTGAAACATTTGGTAAGAAAATCTGTATGTGAAGGAAATTTCCAGATATGCAGCAAAAATATGAAATAATTAATAGCATCCAAGTAATTATTGGTAATACGGGCATGAACCTGGATTAGGCCAAGAGTTCCACAAAATTGTAAAATAATGATTCAATAATTAATTAGATGGATTGAAGCAAAAATTTCATCTTTCTCATATGGTGTTTGTTAGTAATTTTAACAACAGAAAAATGATTAGTGCTCACTCAGAGATAATAATAATTTTTAAAACAATAATTATTGTTCTTATTATGGCTATATCTGTATAGTACATATTATGTGCCTGGTGCTGTTCTGAGCCCTAGATAATTCATTAACTCTAATAACCCTACTAGGTAAGTGTTTTAATATTATCTCCATTTTATAGATTAAGAAACTAAGGATCACAGAAAGCAAAGTAACTGCTTTGATGAATAGAAGCCAGGATTTGGCCCTGGGAACCTGCCTAAGCCTCAACTTTTGGCCACTAGAACTCTCTTAACCTCAGGAATGCACTAGAGAAGAATTCTCAGATTGGTAAAAGGGGTCGATATTGTCCCTGAGCAAGGTAAGGGATGAGGCCAGAGCAGGGGCGTCAAGCCTGAGCCAGACAGTTGTTTGGATGTGTGGAGAAGCCCAGAATAAGGCAATGTGAAGAGGTGGGAACTGAGAAAAGTTGGGGAGTGCCTGCCTTAAGGCGTTTACATTTTAAAAATATGTTTTAAATCCTGCACTGTTCACATAAAAGAGGCTGCTGGTGGGTCTGGTGCCCAGGGGCCTGTGCCCATTTGCTGCCCCTGGTCCAGATGACCTCTGGCAGTCCTTCCAGAACTAACATCTTGGGAAAAATTAGAAATATTTGTTCAGAGTCTTTTGTGACTTGAATTTATCGATGTAGGCCAATAGTCTACAATCTGGCTAGGTTATAATGGTCATTGATAAATAACTTTTGATTGCATGTTGAATTCATTCAGTGTTGTGAATTTGTCTTTGTTTTTTATGGTACTTTTTAATCTGACGTAACAAAGAGCTAATGGATTGTGGAGTCATATGGCCTGGTTTTGAACCTTGGCTTTGCAACTTACTAGCAGTGTGACTTTGAGCATGTTACCTGACTTTCGCATGCCTGTGTTTTCTTGTCTGTAAAATGGGGAAATTAACAGTACACCTAATTCATAAAGTTGTTTTAAAGATTAAAAGTTTAATGAGATAATGGATTTACAACAGCGACTGGCAAATAGTAAGCATTACTTATGTGTTTGTATTGCTATTATCACTGTCCCAAAATGATGCTAGATGAAAACATCTGTTCCAACTTTTAACATATAATAAACTATAGCAATCTGCACTAAAATGAAATCTTCCTTCAAGACTTTATTTTGTAGGGCCCTGTTCCTTGTTCCTGCAGGACCGTGGTGAATTGCACAACAAAGATGGGACTCAGGGACAGGACCTCAGCCTCCACAAGGCACCAGCGACTAGAAGGGAAAATTCTAAATACCGTCTCTGTGAACTGAAACCTTAGCTGTAGCTGGAGACTCTGAGTTTTGAGAGAGAAGAATATTTGTGTAATTTGTTTGAATCCTGGGCAGAGTAGAAGAGAATCAAGCCTTGGA